>NC_000011.10:60888710-61191740 GCF_000001405.40 Homo sapiens
CCTATGCAGGGACCAAGAATCTGCTGAGTTGCTGGACAGCAAAGAGCAAGGTTGTTTTCTTTTTTCTGAGACAGAGTCTCGCTCTGTCACTAGGCTGGAGTGCAGTGGCACAATCTCAGCTCACCGCAACCTCTGCCTCCCGGGTTCAAGCGATTCTCCTGCCTCAGCCTCCCAAGCAGCTGGGACTACAGGCATGCACCATCACACCCAGCTAATTTTTTGTATTTTTAGTAGAGATGGGGTTTCACCATGTTGGCCAGGATGGTCTCCATCTCCTGACCTCAGGCAATCCACCCACCTCGGCCTCCCAAAGTGCTGGGATTACAGGCATGAGCCACCACACCCGGCCAAGGGCAAAGTTGTTTTAAGAATTAAATGAGTGGCTGGGCGTGGTGGCTCACGCCTATAATCTCAGGACTTTCGGAGGCTGAGGCTGGCGGATGACCTGAGGTCGGGAGTTCGACCTCAACCCTCTCCCACTCGAGTGACCCATTCTACCATCTGCAAACCATAGCTGTTGTTAGCCCACCTTTTAACTAGGCAGTTGTCCTAACTTTTTTTTAAAGTATGTCCTGCCTTGGGAGAACTGTATGATTGGTCTTTTTTTTTTTTCTTCCCCAAGACGGAGTCTTGCTCTGTCCCCCAGGCTGGAGTGCAGTGGCACAATCCCAGCTCACTGCAACCTCCACCTCCTGGGTTCAAGCAATTCTCCTGTCTCAGCCTCCCGAGTAGCTGGGATTACAGGAACCTGCCACCATGCTCAGCTAATTTTTGTATTCTTAGTAGAGATGGGGTTTCACCTTCTTGGCCAGGCCGGTCTCGAACTCTTGATCTCGTGATCCGCCCGCCTTGGCCTCTGGAAGTGCTGAGATTACAGGCGTGAGCCACCGCACCTGGCCCAGGTCTTTTCTTAATAATAAACACTGGTGTAAGTTAAATGGTTTATATTCAACTTGTATAAGTTAAGTGGTTTCTTTACTGTGGGGTTTTTCAGCTTTCCCTAGCTAGTAGGCATCCTGACCCTCCCAGGCAGATACGGCATGCCGAGCTTCCCTGACAACAGAACACTGCCCCAGCAAAACATGCCTGGAGGTCTCCTGTTATGTCCACAATATGGCCTACCATACTTTGCCCCCAAAGCTCCCCTCCTGGTAACACCCCATTTCTCAGCTCCCCTTCTCAGCACTATTTTTTGTCTATAATCACTGACTCCCACACTTCCTCACCTCATATCCTCTTACCCCACTCCAGGGAGGCAGCCAGCCCCGACCTTCCACTGGGATGGCCCTTGTCAGGGGACTGTCAATCACCCCAGACTGTACACCATGGTTCCCCCGACTTTGCCACCATGACCTCCTTCCTGTTCCTCCATATATCTCGCTCAGTCCAGCCCTAGAACCTGCTCTCTGCCTGCCAACACTCCTCCCCTCTCAGGTCCCTCTCATTCCAGCTTCAGCTTCATCACCACCACTTCAGAGGCCTTTCCTGACCTGCAATCTAAAGCAGTCACGTGACCCTACAGGAATTCCCTATAAGGCACATTCATTATCAGATCTTTGTCCCGAAACCAGTCCTACCACAGCTTTTCAATCGCCAGAGTCAATAAAAAAATCTCCTTTTTGACTTATGCCAGCTGAGGACAGGCTAGAAAGCCTACAACTAAAGAACCCTGATGGAGATGCTCAGACCTCCCCACCAGCAAGATCCAGCTAATCTTCCCTGCAGGTCTCCCTCCCTTCCAGGCTTGTGTAGGAAACCAAGTCTACAAGGCAAGTGGCAGGACTAGTGACTTGAGGCCTTTAGACACAAGGTCAAGAACCGCAGGGACATGGCAAATTTCATCTGCAGATTTGTTTTTATTTCTGCTGTGCAATTAAAAAAAAAAAAAAAGGGTAAGAGCTGTGAAAGGAAAGGAAGATGGGCTTCCCGGAAGCCAGTGTCCCAGTGTGTGCTCCCTCCCCTTGACCTTCCCAGTCCCAGGTGCTCCTGGTGCAGACAGACACGGGGAGGTGGTTATGGTTATTGTTTTCTTTTTTTAATGAAACTAGATCACTGCTTACAAAACCCTGCACAAGCCCTCCTGCCCATCCCCTTCACAGTTCCCTTGGCTCAGCCTCTCCTGTCTCACAGGAACTGCAACAAAATGGGTGTGGAACAGCCACCACCACGTCCATTGAACGACAGGAAGGGAGAGGCCCTGGGCTCCGACCCTGGGCCTTAAGAGGGTGACAGTTCTTCCTTCCACATCCGTTCCCATGGGGCCTGGAGTTGCATGGATGAGGGTGGTCCATGCCACCATGGTTCTCAGGCCACCACTCAGACCAGAGTGAAATGATGTGAATGTCCCACCCCACAGAGCCCCCTCCCCCCATAGATTCCCCCCACCCCCCCCCCCAAACCCTAATTCTACCCCTCTACTGAGATGAGGCCCAGCTTCCATCAGAAGGGCCAGGGCCTACAGGCTGTAGAACTTGAGGCTTCTGTCCATGCCTGTTGAAGCGATGAACTTGGCGTGATGCCCGAAGGCCACCCCTGTGGTCAGGCCGCTATGCTCTGAGGAGAAAGATAAGAGGCAACTGTGAGAAGGCTTTTCCTCCTTTAGTCTGAACACTGATCCCTAATAACAGATTCCCAAACAACCAGGCCTTCTCTAATTAGTATTTATCACACCGCAGGCTCCTGTTTGTTTTCCCTAGGCTGACCTGCACACTACCCCCAGTGCCTCCCTCAGTGCCTGGCATTTTTCACTGGTGGGATGAATGAATAAAGCAATGCCAGCCCCCCCTTCTCACCTGAGCTTTCTGGGCAACTGCAGTTCGGCTAGGTTTAGTTGAAAAACCTCAGAGCTCAGCTTGTTTATGCCTAGTGCTCACTACTTGCTCGTAAGTGGAACAGTCCATCAGCATTTTCTAGCTCATAGTGTTCCAACCCCAGGGCACTCAGGCCCCTAACACAGAGCAGGACCAGATAAGAGGCAGATGAGGCTGGGCAACATTCCTCATGGGACTCCAGAAATTCATGAACATCTGGCCAAATTCCTTCTAGATTTAGGATCACACCTGGAGTCAACCAACTCCCCATTAAAAAGCTCACGCTGTA
Source organism: Homo sapiens (assembly GCF_000001405.40). Lineage (NCBI taxonomy): Eukaryota > Metazoa > Chordata > Mammalia > Primates > Hominidae > Homo > Homo sapiens. The sequence continues at coordinate 60,891,810 of NC_000011.10, forward strand.
TTTTCAGCTACCTAACTCGGTTCTAAATCAAAACACCAGGTACAGTACAGGGTGAAAACCGGTGAGCCATATTGTTAGGATGGACACCTTTGTTATACAAACACACTGAGCAGGGCTCAGGAGAATACGGGGCAAGAAGAAATATCTTGTATCCTGCTCACAACCTGCTAATGAGGACGAGAATTTCATCAACACACACAGCAGTAGCTCCCATTCATGTAGCATCTTAAGTGAGCATCAGGCACCCTGTTACCAGCATATTAGCATGCCATCTCCACAACACCAGCTGTCACACCCTGCAAAGCTGTGCCAATATTCCCATTTTCTAGATGAAGGAGTTCAAGATCTGAAAGGGAAAGTCACGTACCCAGGGCCACATAACTGTTAGGTTAGAAACCCTGTTACCCATTCTCTCAGCATCTCATGCTTTTCTTCTCTAGCACTTATAATTGCAATTAAATGTGTACATGTGAAATTAATCTACATCTGCCTTACTAACCTGACTATAAATTACATCAGTGCCCAAATCGGGTCTGTTTTATTCACTGCTCTATCCCACCACAGACTAAGACCCAATGCTGAGTGAGAACAACTGCAAATCCTGACTACGTGCCAGACACCGTTCTGACCTATGTATTCACAGACGGTCCCCGATTTACCATGGTTCAACTTGCAATATTTTCAGCTTATGATGCACTTATCAGGATGTGGCTCCATCGTATATCAAGGAGCACCTGTATGTATTTTCATCTAAACCTCAACAACCCCACTGAGTCTATAGTTACCATTCCCACTTTTCTGAGAGGTTAAGTAATATTGGATCTCAGAAAACAATACCCCAAAGTATGGTGGTTTGGCACGCTGAGGGCTTTGAACCAAGGTCTCTCTGACCATGTCCTGCCCTCCTGTCTCTTGCCCCTCTTTCTCTAAGGGCAGGTCATCTGAAAGGAACATCATGAATCCCCTTCCTGGGAATCTCAACCAGGGAAAATGAACTGGTCTCACAAGAGAGAAGACTAGATGCCAGTCTTTGTCACAGACTGTCATGCATTATTTATCTAAGGTCTGCTCTGAGACAACTTTTATTACCTGAGAGACTCTGTAGTGCACTTCCTCCCCATCCCCCCACATAACTTGTGTCACCACCACCCCCTAGAAGCCTTAGGCCCCTACTCCCTTCTGCAGTTCAGGATGCCATAGAGTCATGTGTCACATAATGACATGTCAGCGACGGACCACACAAACACTGGTCCCATAAGATTACAGTGGAGCTGAAAAATTCCTATCACCAAGTGATGTCATAACCATCATCATGTCACAATGCAATGCATTATTCACGTTTGTGGGGATACAGGTATAAACAAATCTACTACACTGCCAGTTGTATAAAAGTATAATATAGCTAGGCGCGGTGGCTCACGCCTGTAATCCCAGCACTTTGGGAGGCCGAGGTGGGCAGATCACGAGGTCAGGAGTTTGAGATCAGCCTGGCCAACATAGTGAAACCTCATCTCTACTACAAATACAAGTACAAAAAAAAAAAAATTAGCCAGATGTGGTGGCACACGCCTGAAGTCCCAGCTACTCGGGAGGCTGAGGCAGGAGAATCACTTGAACCCAGGAGGCGGAGGTTGCAGTGAGCCAAGACCATGCCATTGCACTCCAGCCTGGGTGACAGAGCAAGACTCAATCTCAAAAAAAAAAAAAGTATAACATAATTAGGTACAGTACGTTACTGGTTTATGTACAGACATATCTCAGGGACATCGCTGGTTCAGCTCCAGGCTACCAATAAAGCAAATATTGCAATAAGGCAAGGCACACAAATTTTTTTGGTTTCTCACTACATATAAAAGTTATGTTGGCCAGGCATGGTGGTTCATGCCTGTAATCCCAGCACTTTGGGAGGCCGAGGCAGGTGGATCGCTTGAGTTCAGGAATTCAAGACCAGCCTGGCCAACATGGGGAAACCCCGTCTCTACTAAAAATACAAAAATTAGCCGGGTGTGATGGTGCCCACCTGTGCTAGAACCTGGGAGGTGGAGGTTGCATTGAGCCAAGATCGTGCCACTGCACTCCAGCCTAGGCGACAGAGCAAGACTCCATCTCAAAAAAAAATGTTATGTTTACACTATACTGTAGTCTATTAAGTGTGTAATAACATTATGTCTAGTAAACAATGTACATACCTTAATCAAAAATACTTTATTGCTAAAACATGCTAACAACCATCAGACACTTCAGTGAGTTGTCATCTTTTTCCAAGACCCACCAGCAGGGTCTTGCCTTGATGTCGATGGCTGCTAACTGACAAGGGTGGTGTTTGCTGAAGGCTGAAGTGGCTGTGACAATTTCTTAAAATAAGACAACAAAGAAGTTTGCCACATCATTTGATTCTTCCTTTGACAAAAGATTTCTCTGTGATGGATGCTGTTTGATAGCATTTTACCCACAGTAGAACTTTCAGAACTGGAATCAATCCTCTCAAATTCTGCACCTGCTTTATCAATTAAGTTTATGTAATATTCTAAATCCTTCATTATCATTTCAACAATGTTCACGGCATCTTCACCAGTAGAAGATTCCATCAAGAAACCACTTTCTTTGGTCATCCCTAAGAGCTCCTCATCCATTAAAGTTTTAACATGAGATTGCAGCAATTCAGTCCCATCTTTAGACTCCCCTTTGGATTCTAATTCTCTTACCATTTCCTCCACATCTGCAGTTACTCCCTCCATGGAAGTCCTCAATCCCTCAAAGTCATCCATGAGGGCTGAAGGGTTGGAATCAATTTCTTCCAAACTCCTCTTTATGTTCATAGTTTAACCTCCTCCCATGAATCACAAATGTTCTTAAGGGCGTGTAGAATGGTGAATCCTTTCCAGGTTTTCAATTTACTTTGTCCAGATCCATCAAAGGAACCACTATCCAGGGCAGCTATAGCTTTATAAAATGTATTTCTTAAGTAATAAGACTTGAAAGTCAAAATTACTCCTTGATCCATAAGCCGAAGATTGGATGTTGCAGGCATGAAACATCTCCATCTGAGCTTTAGGGTAATGAGGTGCACTGTAATATTTTGAAAGGAATCTATTTTTCTGAACAGTACCTCTTAATGGGGGGCTTAAAAAATATTCAGTAAACCATGCTGTAAACAGATGTGTTGTCATCCAGACTTTGTTGTTCTATTTACAGAGCACAGGCAGAGTAGATTTAGCCCCACCTTCTTAAGGGCCCTACAATTTTCAGAATGCTAAATGAGCTTTGGCTTCAATGTAAAATCACCAGCTGCATTAGTCCCTAACAAGGGAATCACTCTGATCTTTGCATCTTGGAAACCAGGCATTGACTTCTCTCTAGCTGTGCAAGTTCCAGATGTCACTTTCTTCCAATAGAAGGCTATTCCGTCTACATTGAAAATCTGTTGTTGAGTGTACCCACCGTCAATGATCTTAGCTAGGTCTTCCGGATAACTTGCTGCAGCTTCTACAACAGCATCTGCTGCTTCACCTTGTACTTTTCTGTTATGGAGATGGCTTCTTTCCTTAAACCTCATGAACCAACCTCTGCTAGCTTCAAACTTTTCTTTTGTAGCTTCCTCACCTGTCTCAGCCTTCACAGAATTCAAGAGTTAGGATCTTGGTCTGGATTATGGTTTGGCTTAAAAGAATGTTGTGGCTGGTTTGATATTCTATCCAGACCACTGAAACTTTCTCCATATCAGCAATAAGGATGTTCTGCTTTCTTATCATTTGTGCGTTCACTGGAGTAGCACTTTTAATTTCCTTCAAGAATTTTCCTTTGCTTTCATAACTTGACTAATATTTGGTGTTGAGGCCTAGCTTTTGGCCTATTTGGCTTTTCACATGCCTTCTTCACTAAGCTCAATCATTTCTAGCTTTGGATTTTAAGTAACAGACATGGGACACTTTCTTTCACTTGGACACCGAGAGGCCATAATACGGTTATTAACTGGCCTAGTTTCAATATTGTTGTGTCTAAGGAAATAGGGAAGTCTGAGAGGGAGAGAGATGGGGAACGGCTGGTGGGTGGAGTGGTCAGAACACACACAGCATTTCATTTATCAAATAAATTCAGTAACTTTTATGGGCACATTTCATGGTGCCCCCCCGCCCAACAATTACAATAGCAACATCAAAGATCACTAACGGACACAATAAATCATGAAGAAGTTTGAAATACTGTAAGAATTACCAAAATTTGACACACAGACACAAAGTGAACACATGTTGTTGGAAAAATGGTACTGACAGACTTGCTTGGGGCAAGGTTGCCAAAAACCTTCAATTTATAAAAAGCAAAGTATCCATAAAATACAATAAAGCTAAGTGCAATAAGACAAGGTATGCCTATACTATACTTTTTTTGGTATTAAATATACTCTTCCCACTTATAAAAAAAAGTTAACTGTAAAACAGCACCAAGCAGGCCCTTTCAGGAGGTATCCGAGAAGAAGGCATTATCATCATAGGAGATGACAGGTTTATGCATGTTGGTGCCCCCGAAGACCTTCCGGTGGGAAAAGATGTGGAGGTAGAAGACAGTGATGTTGGTGCTATGGTTAGGCTTTGTGCCGCCACCCAAATCTCATCTTGAATTGTAGTGCCCATAATCCCCACGTGTTGTGGGAGGGAGCCAGTGGGAAGTAACTGAATCATGGGGGTGGTTACCCCCATGCTGTTCTCATGATAGTGAGTTCTCACGAGATCTGATGGTTTTATGAGGGGCTTTAGCCCCTTTGCTCAGCATTTGTCTCTCCTGTTGCCATGTAAAGAAAGACATGTTTGCTTTCCCTGCTGCTATGACTGTAAGTTTCCTGAGGCCTCCCGAGTCACTGTGAGTCAATTAAACCTCTTTCCCTTATCAATTACCCAGGCAGTTCTTCATAGCAGTGTGAGAACGGACTAATACAGTTGGTGATCCTGATCCTGTGTAGGCCTAGGGTAATGTGTGCTTGTGTCTTAGTTTTTAACAAGAAAAGTTTAAAAAGTAAAAAATAAAAATAAAAAAATTAGAAAAAAGCTTATAGAACAAGGATGTAAAGAGAGACAATATTTTTGTACAGCTGTACAATGTGTTTTAGTTTTAAGTTAAATGTTATTACAAAAGAATCCATTTTTTTAAGTTTATAAAGTAAAAGTCAGCTAAGGCTTATTACTGAAGAAAAAGTTTTTTATGAATTTAGTAAAACCTAAGTGTACTGTGTTTATAAAGTCTACAGCAGCGTACAGTAATGTCCTAGGCCTTCACATTCACTCACAACTCACTCACTGAAAGCAACTTCCAGTCCTGCAAGCTCCTTTCATGGCAAGCACTATACCAGTGTACCATTTTAAAAAAATCTCTTATACCTTATTTTTACTGAACCTTTTCTATGTTTACACTTGTTTAGATACACAAATACTTACCATTGTGTTATAATTGTATTCACTACATTTAATATGCTGTACCGGTTTGTAGCCTAGGAGCAATAATAGACTATACTAAGGTTATAGCAATAGTCTTGGCGTGTAGTAGGCTACACCATTTAGATATATGTAAGTTCACTCTACAATGGTCGCACATGACGATATCACCTAACAAGACATTTCTCAGAACATATCCCCATTATTAAGTGATATATAAACTGTATAAGCTTCAATCATCTGACCCTTCTGCAGATCTAATATAATGTGGGCCTCCCGTGCATATGCACGTAATTAAAATGGCTCTCCTCCTGTCACTGTCTAATGTTCATTTATTTTAGATTCAGTTATCAAAACTTCAGAGGGACTTTTCTCTCCCTTTAGTAACCTGCCCAATGCCACAGGGCATGGAAGTGGCAGAACAAGCACTAGCATCTACTGCCATGCAGTCTGACTCAGTTGCTTCCTTAGTCATAAAGCTCTGCCTCAGGTGGTAACAGAAAGCTGCTTAGGTAAATTCATGCAAGCCCTAGAAATTCCTAACCCAGTGAGGCTTCCCTCCGGGCCTGGGCACCTAGAGAGATCCCAGGAGCCCAGGACCAGCCTCTACCTGTAAAGTGAAGAATCTCCGTCCATTGTTTGCAGATGTAGATCTGGACATCCGTGCCCCCAAGAGCCAGGTAGGTACCACTCTGGTCAAAGATCAGTGACTTTACCTGCCAGAAATAGAAAGAGAGAAGGTCACACAAGGGGAACAGAAACTATGGGGCAGTTGCGGATAAGCAGAAGCAATTAGATTAATTCAATAAATAATTGACAAACAAGGAGACACAATGGAAAGCTGGGCGGAGGGGGAAGGGCACACCTCAAAGTTGTTATCCAGCTGCAAAGTCTTAAAGTTCTTAAGCTTGCGCAGATCCCAGAGCTTGACAGAGGAGTCATCAGCCGCTGTAGCCAGGTAGTAACCATTCTCAGAGAAGGCGATGCTAGTGATGGGGCCCGAGTGGCCAGGGAAGTTGGCCACATTAGTACGTTCCTACAGTGGCGGTGGGTAGTAAAATACGTCACCCACAGATCATGAGAGGAAGAAAATGGGGCTCACCAAACTCCTACCTGAGATGTCCCTCACGTCCTTCCAGGAAGGACAGCCAGCGGGACCCCCCAGACCACACCATCATATCACACACGCACAGCCAGTGTCTCTCCACCTTCAGGGCCAGGTGCCACAAGCACCTAATTAGCACTGCATTGTCACAAACACTCCCTCTGGCCCTGGGCCTCAGATGGAGGCCTACCATGTCCTACCTTCAAGTCCCAGATCTTGATCTGAGAGTCCATGGTTCCTGTTCCAAAGATGAGTCCGTCAGGGTGGAACTGTGCACAGGTGAGAGCTGTGGAGGAGGGAAGAGAGACCTGTGGTCAGAGCCCACCAGGGAGAGAGACTAAGAGCAGCAAAGGTAGGTTCCTTGTTCTTCACATTCCTCAGTGAACCCAGCACAAAGCCCGCACTAGACAGGTGCTCATGGTAAATATATCTTTAGAACAAATAAACAAATGACTAAATAAAATGTAAAAATAAATAATAAACAGCAAACAAAAAAGCTGAGTGCCTATGAGGCAACTTACAGCAGCCGGAGGTCTCATCTGTCACCTTGGTGAGCACACGCCCTGTCTGGATGTCAGAGAAAGCCCAGTACTGGGGAAAAAAAAAGAGACAATGGAGTCAGTGAGAAAGTGGGTCCCAGGTTCTGGTGGCCCTTCAGCAAGACAGAGCCCCTGGTTTGGCAAACCCTGGCAAACATTCTCCTTTGAGGTTCTGGGGAACCAGCTGGGGTGGGAAGATGTTCCTGCCACCCAGGATGTTCAAGCTTGGGGACCAGCAGGCCTCTCCAGGGCACTGGCTGGGACCGCACCTGATCATCGGAGGAGCTCAGGAGATAGTCGCCAGTGGCATGAAGGCTGAGGCCTGTCACAGCACTCTCATGGGCCCGAACCACCTGTACACAAGAGGCATTGGGGACCGACCAAATCCTGATAGTGGCATCGGGGGAAGCAGAAAACACCAGGTCCTACAAGGAAAACAAAGACAGAATATCAGAGTCAGAAAAGAGATACAGACCAAAACAATCTTATAAAACGGGGCTGGGGATGCCCACAACTGCCAACAATTGCTTCTCCTTTCAGCTCTGCCCTCCCTGGAACCACCTATCCACCCAATGGTGCCCAAGACAGCCAATGGTAAACGCTATTAAAGTGCTAACTCATACAGCATCAGGGCTTGTGGAGGCGTCCTCGCCATCTAGTGGTAAAAAGGCTAACTGCAACAGAGAGCAATTTTCCCATTTCCAGGACCAAAGGAAAAATGTAGCTAGTACAATTGAGGGACTGAATTTTTTATTCTATTTCATTGAAATTTAAATAGCCACATGCAGCTAACTGCTACTGTACTGTATGGCACAGGTCTGAGCAGTACTGGGACTGGAAGGGGCTGCATGGCTGTATTTCAGTGCATTCCACTTTTATGGATTTCCAGGGTAAGTTAATTTTCCAAAAGATTTGGGGCAGGGAGAGAATTTCGCGTCACTCACCAATTTTTTGTTTAGTTAGGATATTAAAAGCCATAAGGTAAAAATAACTACCATCTTTTTTTATCAATACAATTTCATGAGACCTAACTATTAATACCCCATAAGCAAGAAAACAGTGCTCTCAATTTGAACAAATTTAGTCATGAAAAATTCACCATGTTATTCTTATATTTCTCATTTCCCTAAGGTCCAAGGGAAATCTTGACTGCGAAGCACTAAACCAACCATGTCCTGCAGCCCCAAACCCAAACTGTCTTAGGCTTAAAATTCGAATCCCATAATATCATTAATCTGGTCCCATGAGTTACCTTTACCCTGTAAACCAGAGGTTCTGTTTACAACCTACACCACTTTCAACAGTCAACATGATTTTTACCCATCTTGGAGGATCATGGGAAAGCAGATATATCTGTCCTCCTCGTAAGTGTGAGTTGAGATTGTGTTGAGCTTTGTTTTCTGTAGTTTATATTAGGAACACTATAAGATTTTTTCTTTCCCTAATATGAAATATTTCAATGAATATGCTTGTCAAACTACACATTTCCGTTCTCTCCCTGGCTGGAAGATCACTGCTTTAGAAGGTCTCACGCAGAGTGAAGGGCAATCTCCACAACTCCAAAGTGAGCCCCTCCAAGTGCCCACTCAGGAGTCAGAGTCAGAGCTCTTTCCCAGCCCCACTTCACAGAGACAGCAGCGGGGTGAGGGACAAACAACAGCCAAGGAAAGAAGAACCAAGGGTGGCGAGGAGAACCCCTTACCTGGGAAGGGTGAAACACCACGCTGGTGACCTTCTTGGTATGGCCTTTGAGGGTAGCCAGGATTTGTTCAGAACTTTTGTCAAACACAACGACATTTTTATCCGCCCCACCTGGAGAAGACCCAAAAAGACCAAACAATGAGTCAGGCCCACCCAGGCCCTTTTGCTCAAGGAAATGCTTTTGTTCCCATGCCCATGAAGAGGACAAGGAGCATGCGCCTTCCCTGCTGCCCCTCCCCACTTTGGCCTGCCGGGCTAGGCCCAGACTCTCACCAGTGAGGATCTTGTTGGTGTCGGACGGGCAGAGGTCCAGGGCCAGGATCCCAGGAATGCTGGCACTGTGCAACCCCTTTGCAGAGAGACACACCAAACCCTGTCACGGCCAAATCACAGCAGGCCACAAAGCCACAGACCTCCCCTACTGCCATCTCCAGTCACCCATGTTCTCAGGGGAGCAAGAGTTACTTCTATTCCTTATCCATACCTCTTGGCTATCTGCCTGGTACGGTAACTCCCTCACTGCATCACTAGGAAACCCACAGCTGGGCAGAAAGAGGAGCCCTGACAACTCAGCAGCCCAGGCGAGAAACAGCACCAGGAACAGCGCCAGGAACCTGGGACAGCTCTGCACTCAGCACTCCCCATGCTGGCCCGCCCACCCCAGAAACAAAACGGGAGGGCTGTCTCCAAGACAGTGGAGACCCAGACACTCACCACGTGGGATGCCACCTGCCGGTATTTGCTGAGCTCTTCTGGCTTCACCAGCTCCTCAGGCACAGTCTTCCCTCTCTGAGAAAATGAAAAGCCCCCAAAGAAGAGCAGCAATGAATCCAAGATTCAGCCGCCCTCTCTCTCCTAAGGAGTCAACCGCCTCCCACCAGGCCAGCTCTTTCTCCAGGCTTCAGAAAGAGAACTCACCTTCTTGCGCTCCGTGGTTAGCACAGTGGCTTTGTCTTGAAGCTGGGGAAGAACAGGCTCAATGTGAGACAAATCATCTTGCAAGGAGAAAAGTACATTAGATGCTGGTCACACCTGTGCTTTCAAAAGCAGCACCAAGAACTTGCTATCTGCCAACTTCTACGTTACAGGCTTAAAGGCATTCTCTCTTCTTACTTCCATCCCAGCTTTATGAGGGGGGTGTTGATGACCTTATTTTACAGCTGAGGAAACTGAGCCTCAGAGAAGTGAAGTCAATTGCCCAAGGTCGCAGAGGTGATAAACAGCAGAGCAAGAATAGAAGCTAGGACTGTAGAGCTCCCATAGGTCTACACGCCACTAAGCCAAGGGCTCAGACACATGCTGACAATTTGAACTGCTCAGAAAGACACTAAGAAGCCCTGCAAATGAGAATCCCACTGGACTTGCAATCAGGAAGCCCAGCTCTGCCTCTCAGATGTGTCTTTCATCTGCAAAATAAGGATTATAATTCCTATCCTATTGCCCTCATAGAAAAAAAACAAGAAAATATATAAAAGTAGTTTACTATCTGCAAAGAATCTCAATAACAATAAGAGCTAAAAGGTGCACTTATCAGTAATGAAATCTTTTAAATTCCCACAGCCTGCCTATACAGTGGATATGATCATATTCTCAGTTTAGAAGCTAGGGAAATGAGACACGTAAGGGTTGGCTAAGTAAGCCAAGGTCATAAAGCTTACAAGTAGTGGCATCAAAATACAAACCCAGGCAATCTGGTCCCAGGGTCCATGCTCTGCACCACTCAACTCCCAAAAGCACAGTGATTTTAGTCACGATGGACTCCAGACAGATGGTGAAAAGTAAGGGCCCATCAGCACTCCCACCAGGTGAGAGCAGGACTTACCTTCTGAATAATCTCTGGGGTCATTCCCACCAGCTCACCCAAATCCATTGGCTCACCCGCACCCTGAAGAGAAGAAAGGTGAGGGTGAGAGGCACAGAGCACCAAAGACACCTGCATAAGGACAGTTCTGTGGGCCACTGTACACAAATGGGCTGCTGGTAAGGGAAGGGGGACACTTACCACAACACTTGGTTGGGAACTTGGCACAGCCTGGGGCACAATGAGGCCAGCCTGTGGTTTCAGGGTAGCCAGAGCTGAGAGAAAAGACGATGTTAGAAATGGGATATTACAATGCAGAACCAGCCCAGGGTGGGGGATGGCAGGGGAGAGGCTGCACCTTCTCGGGCAGCAGTGACTTCCTTGGTGAGACGGGCAATGACACGGCAGGCGGCATCGTGCTGGTACAGAGCGTGTGACAGCTCTTGGCGGGTTGTCTGCAGCTGCTGGCGCAGAGTGAAGCTGTGCAGCATGACTGCATCCTGGGAGAAGCAAATATCATTGTAAGGTGAGGTGGGGGGTGCAGGGAGTACCCAGTGGAGTCAGCCCTTGGGGAGGGGATGCTGCCTCCTATCCCAGAGCCTAGACCAGTATCAGTGACCCAAACAATATCCGAGCAAACACGAATGTGCCGGCAGACACTCTTGAGCTCCTACCCCAAGCGAACCACTGGGCACACAGACAGGAGTGGGAGCCAGCTCTTTCCCATCCCCACCTTCCCTAACTTACTGGCAAATCCCAGCTGTCATGCCGTCCCCTCTCTAAAAGAGAATAACAACACTGCTGCTGCTGCTATTTATTGATCGCCCTCGTTGTGTCAGGCACTGTGCCAGACAGTCCTGCAGGATGTATTCAATCATTCAATTCATAACTCTAGAGCACCTACTATGTACCAGGTGCTGCTCTCAGTGCTGGGGATACAACGAAGAATAAAACAAATCCCTGATGTCACAAAGTTTACCCTCTAAATAATGCTCCATCCTTCCTACCCCCAAGTCCTAACCCAGCAATGCATTCTCTTCAAGTGGGGAAGATGCTGATTCTCTTGCAGGAACTCACCCACTCATCCTGCAAAGCTTTCAGAATGGCCGGGATGCTGGTGGCTGAGGGAGGCTTGGGCCGGATTGGGTGAGCAACTGCCGAAAGGGAAAGCAGGTATGAAGAACATAACCCAGGGGCCTCCCCCGCCATCACATCTTTTCCTTTTAGCCATAAACAGCCCACCATCTCTTCCTCCAGTGCACTGGCACCACCTCCCATCCTCTCAGGCTCTGAGCTAAGATGGCCCTAGACTAAGGCAGCCAATAGGCACCTTTGATGTCGATGAGCTGCTCCTCGGAGAGAGGCTGGTTGTTGATGGGGTCGGTACCATTCTCCGCAATGTACTTCTCGATGAGCCGCCGCTCATAAACATGATTAGAGACAGGGGATACACATGGGTGCTCCGGCACTTCGTTAGAGACTGTAGAGAAAAGGCTGGTAGTGAGCTTGGAGTGAAGGCAATCTTGGGCCTAGAGGATTCCTCATCTGCTATTAGCCCCAACAAGACTAGGCATCCTCACACTCAACTAGCAGAAAGCAAGACATTTGACCCTAAGCCAGTTCTGTACTGGCCCCAGAATGCTTTCCAGCTATGGAACTACCTTTTCCTTTAGTCTCCTGACTGAGGAGATAGTCTCCTGACTATCTGACAATCATATAGTCAACAAATAATTATTAACAACTACTATGTGCCAAGCACCTAGAGAATAGCAGTCCATTATCACCACCTCATATCTGAACAATGATTGTGTACTCTATGAATACAGTTTACTCCATGACATGGAGATACACATGAAGCCATTCAAATCCCTGCCATCCATCTTAGTCTATAGCTCCAGACAGATTATCAAAGAAATTATAAAGTCTGAGAATACAGGAATAACAAACTCAGTTTCTCCTATTCTCTGACAAAACAAAATACTTCTGTGACCTCAGATGTGACCATCTGGGTGTCCTCCAATTCAATTCTGACACCAGGTACCTGGAGATAGTGTCAGATCATACAGGTTGAGGTCTCAGTCCCACCAGACTCCCCGCCCCTTCAGATGCCAATCGCAAGCCCCAGGTTGTTTGACCTGTTCTTCTGATCTACCAGCTGTAAATCAGGGTTCCCATGACCTCCTTTTTGGGTTCAATTAATTTGCAACAGTGACTCAAACAATTGTGGGAAACACTTATGTTTACCAGTTTATTGTAAAGGATATTACAAAGGATACAGATGAAGAGGAGCATAGGATGAGGTATGGGAGAAGTACAGAGCTTCCCATGCCTTCCCTGGGCACCCCACCCTCCAGGAACCCCCACATGTTCTGCTATACAGAAGCTCTTTGAATCCTGTCCTTTTGTATTTTTATGAAAACTTCATTACAAAGGCATGATTCAATAAATCACTGGTCACTAGTGACGACTTCAGTTCCTCTCATTTCCCCAGGTAAATGGGGGGTAGGACTGAAAATCCCAACCTTCTAATACCCTTTAGTCTTCCTAGGTGACCAGTCCCCATCCTGAAGCTATTGAGTCTACCAGCTACCAGTCAACTGATTAGCGTACAGACACTTATCACCTGGAAGATTCCAAGGAGCAAAGTGGCAATCGCTACAATAAAAATATTTAAAAATATTTACATGGCACATTTGCATGGCACATTTCTATGTGCCAAGCACAATTCTAGGCATACAGTACAGTAATTCATCTTCACAACAACCCGCAATAGAGGTATCATTTACACTCTTGCCTGCGTAGACTGTGCACCCCTTGAGGATAAGGATTACAGCTGGTCTCTCACTTCCAGTACAATGCAGATGCCCCCAGGGCACTCGGTAAACATCTAACAAATGAGTGAACCATGCCAGGAAGGATGGTGCTGGGGAACGTAAAAGAGAGCTTCCCGAAGATTGGAAGGAAACAATAAATGTGAAGGTACTTTGCGAGCTGTAATTTCTTCAAAGTGAGGGATTCCTTTTCCATCATTTCCCTTCCTTCTTCCCCCTCTTTGGATCAATGTACAGGTTCTGAGAAGAGAAGGAAGTGAATAGCAAAAGGGAGGGGAAACGAGTAATCTGATGAAACAACGAAAAGGGAAAGGAAAATGTCTGTACGTCATGATAAAATATCAAAGGGAAAGATAGTGGAAGGTATGAAAAAAGCATGGATTCAGGGTCCAAGATCCGTGTCACCTAACTACGTCACCCAGCTCTGCCACTGACTAGCTACGCATCCTTAGATAAGCCCCGCTCTTCCTGCGCCTTGCATCCTCATCTGCAAAACCAGGATCTTTATTTCTCCTTTAGGGAATTCTTGTGAGGATAAAATGAGATCATAGACTTGGAAGCGCGTTGTAAACCAATAAGGGCTTATAAATGTGCGCTGTTTTTATTAGTCATACAGTGTAAGGCTGGGAGCCAGATACCTGGCTGCCAGCCTTGCCTCTACCTCTAACTCATCATGTGACCTTTGCAAATTGCAAAAGCTCCGACTATCCGAGCGAGGCCTCGCAAAACATCCACTGCAATGCTCTCGATTTTGCAGATGGGGAAACCGAGGCCCAGAGCCTTGAGCCAATTCATAAAGCCAATGGGAGGCGGACCCTGGACAAGACCTCGAGTTTTCTGACTCCTACATTAAGGCTGCTTCCCTTGCACCAGCTCTCTCTGTCCAGACCTGTTTCCACTCTGTAGAATGAGGCGACCGGCCTCAGTAATGTCTGCGACAATAAACCTCAGGCACTATGTAAACTGCGGGGCACTGCGCAAATGCACCCCGCTCCGACGGGGGGGGCTCCGGTGCTGACAGGCCGCCGCTCGGCCTCCGGAGCGCCCCATTCCCGCCTCCACCCCGGCCCGGGCGCCGCAGCGGACCGCACACGCTCCCGCGCCGCTCTCTGGCCTCCTGAGACCCGCGCTTGGCCGCAGCCAACACTCACTGGAGCAGATTAGGGACATGGCGCCGTCACCGTGCTCCGAGGCGCCACACGCCGGGCTCCGGGACTAGCTTCTGAGCCTCCGCGAGCCACTTCCGGTCCCCCGCTGCTGCCGGGACTGCTCCGCGGCGAGCTGGGAGCCGCCAGCCGAGCGATGCTAGCGTAGCGCTTCACGTGGGAATGGGGACAGCCGCGCGCCACAGCCTTCAGCACCTAACGGAAATTGCCCTTTCCCAGAATGCAGCCGGGCAGGAAAGGGCCCGCCACGAACACTCGGTTATTTCCGGATTGACTCGGCTCGTTCCGTAAAGCGCCGGAGGATTGGCTGGGGCGTCGGGAGAGAGGAGGCTCGAAACTACATTTCCCATGACGCAGTGAGAATTTAAAACCAAAACAATTGGACAGCACTTGTTTTGACAACTGTGCGGCACTGTGCCACGGGACCCTGGTCTTTGAAACCTTGGCGTGCGCGAGAATTTCCCAGTGAGTTTGTTAAAATGCAGATTCCTCGGGTCTGCGTAGACAGACTGTGCCCCACGCTTTTCTAAGTCAGTTGTTTCTCGGGCTACCCTTTAAGAGACACTGCTGGATGGCCTGGTGAAGAAAATACAGAAACAGATGGGTACAAGAACTAAGAAAACGGCTAAGAAAGTGTTTTGGTCCTGACTACTACCATTTCGCTCTGTGATTTGGGGCAATTCACATTGCCCTTTCTTCTTTGTCAAAAGACAAAATCACAACAAACTTAGTTCAAAGATTTTTTTTTTCTTAAGAGACGGACTCTGGCAATGTTGCCCAGGCTGGAAGGCAGTGGCTATTCACAGGTGCGGTCATAGCAATCATGGCTATCACAGGTGCATCCTGGAACTCCTGGCCTCAAGTGATCCTTCTGCCTCAGCCTCCGGAGTAGCTGGGACTTAAGGTGCGATTCTATAGAATTGGGCAGTGCCTCATACTATAAAATATAATGGTTGTTCCAATGAGCTGAACAGGAGAACTTGGTTTTATAGACAGAAAAGGACTGAGGAAAACAGGAACAGAGAACAAAAAGCGGATTGGTCATTTGGTAATTTCAAAATTACTTTTCTTGTAAAGGTTAAAGTGGAGGGGACTTATCATGCCACCTAAAACTTGCCTGTTTGGGAATTTAGCTCCCCCCTACACACACACACACACACACACACACACACACACACATACACACTCAGAAGGTCGTAAAGATCTTCGTTTCAGCTTATTGGCGTGGAGCTTCAGCAGGACTAACTCTTTTTAGCTTGGTCTGTTAGGCCTAGCAGAAGAGCTCAGTCCAAACCAATGGCCTCCTATAAATTTCTTTATTTTGTATTTTGGATTTTGTATTTTCTATTTCTCTTCCAGCTCAGATAGTGTATGATTCTTTGTGGATATCTGTAAGATAAGATACTCTCAGGAATCATGCAAAAGACGTGGTGTGGACTGTAAGGTATCAAGACAAAAGGGCAGGATGAACAGGATGTGAGTGAGAGGGACTTTGACAGGTGGGCAGTATTCAGAGGAGAAGGAGAACGAAAGGCATTCCGGAAGAAGAAACAACGTAAGCAAAAGCTTGGAGAGAAAAATAAAAGTTACAGGTACAAAAGGCAATATGGCATAGTGGCCAAGAGCATGGACTCTGAAGTCAGACTGTGTGCTCAAATCCTAGCACCACTCAGGTGATTGGCAGTATGAACTTCTCTATGCCTTAGTTTCCTCATCTGTAAAACAGAGGGAGTGATGACAAGGGTAGAACTAACTCACTGAACTCTTATGAAGAGTTAATATGCAAAAGGGCATCTCATCTCTGTCTTGCACCAACAAAGTAACTTCCCACTTGTTCCTTGCTTCCAGCCTGGCCTCCTCCTCCTAATCTACTTTCCACAGAGCAGACAGTGATCCACTTTGAACGAAATATCTATTCATGTTATTCCCCAGGCATTTCATTCATCCAACAAATATTGATTGGGTGCTTCCTATGTGCCAAGCCCTATTGTAAAAACTGGAGATAGAAAAGGTCAACAAGAAAGACACAGTTTCTGCTGTCTTGGAGCTTACACTCTACTGTGGGTGGTGGGAGCACAGAGACAATCAACACTTAAGAAGAAAATTCCAGAGTAGTAAGTGCTATGAATACAACAAATCAGAGCAAGGTAGACAGAGGTGCTGGGGATTGGAGGAACGGCTACTTGAGGCAGGGCACTTAGAGAGTGCATCACTGAGGAGCTGATTTTTTTGCTGAGAACTGAATGAGGGTATGGAGCAAAAAAGTTTCCCCTCTGCCCTCTAAAGATTTGCTGAAATTAACTGACAATCGACAGAATAACAGGAGAAAAGGCATACAAGTGTATTAGTGTGTGAGTGTGCACAGGAGTAATACAAAATATGAGGCTCAAAGAAGGAACAGGTGGCTGATGCTTACTTAAATGGCACCCAGGAAAGACGGAGATGGGGGAAATGTAGGCAATTTTGAGGGCTAGCAAATAATTTTTAGGGAGGGCTAGCAAATAATTTTTAGGGGAAATGAATGAGCCCCAAGAACAAACAATGCCTTGGGACAAAGTTCTTATGAGCTCTGGAGGAGGTGGCAACAAATTGTGGGAAGGTGAGGGGCAGAACTCCATTGTGAACAAAGGTTGTCTTATTATGCACATAAGGTCTCTCAGGTAATCTGTTAGAGCTCCCATCAGAAGAATAGATTAAAAGTCTCTCTAGGTGTAGTGGTGAGTTGGTGACTTTTAGTTTTTATTCTTCTCCAGTGGTTAATCTTTCCTGGTTATTTGATGAGTTTCCTGTGGAGGGAGATTTGAGACAATTGCATTTCTTCTGAAAGAAATTTTCTCAGTCAGATAAGGGAACTTCTAGAGAGAGCTTCTCCCTGTACTTAGGGTGGGGGTCAGGGGGCAAGAGAAGGTTAGAAAGTCCTTGGTTCTAAGGCAGCTTCTAAGACCTTCCCATTTCTTTTCATTCAAAAGTGCTCAGCATGCTGTAACCTCAGGACCAATCCAAACTGGGCCTACTCTTTTGATAACAGAATGTCATGTTCTCTTGTAGGTATGACAGAGCCAAAACTCCAAGTCATGTCAGTAGGGCATGCCCAATAGAAAATGCTTTGACATCTAACAACACCCAGAACCAATGATTCCTCCCTGTGGTACCAAGAAGACCTAGACATGATCGGAACCTAAATGCTGGAACTCTTTCAGGAGCAAAGGGTCTGTTGACCAGAAAGATCCAGGGGTAAAATCCACCTCAACATACCCGTGTAGTCAAATTTGACACCCTCCAATCAGACCCTGCCAAGCCAAAATTCCTAATACGTTTCCTTGCCATCTGTATTAGTCTGTTTTCACGCTGCTGACAAAGACATACCTGAGACTGGACAATTTACAAAAGAGGTTTAATTGGACTTACAGTTCCACGTGGCTGGGGAAACCTCACAATCATGGCAGAAGGCAAGGAGGAGCAAGTCACATCTTACATGGATGGCAGCAGGCAAAAACAAAGAGCTTGTACAGGGAAACTCCTGTTTCTCAAAACCATCAGACCTCATGAGACTTATTCACTATCACAAGAACAGCACAAGAAAGACCTGCCCCTATGATTCAATTATCTCCCACTGGGTCCCTCCCACAACATGTGAGAATTCAAGATGAGATTTGGGTGGGGACACAGCCAAACCATATCACCCTCTGACCCCTTAAATCTTGCCCCAGACCCCAAATTAGGAGACAGATGTGAGCCATGCCTCCAGTCTCCTTGCTGGGTGGCCCTGCAATAAAGCCTTTCTGTTCTCAAAAGCTGGTACCATAGTATTGGCTTCTATGTGCATCAGGCAGTGAGCCTATTTGCTCAGAAACAATACTAAAGCACCATACTTTGGGGTATCATTCTCTGAGCCCCAACCAGGGGTCATTCCTGAGGCCATGAATGAGGGAGAGAGTTTCTGGCTGAGGAAACTTGCCCGTAAGTCTTGCACCATCTGGCCCATGCTGACCATCACAGTCTCACTTTATCTTCTTTCCAGCCACATTGGCCTTTCAGTTCCTCAAACATACCCGCGCTGGCTGGTTTCAGAACTTCTGCCTGGATCACTGTCCTCTCCCCCCTCCCTCTTCCCCCTCCTGTCTCAAACCCTCCAATGTAAACTTCAGTCTCACCTTAAATGTCACTTCCTCTGGAGCCCTTTTCATGGTCCCTGGTTTAAATTTAGTCCATACAGCAAACTGTGATTGTCCTCCAAACCACTTCAAAGAACTGTAATCATTTAATTATCTATTTATAAGTATCTGATGTCTGGGTTCTTCACTAGACTGTAAACTTCATGATGGCAGGAACCATAATTGTTCTGGTTACTCTTGCTCTCAAGAGTGTAAGAGTGCCACATTGTGCCTGGCACATAGCAGGAACTTTATGATGATTGTTGGTTGGAAGACAGGTTGCCTGACAGGCCAGTCATCTCAACTACTGTACTTGGATGTGTGGTTGGAAATAAAATGGATCCGTTTAGGAGAGGCCTTGAACCCAAGGTGGTAAAACTTGGGTGGTGATTGGGCTGGCAGCACAACAGCATGTGTTTGCATTTGAGCTATGGAGTGATAACCATACTTTCAGAAGTTTCCTCTGGAAGACACTTACTGGATGGGTTGGAGTGGGACAGACTAGAAGGAGGGAGACTCAGTAATTAATTGTTGAACCAATCTTTATTGAGTACCCATAGCGTGTCAGCCCGGCACGATACTAGGTGTTGGTAGTATCACAATGAGCAAAACCAGAGGTGTCCCTCTACTGGGGAGTTTATGGCTATGATAGCAGGATGCAGGAAAAAGGAAGTCCTGTCAAGGCTTTTCCGTTTCATAAGCCAGCCCACAGGGAATAGAAAAAATTCAGGGCACTTGGTTTCAGAGAAACAGGGAGAGTTAAGGGAAAAGAGATATATGCATTGGTGCTGGTGGGTCCCTGAGGAAGGAACTCTATGCCTTGTTCCTCCCAGACCAAAGCTGCTGTTGCTGCCTGGGGAGCATGGGGACACATTGGCCAAAGACCCAAAAGAAGCTTAATTTCCCAGGTATCTTCAGTAGCAATCTGTGTGGATAAGTGACAGAAGATTAGTCAGGGAGAAGTTGCCAGCTTAAACAACTGACACTGATAATTAGATGAATTTTCTTTTTTTCTTTTTTTTTACATGGAGTCTCACTCACTGTCACCCAGCTGGAGAGCAGTGGCGTGATCTTGGCTCACTGCAACCTCTGCCTTCTGGATTTAAGTGATTCTCCTGCCTCAGCCTCCTGAGTAGGGATTACAGCACACACCACCACACCTGGCTAGTTTTGTTTGGTATTTTTAGAGAGACAGGGTTTCATCATTTTGGCTAGGCTGGACTTGAACTCTTTCACCTCAAGTGATCCCTCTGCCTCAGTCTCCCAAAGTGCTGGGATTACAGGTGTGAGCCATTGCCCCCGGCCAGGATTAGATACATTTTCTCCCCCAACTTTGGCCCTATATTCATTTTCCAAAAGGTGTCTACGACCTGAAAATCAAGGATGGGAAGAACCCTGAACTGTCTGAGACTGTTTCTACTACCCACATGGAAAAGAGAGTTGAAAAGAAATTAATTTGTCATAGAAAAAAAAAAAGGTTAAATTTCTTTCCCAGGAAAGTCTGTGACCTGAGATTGTTAATCTTAGACATCAGAAAGGATCGCACAAGCAAATGTAAAATTGAAACTGTTAGAAAAGCTGGAAGGTGAGGTTTAGGATGCTACCAGAGCCTGTCCTGGAAGAAGGACTCTTAGCTGAGGGGCAGGAAGTGACAAGAGCTCAGATGAAGATGGATGTGTCTGAGGAACATCTGATGGAAAGAAACAACTGGGTGAGGTGACAGATTGGGAGCCTACAGAGTGTGTACTCTAGGAGGAAGGCAGAACTGGAAGGCTGAATGGTTGGGGGTGGGAGGGAAGAGTTACGTTTTAGAGGGTTGAGTTTGAGAAACAAGTTTTAACATCAAAAGGAAGCTCTCCTATGACAGCTCTTGATGGTGATAAAAACATTCAGTCAGCAACCTGGATTTTTTTTTTTTTTTTTAATGTTCATGCTTGTTGCTTCCTTGAAACTTCACACCTACTGTGAAGTGGTATTTTTAGGTCCTTTATAGTTCTTGAACGTCAAGCAATGAAGGCTCAGAGAAATGAAGCTGTGTGCTCAGGATCACACGACAGGCAAGAGATCACCTCATTCTGAAGCCCTGTTCATTCTCCTTCACGGTGCTGCTGAAGCAGGATATTGCCCTGACCTTTCACAGGACTCACAACAGGGGTGCCCCGTTTACTCAGCCCGCTGCTCTCAACTCCTCATGGGAGGGAGTACGCAAGTGAACAAGGCGGGAACTGGAGTGCACAAGCGCTGGAACAAGCCAGCCGTTTTTCAGCACCAGTGGGATCACACTCCACTCACTCAAGATTCACCGCGTTCCACCCCTCATAGGAGGGAGCGTGCAGGTGAGTGGGTGCAGGAGCCAGAGCGTGCGCTTTTGGACACCGGCAGGAGCGAACTCCGTGCAGGCCCCGGGGCAGTGTCCAGGCAGAGTGCCTGAGGCTCCTGAAGCCCCAGAGGGCATGTTACAGTGTTCTTTTGGCTCTGTCGTCCGTGGACAGCTTAAGTGTTAACAGCTCCGTGGGCCCGCGGTTGCCCTCCACCAGCAAGGGCAGAGGGCCAGCGTGACAGCTTTTGTATCCGCACTCGTGGCTCCCGAGCTCTTGTCCAGCGTCCAAGAAAAATAAAGCTGCACGAACAAATTAAAGGACAAATGCCTGGGATTTTATTGCTGATCAAAGTGGATTTCAGAGGGAAGGTGAGCTGAAAAGAGGGGGGTGGGACAGGCCGGTATGTAGTCTTCCCTTGAAGTCCAGCTATCTCCAGCCAGATTCGTCTCAGAAGTTACGCCTTAAGCTGTCCCTCTGAAGACAAGCTGCTTCTCTCTGACATCCAGCCATGGTCGTCCCCTCATCCAGCTGCTTCTCCTCTCTGCCAGATGAGTCTGGGGTCTTTCTAGGCACAGGATGAGGCAGGGCAGAGCCATGGGTGGCTTAGGAAAAGGCAACATTCAACTGGAAAAACATGGATAGAAGTTCTCACTTTGGGCCATGGTTTCAGGCTTTTTGGCTTGAGGGTGGGGTTTCACCAGGGACCCGCTCTTTTCTACCTAGCATTTATCTGCCTCCTGTCCCTATGCACTGCCTTTGTGGCAGAAAAAGGAGAGTGAGAGTTGGTTCCTCTCTTTCTCTGAAATTCTGAGCTAACATTTGGGAGCCGTCTACAGTATTCAGGTATGAATTTTCTCTCTGGGGGAGCGCATTCGTTTTCCTAGAGCAGTGTGCTTTTAATTGCTCCTTTAATATCTTTCTCTTTTGTGCCTTTTTAGCGCGAAAAGTGTATGGGAAGACTAGGTGCTCGTTAGCGGCTCGGTTAGAACTACATTGCCCACAATGCCCCAGGGAACATTTGTAGCTCTAGAACTACATGACCCAAAATGCCGAGTGGTGGCAAGAGGAGGATTAGCTTCCACTCCGATTTCAAAGATCCAGTTTACCCACTCTACAGCCCAGATATAGTCACTTATTTCCCCTTTCCAGCCAGAGACTTCCGTTCCCTGCTGGAACTTCCGATCCCATTCTTCTCTCGGTGGGAATGCTTGTGGGGGGAAAAAGAAACGCAATAGATAAAGCGGGGCGCATGCGCTCCCGGCACAGGCTTCGATTGTGAGGAAGGCCGGCTAGTCTCCGAGCTCATCCCGCCTTGCGCATGCGGAGAAGGTAAACCAGCGCCCCGAGTTGAGGCGCGGGTTTGGTGGCGCGTTTCAGCGAAGTCGCACGTGAAGGATAGCAGTGGCCTGAGAAAGGTGAGAGCGGGCCGAGGTCGGAATGTGGGGCAGCGCACGGGAAGGGGAGACAGCAGCCGCTGCAGGCGGCACCAGGCGGAGCCGCGAGGCCTGGAGAGTCCGAGTGGGGAGGGGTCCGCGCGCCCAGCGTGCGAAACAAACCGGGGACCCGGATCCCCGTTGCTATGCAACCGGGGGCGTCGTTTCCAGGCAACCCGGGAGGCGCACGTTTCCGGGGAGAAGAGGGTTGCGGCGAGGTTCCGAGGTCCGGCAGAGGTGGAGCGGCTCCCGGGCGTGGGGACCAGGCCAGCGCCAAGCCCGAGCCCCCGAACCCCGACCCACGGCCCAGCCTCCTGCAGCCTCGGCTCGAGCCCTTCGGGGGGCCCCAAACTCATGGGTCGCGCCACGTTCCTTGCCAGCGACGCTACCCCTCAGCGCTTGGCAGGGGACGCGCCGTTCGAAATAGCACATGCCACTGACACCCTGTCTCCGGGAGGCTGCGCCCCGGTTAGGGCGCGGAGCGGCAGGGAAGCTGCCCCTTTGCCGTCGCCCTGCCCCCAAACAGTTGCTGGGCAGCAGCTGTCAGGGGTTTAGTGGGAGCTGCCCCCAACCTGCCAGGGCGCTGACTTCATTCTCTGCAGTGGCGGCTTCGCCTTGTTTAGGACCTTCCTTTAGACTCAGCTGTGCTTCTCGTGTGGCTGCTGTATATTTGGATCTACTATTAAAATAACCTCCCTCCTCACCTCTCCATGGCTTTCTCGTTCGACCCTCACGGTTTCTTGGCAGGTTGCTAATATTCATTTAATAAACATTTATTAGTCATCTTTCCTACTAGGCGCTGGGGATTCCAACATGTCAAGTCTAACCGGGAGTCGCTCGGTCTACTGGGGAAGGCAGGTTGATAAACTGCTAAATTATGCTACGATATATAGTCAGTGGTAATGTGTGTGCTGCAACATTTCTATAGATGTTTAGTTTACAAAGCGCTTGCTGCAGAAATATCTTAACTCCTTACAGCAACTCTTCACCTGGGTTCACTCCCTTTTACGTTTGAGGAGACTGCAACTCAGGCAGGTTAAGTAACAGGCGTAAGGTAGTAGCTTCTAGTCCGTGGCACACTTGAGCCTGGGACGGAAGTCAGGGGTCCTTTGTACACTGCTGCACTTTTGAAGCTTTGCTTAGACTTTTCCCTGAGCTGCTGGCTATGCATCCGAAATTCCTGAGGAGCTTTGCAAAACAAAGGGCTGAGTCCCTCTCTGGAAGAGTCTGAGTGAGTAGCCCTGGGTGGGGCAGACGTCCTTGTTTAACAGGCTGCACAGGCAGTTCCGATGGGCAGCCAAAGTTGAGAACCGCCGCTCCTTAGGGGCAGCTATGAGCAGCGGCGGGACAGTCAGAGCCGGTAGAGGGCACTTTTTGCCGCCCCTCCTGCCACCTGGTGATTCATAGCATGAAATGAAACTAACAAAAGGAAAGAGAAGAGGAGGAAGGAGCCTTGATTGGGAGGGGGGGGCGCGAAATGCCCCATCCTACCCTTGTAGCAAACCACAGCTAAACATAAGCAGTGGCGCCTTCTCACTAACACAATAAGTAAAGCTGTTTCCCCAGCCAGGCTGGGCTCTCCAGACCCACCTGAGCCATATTGCAGCTGCCGAACAGAAGTGGCAGGTTTTGTCTCCCACCTTTTGCTGTCCTCTCATACCTCTTGGTACAAAACCATGGCCTGTAAGCCCAGAAGGCAGATGGTCTCCTGGTATGTGTTCCCTCGGAGGAGTCTGGATGTCCTTCCACTTTGAGCTTGTTGGTGAACTTCAGCTCCATGAGGGCAGGGACTATGTCCACTATCAAGGCAGCATGCGGGTATGGGACAAGCAAAAAGGCAAGATTGAGATCCTGGGTACTGGAGTCAAGTCCCAGCTCTGCTGTGTGATCTTGGATAAGTCACTCAACCTCTCTAAGCCATACTTTTCTGAGTAAGATGAAGAGGGTAATAATACCTTAAAAGATTGTTGTTAGAGTTAAATGAAGTGATGAAACAATAAGCACTCTGTGAATTATAAAGCACCACACAAAAATTATTATAACATATGTATATGTATAGATATGTATAACATTTGTATTATTATGAGTTGTTAATTGAGTGCCTATTATTTGTCTGAGGCCAGGCATTGCAGAAGGTGAAGAAGTTTTAAGACATGCTTCCTCCTCTCAGAGGCTGAGACTGTTTCCATGCCTTTAGTAAAACTATTTGATTAGGCCAAAGTGAGGAGGCCTAATAGCAGTGAGTCCATACTGCCTGAGATTCACCTGGAAAAAAATGAGAAGGAATCCTATTAAAGAAAACAATTTGAAAAAGCAGACCAGCCAGCCAATCTCTGCACTCATTATCTCCAAAGGATACACTACACAATCCTGTTAGGTTTGGTATCTGGTGCACTTCAGAACATCAGTCTGCATAACGATGCCAGCCTCACTGCAGAGGGCTTATTTCAAGGTCTCCTAGCTCCCCTTAACTGGGGCAGACAGCCACTGGAGAGTTGGGGCTGGCACAGAACAAGGCAGGCTGCTGTGGGAGGAGCAGCTTATGGCACCCTGACCTCCTAGGGCTGAGGAAACGATATTTGATCCCTCCTGGTGGAGGTCCTTGGATAAAGGATCCAACCCAAGATAGCAACCCTGCTCTTTTAAGTCCCCAACATGGTTATGACCCAGATAGCTCAGGAACTCACCTGTGCTTTCCTCATCTGCGACCACTGGCAGGCAGGAACCATCTGGTTCTTGATTTGTGCCAAAGACAGTAGAAGGCTTTCCCAGCCTGAGGGCCTTCTACATGAATTGCATGTTTTTCAGCCTTGCTTGACCCTCCAGGCTTCTGGAAGGGCTTAGAGCAGCTGTTTCTGGACCAAAAAGTACCCTAAATGTAGTATTTTTAGAACCCTTTCCTAGACTCTCCTCCTTCCCCCTAAGCAAGACTAGGACATCATTCTCTTCCTTCTCCATCCCTCATGGCTCTGGATTTATTGTCAACTCCCTGAGTGCCTGTGTAACTGCAAAAAGTTCAAAAACCTGACTGCTCCTACCTCAGGGGCATGGCTTAGCCTCTGATCATCAGGTCTGAATCATGAAAACTCCTGGAGCTACAGGTTCATTTCTGAACCTGGAGGGGAACAGGGAATTTGCTGGCGCTGTCTGACATTTCTCAAGCACAGTGGCAAGTAGAAGTTGAACTTGTGTACTTTTTCTTGGCTGATCCTTACCTGCTTCAATGAGTTGGCACTTGTTGGGTCTTAACTTGTCTGTGGCATTGTGTTACAAGACCAGAGCACAAAGCACAAAGTTGTTAGGTAATTTTCACCAGTAATTCACTGAGATGATTGGTAGATGCCAAGTTTATTTTAACTCATGAATAATCTGTTGTGTGACTTTTTTTTTTAAGCGTCTTGCTCTCTTGCCCAGGATGGGATACAGTGGCATGATCATAGCTCACTGCAGCCGTGACCTCCTGGGCTCAAGTGATCCTCCCCCCTCAGCCTCCCAAATAGCTGGGAGTACAGGCACGCACCACCACACCTGACTAATTTATTTATTTATATTTATTTTGTAGAGACAGGGTCTCCTATGTTGCCCAGGCTGCTCCCAAACTCCTGGGCTCAAGCAATCCTCCCACCTCAGCCTCCCAAAGTGTTGGGATTACAGGAATGAGCCACTGTGCCTGGCCTGTATGACTTTCTAAATCACTTCTGAGACTTAGTTGGAGACAATACAGCAGAGTTGTTGTGTATGAGGGGTCCAATGTCAGAAGTACCTACATTCAAATGCTGATTTCCCCAGTTAATACTTAACCTGCCTCAATTACTTCAGTAAAATGGGGGATAATAGCAACACCTACCCGATGGGCTGTTGTGACAGTTAAATGAGCGCGGTGGTGCATGGCAAGACCTAGCTGAATGTTAGCTTTTTATTAATAGTATTTCTTTAAAGGTTGTTCATTATACCCTTGCTCACTGTCCTCGTCCATTTTCTGCTTCCTATAACAGAATGCCACTGCCTGCGTAGTTTATAATGAACAGAAATTCATTAGGGTCACAGTTCCAGAGGCTGGGAAGTCTAAGGGCATGGCGCTGGCATCTGGCAAGGGTCATCCTATGGCAGAAGGCAGAACCCAGCACATGAGACAGAGACAGGAAATCAGGCCAAAGTCATCCTTTTTATCAGGAGCTGCATTCCTGGGATAACTAATCCACTCCCAAGATAACGGCATTAATCCATTCATGAGGGCTGAACCCTCATAACCTAATCACCTCTTAAAGGTCCCACCTTTTAATACCATCATCATGGCAATTAAATTTCTTTCTTTTTTTTTTTTTTTTGGTGGAGAAGGGGTCAAACTATTTTACTGAGGGGAATGGGGTGTCAAAGAAGTACTTAGGACCATGAGATCCAACATCCTTGGCTGGACTGGGAGCTCCCAGGCTCTGCAGGAGGTGCAAGAACAGTTAAATTTCAACATGAGTTTTGCTCTTCAAACCATAGCACCTCCATTGGGGGTGGGGAGGTGAGGTCACTCTGTATCAGTGGTTCTCAACTTCATGCAGTGGAACTGCCTAGGGAGCTTTTGCAGATCCAAGGCTAGGCCACACCCAGACAATGATATCAGAACCTCTGGGCTGGGGACACAGACATCAGTACTTGGGAAGCTTCCAGGTGATTCCAGTGAGCAGCCATGGTTGAGACCCACAGTATAACTTGACTCCTAATGAAGATGGGTGGAAGCAGAAGCTTGGGTTCAAATCCTGGCCTTTCTGTGTAGCCCAGTGACCATGGGAAAATGCTTAACTTCTGAGTCACAGTTTCTTCTCGTCTGTACCAGTAGGGGCGAGGAGGATAAAAGCCACCTCACATGATGGTCCTGCAGAGAAGATGACATATGTGCAGTTATTCTTGTTTGAGCACATAACTGAGCACTTTTCTTTATACCATTATATGGCAGTAATCCTACTTGTGTGCTATTTTTAAGTTGTTTTTTATACCAGCTGTATCTTAAGTAGATTATAAGCTCCTTGGGACAGAGCCTTTATAGAGTCTTATAATACTTTTATGCCTATAGCACCTAAGATACAGGGACAGGCCTTCAGATTTTTAGAACTGGCACAAACCTTAGAGAGATCTTCTCGCCAACTCTAAAGTGTTGAATAATACTTGCTGGTTAATTAATATGCAAGTGGTAAAGAATGTGAAAGAGGAACCTGTGAGTCAGATGGTTGTGCCCAGCTTCAGTTGGAAGTCCCAGTCCTTCCTCTCCCAGCTAACAGCACTTTCTTTCCAGGGTTAGTTTGGTGCTTGCTTGGGGTAGGGGTGGAGAAGGATGTTGGGATAATCAGAGCTGAGAGGGTGAGTGTGTCTACCATGGCACTCAGCTCACTGTGCTTCTCTCCTGGCAGACCCAGTCATGGCAGCCTCCAGCATCAGTTCACCATGGGGAAAGCATGTGTTCAAAGCCATTCTGATGGTCCTAGTGGCCCTTATCCTCCTCCACTCAGCATTGGCCCAGTCCCGTCGAGACTTTGCACCACCAGGCCAACAGAAGAGAGAAGCCCCAGTTGATGTCTTGACCCAGATAGGTCGATCTGTGCGAGGGACACTGGATGCCTGGATTGGGCCAGAGACCATGCACCTGGTGTCAGAGGTAAGGAAGGTAGTCCCTGTGTGACTACACACATTAAGGAAAAATAAAAGAAGAAAGGTTGGTAATGGCCACCTCATCTTAGTTCCACATCCTCTCTGGTGCAGAGAGCCCCAAATTCCACAAAAAGAAGCCACACAGCACTTGTCTTTGAATTCCTCGTTATTTGATTGCTGTCCTAGGGCCTTTTAGCTCCACCCCTATCCTTTCCTGGCTCCTGCCCTTTCCTTGCCAGAAAGGCTGGGAAATGAGCCATCTTTATAAGCCCATGTTACTGGGTGACTGTAGAGTCTCACTTTGGTCTAAATCTGACCTAGAATCTCGAAATGGCAAAATATCAAGTCCTGAATCCATTCCTTCACCTGCAGAAGTGGGTTGAGCTTATTGGGAGCCTAAGGCAGGGTTATCTTTTTTTACCTGGTGGCATCCCAAGCATGGTATCACATACTTTTGATAGGCTGGACTGAAGGGCTGAGACAATCATTTATTAAATCCATAATATAGTATAGCTGATAGACTCCTTTTTCACTGGAACATCCTATCCCTTTACAGATGTTCTCCACGCACCTTCATGACTCCCTGGACAGCTAGCAGGCCTCCAGTTTTATAGGGTGACTACTAAAAGTATTTGATTGTCTCCGTCATTCACACACAAGTACACCTACTACTCCCTCCAAAGTATCCCAGCAAAGCAGTTAAATTATGTCCCAGATGCCCTAGTTTCCAGTTCAGGAAGGAGAGACAGCCTGTTGGCCATCCCTGTAGACTAGAAGGTGGATGTGGAAGGGACCCCTCAGCCAGGCCCAAGGCCCCTACCCTCTGACCCAGGCCTGTCACCACTGGGTGAGAAACAGGTCTGAGACATTCCTGCAGTTCTTGCCTGGACAGTGGTGATCAGGCGTGAAGGCGAGGACCGTTGTTCATTATGAACTCATCTCGCTCCGTGCTCTTTCCACAGTCTTCGTCCCAAGTGTTGTGGGCCATCTCATCAGCCATTTCTGTGGCCTTCTTTGCTCTGTCTGGGATCGCCGCACAGCTGCTGAATGCCTTGGGACTAGCTGGTGAGTGTTCGAGTGCTGGGTAGTCAGCCAGAGCTTTGCCTGTACTTTCCTACTTGTGGGAGTTCATCTTTGTCAGGGTCTAGCCTTTTCCCCAAGCTGCTTAACCCTTCCCAGGATTCTGCAGAGACATGGCCAAAGAGCAAGCCAAGAACTACCATGGCCAGGTGTGGTGGCTCCCGCCTGTAATCCCAGCACTTTGGGAGGTCAAGGCAGGAGGGTCACTTGAGGCCAGAAGTTTGAGACCAGCCTGGGCAATATAATGAGACCTCGTCTCTATAAAAAATTAGCCAAGCATGGTGGCGTGTGTCTGTTGTCCCAGCTACTTGGGAGCTGAGGTGGGAGGATCGCTTGAGCCCAGGAGGTAGAGGTTGCAGTGAGCCGGGATCACGTCACTGCACTCCAGCCTCGGCGATGGAGCAAAACCCTGTCCCACCCAGACCCCCTAAAAAAGAACTTCCGCCACCACGTGCCAGTTGTTCACTTCCTATCAGGCATCGTGCTGAGCTGTAGTATCTCATTTAATTGCCAGCCACAGTACAGGGAGGCAGTAGAATTGTTCCCGTTTAGTAAATGAAACTGCAGCTCAACAGAAGCAAGTAATCTACTCCAGGCCTCACAGCCAGCAAGAAACAGAGCTGAGATTCCAACCCATATCACTCTGAGTCTGCGAGAACGGCTTATTCCTTTGCAATGTGCCTAGCACCTCCCACCCTTTTAGCTCTTGCCCCGCTCTCCCCTCACCACTTCTCCAGGTTGGCTGACTCTGTGACTCTCTTGGCTTCCAGGTGATTACCTCGCCCAGGGCCTGAAGCTCAGCCCTGGCCAGGTCCAGACCTTCCTGCTGTGGGGAGCAGGGGCCCTGGTCGTCTACTGGCTGCTGTCTCTGCTCCTCGGCTTGGTCTTGGCCTTGCTGGGGCGGATCCTGTGGGGCCTGAAGCTTGTCATCTTCCTGGCCGGCTTCGTGGCCCTGATGAGGTCGGTGCCTGACCCTTCCACCCGGGCCCTGCTACTCCTGGCCTTGCTGATCCTCTACGCCCTGCTGAGCCGGCTCACTGGCTCCCGAGCCTCTGGGGCCCAACTCGAGGCCAAGGTGCGAGGGCTGGAACGCCAGGTGGAGGAGCTGCGCTGGCGCCAGAGGCGAGCGGCCAAGGGGGCCCGCAGTGTGGAGGAGGAGTGAGCCGGATGCCCCACACACCGCCAGTGTCATACCAAAGAGCTGAGCTGCTTCGGGGCCATGCAGCCCTCCTGCCAGCCCCCTGCCCTTTTCTTGCCCTGTCTCTGAACCTTCAGAACATTGATCCTTGCCGCAGCCCCACTAGCCAAGAGAAACAGAGAAAGACCATTCCCCCTGCCTGTCCTTGCGGCCCTGTCTTCTGAGGTTCTCTGTCTGGGGTTGGCTCTCTTAACCCTTTCTCTGCTCCCAGCCTGCCTCACCAGGGAAGGTTGGAGGGGCCTCCCTCTGGCTTCTGCATCTGCGCCAGCAAACATCACTGCCGTTGGTCTCTCATGACTTAACTGGCTTCCCTCTGCTGCTGCCTTGGCTTCCTCCTAATGCTCGTGCTCTCCTGTCCTTCTGAAGTTGCTCCTTGGCCAAATCTCCAGCTCCCTTCTTGTTTTCCTCATCCTCCTACCCTGTACTCCCACCAAACCATGGTCCTTTAAGGCACGCTCCTGTCCTCCTCATTGCCCAGCAGTAGGGAGGGGCAGGGGTAAGGGGACCTGAGGATAAAGGGTGGGGAAACAGGGTCCCCTGAGGCCTGTGGGGGCTGCAGGGGAGGAGGATGTACCTTGTGTCTCTTTCAAGTGCCTTAATCCGAGCCAGCAGGGCCTTCTGCTTGCCTGCTGCCATACTGTATGTAGGAAAGTGTTCTGTGGCTGCTTTGTGTCAAGAAAAGAGCAGTCACTCTCAGAATCTTGATTCCCCATCAGCCAAAGCAAAAGATGGCTGCTGCTTTGTAGGCATGTGCCTGCAAGTGGGACCTTGCTGGGCATTATATGCCCTGTGGGGGTTTCAGAGACCCTGAAAGAGGAGGGAGGACCCGCCTCCTTGTCTGCACAACTGCATGCACTTCTCTCCCCATCGCTCCACAACCTGAAACCGAGAAGGAGTTGCTGACCAGTGCCCACCCCGGCAGCCCGGGAGGAACACAGGCAGCTCCTTTCCCTTCACGTGGTCTGCAGAGAGCAGGGTGAGCTGCCAGCTGCCCCTCTCCACCAGGGTACCCTGTCTTGGTGGTTAGGGGCCACTTTTCCTTTGAGGCTCTAGTGGAGGTGGATGTCCTTCTCTGCCAGGCTTGGCACATGATGTGAAGAATAAATGCCCAATTCTTACTGTTCAGGTTTGATGTGGAATCACAGCTGCAGTGATATATATTTTTTATCAGTGCTTGGTTGGTTTTAAATAAAGTGCACGCTATTTTATTATCTTGTTCTGAATAAAATGTATTTACTCCAAGTCTGGATTGCTTCCATGTCTCCTCTACTGCTAAACCCATTTCTGTAGTGCAGCTCCGCCTCCCAATTTCTCCCTGTGGGGGCAGTGTGAAGCTGGCAGAGGGGAGAGCTGAAAAGGCAGGCTGGTACCAGGTACCCTTCCCTCCAGGAGCACAAGGAATTAGGAAAGCATGCCCCCATTACAAAACGTAGGAACGACTGGCACTGCTGGAAATGCGTGTGCTTGCTGGGCAGAGGGGTCACCCCTTCCCTGCAGTGTGCTGAGGTGGGTGGGCAGCCTGGAGAAGACTTGCCTGCCCTCCCCTTCACCACCCACCTGAGGACTTTCCTGTGCCAAGGTTTCCAGTCGGCCCACAGGCTGGACCAATTTTGCGGAGGGCCTCAGACATAATTTTTTCTTTGTAAGCTGCCCAGGGCATGAGAGTGTGCAGCTGGGGCCCCTGCTCTGGGCCTCTCCCCAAACTGCCTGGTAGGCAACACTGGGTCAGGACCCTTGAGGCTGGCCTTCCCTCGGGAGTGTTGGGCAACCCTCAACCCTCCTAAGCGCTGCAGGACGCTGCCCAGGTGGAGCTGGTCAAGAGACTAGAGCTGCCTGCACCTAGAGCCCTTCCTCCACGGCGGTGGCCTAGCTCTGTCAGGGCAGGCTCAGGTGGTTGGCATCTGGCCCCGTTTGACCCCCTCCCTCCTTTCCTGTCCCTGCAGCTCCCGTCCCATGTGTCCCTGAATTCTGGTTCTGACTCAGGTGTCAGATGCCTTCACAAGTGAGCTGCTTGTGGGGGTGGGTGAGGCAGAGAAAGTGGCTTTTTCTTCCCTGATCAGAAGCTTCCGTGAGGGAGCCACACAGAACTCACCGAGTCCCTCCTGGCAGAGGCGGCCGTCCTCTGTTGCTTCCAGGGACGTGGCCCTCTTCCCGACCTCGGTCGCCTGAGCGCGCAGGGATTGGGGATCCGTAGGGCACTAGGACCCGGCGGGGCGGAGGGGGCAGCCCATGTGCTGCGATTCGCTCCCTCCCACCCCACTGCTCCCGCTCCATTGTCTGGGAATTGCAGCCGCGGGGCGGGCGGCGGCGGCGGCGGCGGCGGCCGGGACCCAGCGGGCCAGGTGGGGACGGCGCGGAGCGGGTGCGGGAGATGCCGTGCGGGACTGGGGCCACCTGAGCCGCCCGCCTCGTCCCCGCCTTCTGTGGGAAGGATGTGCGCGCGGATGGCCGGTCGCACAACAGCGGCCCCTCGGGGGCCCTACGGCCCCTGGCTCTGCCTCCTGGTGGCCCTCGCCCTGGACGTCGTGAGAGGTCAGCGGGAGGGGAGGGCCGGGGCGAGGGGCGGCCGGGCCCGGCCGAGTGGGAGCGAGTGATGCCCGGGAGCCACCAACCTTTGGGTTCTCGGACTGAACCCTGAGCGGGGTCGCCCCGCAGCGCCCTGAAGGTCGGAGAGTTCTTGCCCTCGGGAACCTGCCCCCAGCCACTCGCCCCTAAGGCTTCCTTCACCTTGCACGACCCGGCAACTCCTTCCTGACCCGGGGCAGCCCGGCGCAGGGGCTTCCCCGTCCCGCACCTTCTGCGAGGGACCCCTCAGCCCGGGCATCGAACCCGGCGGCCCCGGTCCCGGGCGCACTAGCGTCATCCCCACTCCCTCACTGTGGTCTGTAGCGCTGCACCCTCCTAGCCTCCTTCCGCCGCCACCAACCCACCCCCCTCGGGAGTGGAAAGCAGCCCCTTTGCCTGGGACCTGCAACAGACGCAAGCCCTCCCTCCCCCTTCCCCCAGGGCTCCCTGACCTTGGCGTCTCCAGGGATGGCCGCATCCTTGCCTTCCAGAACCTTTGAGAGGATTCCTGTCACTGCGGGAAAGGGCAGCAACTTCCCTGTGCTTCGGGGTGGGGGTCGGACTCCCTTGGCCTGGGCTAGCTGGGCTGTGGCTGCAAGGCAAAGGATGCCACAGAAGACAGAGGGACAGTGAAACATTCTCTGCCCTCCCCACCGAGAGAGCCGAGCGCTGGGTGATGGGAGTCCGTGGGAGTCAGGCTAAGAGCATCTTGTAATTATGGAGGCAATGGAGTAGGAGGCGAACCTGAAGCCAGTGGCTGCCCCCAGAGAGCAGTGGTCACTTGTTACGCTTGGGGCAGGGGGCAGGGAGAGCCTGTCAGTCATATGCTCCTTGGTGGGGAGGGCCAGGAAGGAGGTTGAAACCAATTCCCCCACCCCCACCCACAGTCCAGCTGTGGGGCTGAGAGGGAGCTAGCTGTGGGGTTGCTTTCAGCCACCTGCTCCCCATCCCGAGGGACGCCATGGGAGTCCTAATAGAGAGAGGAGGAAAACCTTGTCAAATCCATTATGCAGCAGCAATAATGCCTGCTCCCTCCAGACAGCACTCCACAGTTTACACAGCCCTGTCCTGTCCACAGTGCCACCTAATGCTCCTGCCCCTTTTACAAGTGAGGAAACAGGCTTCAAAATGTTAATGCCTGACCCAAGTTTCATCAATTTAAATTCAGGTCTCCAGGCTCCCAGGAAATCCTCTCTAGGGAGCGCTTCCTAGTTTGGGGGAATTCCAGGATGAGCAAGACAGGGTCCCTTGTTTATAGGAAGATTACTAATTCAGAGGAGGCACCCAGGGTTGCAAAAGACAGGAGACTGGTGGGAAGGTGAGTAACCAAGGAGGGCTTCCTTCAGAAGGAGGCAGTATTCACTCATGGCCCTGAATGAGGAGGGAGGTGCCACCGGGCAGAGCAGAGGAGAGGAGGTGCGCTCCAGGGCATGAAGCCTGCAGGGTGCACCGTGGCAGTGGAGAGTGGAGAGAGAAGTGGCAGGTGGAGACGCCGGATGGTCTAGTGGCTAATACCTGGGATCAACCCCCAGCTCCTTCACTCTCCAGCTGTGGAACCACAGGCAAATACCTTAACCTCTCGGCCTCATTTTCTACATCCACAAAATGGGATTCATCATAATAGAACCTGGTTCACAGAATTATTACAAAGACTCAAAGAGTTCATATACATACAGTATTTAAATTCTCACCTGCATATAGCATTCACAAAATGCTAATTATTATTATTAGTGCTCATAGTTAGAGCAAACCAATATGGCTTAGTGCTCCTTTGTCCTTCTGATGATTGACTATTTTGACTGTCTTCCCCAGGCTCCTGGTCCCCACCCCACCCCCAGGGCAAGCAAGTGCCTTCACAGACCTCTTCAGCACCTTCCGCGCCCGCCCATCCCACACTTGCACTCGATACCAGTCGGTTCAGGGAAGAAGGGAGCAAGCTTGGAAAGATGGTGCAGGTTGCCATGGCAATGATGGGGGAGGAGGGGTGGATGCCCAGCAGAGCCTGGCCAAGGATTCAGGGCAGAGAAAGCTCACTTCATTACCATATTTTACTACACTGGCCCAGTCTGCCGACGGTTGCACCCCAGAAGTGCCTTGGTATCAGAGGCGAGTAGATGGAGGGCAGGAGTTGGGGAAAAGGAGACATTGAGAAGGCTGTTGGCGAGAAGAAGGCCAAGGTCTGTGGAAAGTAGAAGGAATAGCTGGGAAGCATCCAGTCCTGGACTCAGATTCGAATCCTGGCTTTGCTACATACTACCTGTGTGAGGCTCTTTAAGCCTCAGTGACCTCATCTGTGAAATGGTGGTGAGAGGGGAAGGGACATTTACAGCCCTTTTCTCCCTCCCTTGCCCACAACTACTGTGCCCCAGCATGGCACCCGGGTCAGCCCCTGCCAGCTCTGGAGCTGTCATCATCTCTCCCTCTTATGCCTCTTCAGTGGACTGTGGCCAGGCTCCCCTGGACCCTGTCTACCTGCCGGCAGCCCTGGAGCTCCTAGACGCCCCTGAACACTTCCGTGTGCAGCAGGTGGGCCACTACCCACCTGCCAACTCCTCTCTGAGCTCCCGATCTGAGACCTTTCTGCTCCTACAGCCCTGGCCCAGGGCCCAGCCACTTCTCCGGGCCTCCTACCCACCTTTTGCCACTCAGCAGGTAAGGAGGGGGCACCGGGGACTCTCAGGCTAACAGGACTCAGGGCCTGAGGTCTGCTGGGTACAAATTGGGAGCCTTCCCCAGCCCCGGCTGTGCTCCCCATATTCCAGAGGGGGAAACTGAGGCCCATAAAGGTTCTCTTCTGCCAAGCTGGGATCCCATCTTCCTAGATCTTCCCCTCCCAAGCTCCTCTTTTGTTAAGCCCTCTCATTCTCCCTCCAGGTGGTCCCCCCTCGAGTCACTGAGCCCCACCAACGGCCAGTCCCATGGGACGTGCGGGCCGTTTCAGTGGAAGCGGCTGTGACTCCAGCAGAGCCCTACGCCCGGGTTCTCTTCCACCTCAAAGGGCAGGATTGGCCACCAGGGTCTGGCAGCCTGCCCTGTGCCCGGCTCCATGCCACACACCCTGCCGGCACTGCTCACCAAGCCTGCCGCTTCCAGGTGAGTAGACAGGCCCCACCTAGGCTGGTCCTGCTGCAGCTGCATCAGCCAGGTGGTGGGCCCGCGGCAGAGAGGAAACCCCCACTCCTGGGAAGCGCGGGGGTTGTGGACCACCCGACTCCATTTCTGCCCCCACTAGCTTTCAGTGCTGTGAAAAGGTTATTTAGGGCCCCAGAGGGAGTTCAGTCCTTGGTGTGTGACTTTGAGTAAGTAACTTAATCTCTCTGAGATTCAGTTTCCTCATCTGAAGAATGGGGTGTTAAGAATTCCTACCCCATCTGGAGTTGGAGTAAGGAACAAGTGAGATGAATGTAAGGATAGCTTACGGCAGAGTAATCAATCAGCCAGTGTGTTTGCATTATTAGTAGTGTTACTTTTATAATTGCTATTTCCACTATTTTGGAGTCTAGCACAGGAATCCATGGGAGAGGCGTCTCTTGAGCTTTAGGATTCTGAGAAGAAGACTGGATTCTAGGCAGGATAGTCCTGGGCTTGGTTAGGGTAAGGCCCTGGGATTGGCTTACTTTGTAATGAGACCTATCCCAAGGGCTGAAGAGTGGTCTGCGGACATGCTCTGAAACCTAGACCTGGTTTGAAGCCCCAGCCAGGTTGCTGGTTTGCTGTGTCACTCAGGCTGTGTCTCCGGCCCATGCTGGGCCTCCCTTTCATGAGCCCCTCCAGCTCTGGGTTTCCTGCCATGGGTGCTGAGAATCCTGTTCCTCGCCCTGCACCCACCCCCATGCCAATTACTGCTGTCGTGTCTTCACAGCCATCCCTGGGCGCCTGCGTGGTGGAGCTGGAGCTTCCCTCGCACTGGTTCTCACAGGCCTCCACCACACGGGCCGAGCTGGCCTACACGCTTGAGCCTGCAGCTGAGGGCCCTGGGGGCTGTGGCTCCGGCGAGGAGAACGACCCTGGGGAGCAGGCCCTCCCAGTGGGGGGTGTGGAGCTGCGCCCAGCAGACCCCCCGCAGTACCAGGAGGTACCTCTGGACGAGGCTGTGACTCTGCGGGTGCCTGACATGCCAGTGCGGCCCGGCCAGCTCTTTAGTGCTACCCTCCTGCTTCGGCACAACTTCACAGCCAGCCTCCTGACCCTGCGGTGAGCACCAGGCCACGGGGATG
Organism: Homo sapiens; assembly: GCF_000001405.40. Classification (NCBI taxonomy): domain Eukaryota; kingdom Metazoa; phylum Chordata; class Mammalia; order Primates; family Hominidae; genus Homo; species Homo sapiens. The sequence goes on from NC_000011.10 coordinate 60,928,984, forward strand.
GGTGAGGGTGGGAACCTCTGTGGGAAGACTAGGGACAGGTACCTGCTCCTCCTGGGGTCCTTGCTGGAATCCTTGACCTCTGCAAAACATGTGTCCACCAAACTAAACTCCTTCCAGGTAAAAAGCCATGACTGTGCTGGTAGGAGCCCACCATGGGCACAGCCCTGGAATTAGAGTCAGAAGTAGGAAGCTGCCCCTTCCCCTGGCACCTCCCTGAGATTCCTTTGTCCAATGGGGCTAACGGTCCACCTTCAGGGCAGCTGCAAGTCTCCAGGGAGGGGAACCCGCAAAGGGCTTAGAGACTGCAGTACCTAAGTGTGAGCTCTTGCTCCAGTGCTCCAGAGAGGGATATTTGCCCCAATCACGTTCACCTACATGCTGTCCCTCCTTGCCACCCTCGCCGTAGGAGTCTAGCCTTTGGACAGAGCTTGCTCTTCCCCATAGGAAGGCCCTGATTCTTTGTGTCCTTTTCCGTAATAAGTTCCCCCAAAGCAGCCCCCACCCACCTACCCAGTTCACCCGGCAAGGGCTTGCAGAGTATGACTTGCTTCTGGAGTCCAGCGCAGGAATCCATGGGAGAGGCATCTCTTAGGCTTTAAGATTCTGAGAAGCCTGAGTTCTAGGCAGGATAGTCCTGGGCTTGGTTAGGGTGAGGCACTGGGACTTGCTCACTTTGTAATGATATCTTTCCTGAGGATCGAAGAGCGGTCTGTGGACATGCTTTGAAACCTAGACCTAGTTTCAAGCCCTGCCTGGGTTTGTGCATGTCCCGTCTCTGTGTCTCCCCATCTCCTACGCCCTCCTATGCTCACTCTTATTAAGCAGATCTTTCCTAGACACTTACAGCCTGCCAAGCCCTGTGTCTTCACTCTGCAGATCCAAACACGAGCAAGGGCCAGTCCCTATCTGGCAGAAAGGGGCCCCAGTGGTAGGGAAGGGAGCTGGATGGGCATGAATTGGATTAGAAGGCATGTGGGTGTGTAAGCACTGAGGGAGGTTCAAAGTGCGGTGGGAGCTCAGGTGAGTGGGTGCAGTAAGGGGGAAATTCATCCCACCACTGGAAAAGCTTTCTAAAGGAAATGGTCTGTGAGTTGTTGGAGGCTTAAAGCATCAGCAGGTAAAGTAAGAAAGGGCAGAGCAGGCTGAAGGCACAGACTGGGCAAAGGCTTGGAGTCACGAATGGGTGCCGTGTGTGTGGGAAACTTGTGTGTAGCTGAAGCAGAGAGTGCATGGAGAGATGTCACAACCGAAGTTAAGGCTGGACCAGACCCTGGAGGGCCCCCAAATGCCCGGCTAAGCTTTGACCTTATGGGCAGTGGGGAGGCGTAAGTGGTCTTTGGGTGGGGGAGAGCTGTAAGGTGTGAGCTGCACTGAGGCGGGGTCCTTCTGGGTTGGAGGATGGTGAAGAGGAGATTCAGACTGGAGCCAGGGAGGTCAGATGGCTTTGGCTCCTTGTCTTTCCCCTTCAATCCAGCCCACAGTTCAGCATGCACCTTGCCAAACTGAGCCTATACTCTCTTCCCCAGGATCAAGGTGAAGAAGGGGCTGCATGTGACAGCCGCCCGCCCAGCCCAGCCCACACTCTGGACTGCCAAGCTGGACCGCTTCAAGGGCTCCAGGCACCACACCACCCTCATCACCTGCCACCGTGCTGGGCTCACAGAGCCAGATTCCAGGTGGGCAGTTTCCCTCCACCCAGGGGGCAAAGGAGGGAGGGCTGGTTATAGAGTGCAGTTGAGCAGATTTGGAGGCTGCCATGCTGCCTCTAGATCCCCAGGTGAGCAGACCCAAGGACAGATTTTTTCAAGGAAGCAGCACAAAGCAGGCATAATCCATTCCTTCATTCATTCATTCGGCCACTATCTTCCCAGCCCCAGCCATGTGCCAGGCATAGCAAGTGTCTGTGAGTCTTATTCTAAGAGATGCCAACCAATCCTGTGCCCCAGGTAGAGCCCTCATAGCCACTACTCCATCCCCCTGCTTCCACCAAATGATCCTTTCTCTGGGCCGTTCACATTCCCCCAAAAAGCCCAGCTGCAGTTCTGCGGTTGTGAACTCTTCTTATTCATGCCCTGAGCCTGGGTCAAGGCCATGGACTCAGTAGCCCCAGTTCGAATTCTGGTTCTGATGCTTTTGGGATGGGCAAAACCTTGGGCAAGCCAGTTAACATTCCCCTACCCAAGCCTCAGTTTCTTCACTTGTGAAATAGGAATAATAATGCATCCCTTAGCATTTTTGAAAATAAAATACAGTGCTACATATCAGGCACCCAGGACGGTTCCCAGCACATAGGTTTTTGTTTGATCAAAGGAAGCTTATCATTCAGAGGGTCAAGTGTCTGGTCCTGGGACCTGGAAGTGAATCTCCCGCATGCCACCTCAGTGGCTGTGGAAAGCGGAAGTCTGGGGGAAGCGGGCCCGGGCAGGCAGGGGAGTGAGCCACCTTGCCAGGTGGGAGGTGGTTAAATGGCTTCATGGATCTTAGAGAGGCCAAGAGTGGGTCAGAGTTTGGGGTCTAGAGCGAGGATGCTTGGGTTTAGATCCCAGCCCCGCTACTTTTTGCTGTGTGGTCTTAAGTGAGCTATGTAACCTCTGTGCCTCAGTTTCCTCCTGTGTAAAATGGGGATAATCATGAATGCAGGAAGTGCTGAGGCCATGCCTGGCAGCTAGCAAGCATTTGGCTTCTCTGTCTCCTTTGGCCAGCAGTCCCCTTGAACTGTCTGAGTTCCTATGGGTGGACTTTGTGGTGGAGAATAGCACTGGTGGGGGCGTAGCGGTCACTCGCCCCGTCACGTGGCAGCTGGAGTACCCAGGCCAGGCCCCTGAAGCAGAGAAGGACAAAATGGTGTGGGAAATCCTGGTGTCTGAGCGGGACATCAGAGCCCTTATCCCACTGGCCAAGGTAAGGAGACCTCCATCTCTGCCTGGGAAGGCTGGAGGCCAAGTCCCAGGAGCCCCATGAGCTGAGGGGCCTGGGGCTGAGCCCCTCCTCCACCCCCAGGCTGAGGAGCTGGTGAATACAGCACCACTGACTGGAGTGCCCCAGCATGTCCCCGTGCGCCTTGTCACTGTGGACGGCGGGGGGGCCTTGGTGGAGGTGACAGAGCATGTCGGCTGCGAGTCTGCCAACACACAGGTCCTGCAGGTGAGTGGCAGGTGCCCAGCTCATGTGAGTCTGCATTTGTGTGGGCACAGTTACGCACACACACCTTTCCTCCTTCCTCATGTGGGTCCCCAAGAGAACAGCTTCTTCTTGAGACGAGAAACCTCATGGGAGGAACCACAGCTTCAACTTCTTTTGTTCCAGCCACCTCTCTCCCGAGTCAAGTAACCCTAACAGCCCCCCGACCTTAGACACTTTCACGCTCATTATTGCACTGGCAAGTGCGCTGGCCTGAGAGAGTCGAGAGCACATACTCTGGGATCAGAAAGTTTTAGTTTGAAACACATCTTTGTTGTCAACCAGCTTTGTGATCATGGGCTGGTCTCTTAACCTCTCTGAGCCTCGTTACCTAAACTTTAAAATGAGAACATATCTTCGGGTTGTTGTAAGAATTAAAAGCACTTTAAGACAGTATTTAGCAGATAGCAGGGGCTGAAACAATGGCAGTTATTGCTGTTATAATATGATGTAATAATTATACAATGGTAAAAATTATTATTATTATTATTACCGGTGATTGTGAAGTGAAATAAAAGGGAGGGTGGTAGAGCAACTTCCTCTATCTTGAAGTTCTAAGAGGGGAAGCATGGAGTCTGCATGTATGCAAATCCCAGCCACCTGAAGGGGGAAGGTGCCTTTCCCCACTTGTGGTCCTTTGCTCAAATGTGTGTGGTTCCTGCTGGAGGGCCTTGGTGGGAGATCTGCTTTGTCCCACCTCTGCCTACCTGGCTGTAGCTGGTTGCCAGGTGGCTCCAAGAGCAATGTCAAAGGCCAGCATGAATAAGGAGCCAAAGTTTTGGGTTCACACCCCTGCTCTGCCAGGAGGAAGACTGGTATGCAATGGCCAGTTCCCCTGACTGAGCCCCAGGGAACCTCAAGGAATGGCCCCTACAGTAAAATCTTAAACAAAGAACAGGGGCTTAACCAACAATCCTGCTGCAACATGCATTCCAGTGACACACAGAGCTGAACTCAGTGGGAGCCCGTCCTACGGCCTGAGGTCAGGGCTGCTCTCTTCTGGCCCATGCCTTTTTTTTTTTTTTAATCTATTTATTTTGAAACAGAGTCTCACTCTGTCCCCAGGCTGGAGTGCAATGGTACAGTCCGGCTCACTGCAGTCTCAGCTACCCAGGCTCAAGGGATCCTCCCACCTCAGCCTCCCCAGTAGCTAGGACTACAGGCATGTGCCACCACACCCGGCTGATTTATTGTATTTTTTGTAGAGAGGGAGTTTTGCCATGTTGCCCAGGCTGGTCTCAAACTCCTGGACTCAAGCGATCCACCCACCTCGGCCTCTCAGAGTGCTGGGACTACAGGCATGAGCCACCCACCCGGCCCAGCCTCACACCTGTCTTTAGTGGCTTAGCCCGCCCACCTGCCCTCTGCCCTTCCATAGGTGTCTGAGGCCTGTGATGCCGTGTTCGTGGCTGGCAAGGAGAGCCGGGGCGCCCGGGGGGTGCGAGTGGACTTCTGGTGGCGCCGGCTCCGCGCCTCGCTGCGGCTGACCGTGTGGGCCCCCCTGCTACCGCTGCGTATCGAGCTCACCGACACCACCCTCGAGCAGGTCCGCGGCTGGAGGGTACCTGGCCCTGCTGAAGGGTGAGTGGAGGCCTGAGGAAGCTGGCAGGCCTTGGCGAGTCACACTGGGACGGAGAGGGCGCAGGGGACACAGCCATGGGCCCAAGTCGGGGTCAGAAAAACTGCCCTGTTGCTTGCAGTTCCTTCTGCCCACCTCCACCCTGGGCCGCCCAGCCAATGATCGCTTTCTGTGAAATTGCTGACTTCCGCATCCCTCTCCTCCTTCCCTGCCTCACTTCTCCCGTAGCACCCTCCACTTCCTAATCTACGTCAGTACTGGTTAATGTTGCCTGTCCATCCTTTCCACGCTCCTCCCCCGAGAATGTCAGCCCCTTGAAGCTGCGGTCTGTCTATGCTGGTCGTACCCTCAGAGCCTAAGATGACACAGAGCTCAGGAAATGAACACCCTCGGAGGGGGCTCCCCAAAACCCAGGGAGAGGTGGCCCACGCCTCTGGAATCTAGCTTCCAGGCCCTTCAGAGAGTGAGCGCCCCCAGGGTCCCCGTAAGAGAGCGTCTCCCCTGCGGTCCACTTGGGAGCAAGAGCGGTGATCGAGGCACAGCGCCAGTCGGGAGTGGGCTGGGGCGGCTCGCCTGCAGGTGGAAGGGCCTGACCCCAAGAGGGGCGGATGTCTGCGTTTGAGAAACAGGAGCTGCTGGTGATTAGGAGCCGCCGGGGACGAGCTGCGGGTCTCCAGCAGCTGGGCCCTGGGCAGGCTGGGGCCGCTCAGCGCTGACGGCCAGTCCCGGCCTCCCCGCCCTGCAGGCCTGCGGAACCCGCTGCAGAGGCGTCGGATGAGGCCGAGCGGCGCGCCCGTGGCTGCCACCTGCAGTACCAGCGGGCCGGTGTGCGCTTCCTCGCCCCCTTCGCGGCCCACCCGCTGGACGGCGGCCGCCGCCTCACGCACCTGCTTGGCCCCGACTGGCTGCTAGACGTGTCCCACCTCGTGGCGCCACACGCCCGCGTGCTGGACTCGCGTGTAGCCTCTCTGGAGGGTGGCCGTGTCGTGGTGGGCCGGGAGCCCGGTGTCACCTCCATTGAGGTAAGCAGCTGGGGACCAGGAGAGTAGACCCCCTGAGAAGGGTGGAGGGGCCCCCAAAATGTTCGTGGGTGGGAGTGAAGAGTGTGCCAGGAGCCCAGAGTGTGTGGGGGAGTTGTGCGGTCTAGGTCTGAGTGCAGTGGGATTGGGGATAGGCTCAGAATGGGGTGGCCGCATAAGGGGGGAAGCCCTCTAGCTATGAAGGGCTGAGGTGTGGGTAGTGTGGGGACCGGGTCTTGAGGGAAAAGGGAACTGCCCCCTAGGTGTGGGATTGGGGTCCAGGTATGCACCGGGGTGCAAAGAGTAGAGGGATAGTAGCCCATGAGCCTGCTGGGAGTACCCGGTTCCCTCTGGGTGGGGGCTGTCCGTGGCGAAGACCTCCCCCACCTCCGGAGGGCAGCCCGTGAGGGTGCTGGGAGCACCCGGTTCCCTCTGGGTGGGGGCTGTCTGTATGGAAGGCCCCCCACCTCCAGCTCCTTTCCACCCTCAGGTGCGTTCCCCACTGTCTGACTCCATCCTGGGGGAGCAGGCGCTGGCTGTGACGGACGACAAGGTCTCAGTGCTGGAGCTGAGGGTGCAGCCAGTGATGGGCATCTCGCTGACCTTGAGCCGGGGCACTGCCCACCCCGGGGAGGTCACAGCTACGTGCTGGGCACAGTCAGCCCTTCCCGCCCCAAAGCAGGTGACAGTTGGGGGGTCAGGGGGATGAGGTCAACATCTCCAGATGGGGGCTCATGGTAGAGGGGAATGGGAGGAAGGGACCCTGGTACCTCGACCCCTTAGGGTTTTCAGAGTGAGGACTGACTCTGTGAGGTAGTGAGCTCTCTGCAGCTGGAGGTGATCAAGCAGTGGCTGGAGTATGGCAGTGGGAGGTTGGTTAGATGGCTCTAACTGAGGACCCTCCCAATAACTCAGACCCTAGGGCTGAGTGGCAGACAGGTGATTGACACGCGTCCCCTCTCTCCCTGTGTTTTGTCTATCTGCCTGTGTCTCTGTTTTCTCTCTGGTCTCTCCTCCATGTGGCCTATCTCTGTGGGAGTGGTTTCTCTGTGCATGCGTGCGTGCCCTCGCATGTCTCTGCCTGTGTCTGTGTGCCCCACAGGAGGTGGCCCTCTCCCTATGGCTGTCCTTCTCTGATCACACTGTGGCCCCAGCTGAGCTCTACGACCGCCGTGACCTGGGACTGTCCGTCTCAGCCGAGGAGCCTGGTGCCATCCTGCCAGCTGAGGAGCAGGGTGCCCAGCTCGGGGTGGTGGTGAGTGGGGCAGGCGCCGAGGGGCTGCCGCTGCATGTGGCTCTGCACCCGCCCGAGCCCTGCCGCCGGGGCCGCCACCGTGTGCCTCTGGCCTCTGGCACCGCCTGGCTGGGGCTGCCCCCTGCCTCCACTCCAGCCCCTGCTCTCCCATCCAGCCCTGCTTGGAGCCCACCAGCCACAGAAGCCACCATGGGTGGTAAACGGCAGGTGGCAGGCAGTGTCGGGGGCAACACAGGTGTGAGGGGCAAGTTTGAGCGGGCAGAGGAGGAGGCCAGGAAGGAGGAGACCGAAGCCAGGGAGGAGGAGGAGGAAGAGGAGGAGGAGATGGTCCCTGCCCCTCAGCATGTCACTGAGCTAGAGCTGGGCATGTACGCCCTGCTGGGAGTCTTCTGCGTGGCCATCTTCATCTTCTTGGTCAATGGTGTGGTCTTCGTCCTGCGCTATCAGCGCAAAGAACCTCCCGACAGTGCCACTGACCCCACCTCCCCCCAGCCCCACAACTGGGTCTGGCTGGGCACTGACCAGGAGGAACTGAGCCGCCAGCTGGACCGGCAGTCCCCTGGCCCGCCCAAGGGGGAGGGGAGCTGCCCCTGTGAGAGTGGGGGAGGAGGGGAGGCCCCTACCCTGGCCCCTGGCCCTCCTGGGGGCACCACCAGCTCCTCAAGCACCCTGGCCCGAAAGGAGGCTGGGGGGCGGCGGAAGCGAGTAGAGTTTGTGACATTTGCGCCAGCCCCTCCAGCCCAGTCACCTGAGGAGCCTGTAGGGGCCCCTGCTGTGCAGTCCATCCTTGTGGCAGGCGAGGAGGACATCCGCTGGGTGTGTGAGGACATGGGGCTGAAGGACCCTGAGGAGCTTCGCAACTACATGGAGAGGATCCGGGGCAGCTCCTGACCCTCCACAGCCACCTGGTCAGCCACCAGCTGGGGCAACGAGGGTGGAGGTCCCACTGAGCCTCTCGCCTGCCCCCGCCACTCGTCTGGTGCTTGTTGATCCAAGTCCCCTGCCTGGTCCCCCACAAGGACTCCCATCCAGGCCCCCTCTGCCCTGCCCCTTGTCATGGACCATGGTCGTGAGGAAGGGCTCATGCCCCTTATTTATGGGAACCATTTCATTCTAACAGAATAAACCGAGAAGGAAACCAGAGCTGGGACTGCTGCCGTCTGTCCGGTAGAGTGAAGCAAGGGGGCTGGAATAGGGCCTGTTCAGCCCCTGTCCCTGCTGAAACGGCTGTGGGAGGCTGGGCCCTGGGACGCCCTCTCATAGCGTCCAGCGATCCAGACAAATAGGAGAGCCGTGACGGCCTGAATGCCAGCCAGCAGGAAGAAGTAGAGGTCCATCCGGCAATTGTTGATGTTCCCTGGGGAAAGGAGGGGTTAGATTTGGGTCAGGACAGGGATCCTCTGTCTTGCGCCCTGTGCCTGCCGTGTCCTAGCCCTGGGGCTGGCAACTGAGGCCATGTGGGCAGTGGTGGGATCTGAAGACACTGGACAGATACCCACTAATGTTTGACTTCCTGAAGATCTCCAGGGGTGTCTACAATTCCTCTTCAGCTATTCAGAAGGGGGCGTGAAATATAAACACCATGAGAAAGGTAACCCTTCAGCCAGAGATGGCAGAGTTCCAGAAGCAGAAAGGAGCCTTGGAGGTCCACTAAGTTCAACACTTGGGGAAAGAAAGGCCCAAGGAGGGAGGCCACGCTGTGGGTGACTGGCCAAGCCCGGGCTAGAACCCCATTCTCCCAAGTCTAGCCCTCTACTTGCTTCTCCCCAGAGTCAAAGCACTTTAGCAGTTGCCACCTCCTTTCCAAGCCTCCCTCCATCCATGTCCCACTCCTGGGGAGGCCCCATACTCACCAAAGTCCTTGGGGCAGTGCAGCCAGCCCCCGGGCAAGGACAGCAGTGCCACTAGGCTGGAGCCCAACAGTGAGCCCACCCCCGACAGGCAGAAGAAGATGCCCATGATGGCGCCCTGCATGGAGCGCGGGGCCTCTGAGTAGGCAAACTCCAGGCCTGCAGAGGGGGAGCAGAGACGATCTCAGGGGCTGGTGCAGGCGCAGAGAACAGGCCCAGGCCCCTGCTTGCTGCCCCTGACCCTGCCCCCACCAAGCCACCCTCCAGGCTTCCCCTGGATGCCTGTCCACTCAGTGGCAATGACAGCACCCATGCATCAATGCCGCCTTCCCCTCTGCCCTGCTCACCTGCCTCCTGGCTGAACCCCTGCACCGGGGTACTCCATGCGCTGCCCCAATAGCTCTGTCTCCCCTCCTCCCCTTCCTGCCAGGTCTATCATTTCAGTGACAGCACCATCTTTACCTCCTCTCTCTCCCCACCCTCTCTGCCCACCTTCAACGTCATCGTCAAATTGTTTTGATACAGCCTCTGAAATCTATTCTAAATATATGTCCTTCTCTCTATTCCCTCTGCCCTGGGTCCAACCCCAGCCCTGGTCACTTTCTGCAAATGCCTCTTAAACTCCCCTGACTCCTGTCCTCCTCACACAGCCAGGAGCATCAGTCTAAAGGACCTCGGATGGGGTCCTTTCCCGGCCAAAACCCCCTGGAGAGGAGGGGCGCTGTTGCCTTCAGGAGAAATCCCAAGGTGCAGGCTCAGCGCACAAAGCCCTTCGACACTTCGGCTCCCTGCACCTCCCATGCCTCTCCAGCCCTATCCCCCACGCTTCCCAAAGGCTTGGGCCTTTGCTTATGCTGTTCCCTCTGCCTGTAAGACCGCTCCTCCTACCCACTCACCTGCCCGCCTCCTCTCCATGCTTAAGGGCTCCCACTGCACTCTGCCCTGACTTCCACAGCACTCCACTGGCTCACTGTTTGCCTGACTCTCTCCCCATCTGAGTGAGCTCCCAGGGTCAGTCTTTTCTTTATGTCTGACCCAGCCTAGCCCTGGGCCCGCAGCTGAGGAAGCCCTTGCTTTTTTGCTGACTGAAGGGCCTGCCCCAGCCTTGCAGCTCTAGCTCCCAGCCCGGGGAAGGGGGTTGGGAGGGTGGGGAGCGAAGGACATAGAAATCCATTACTATGACCCAGAGTACTGTGTGCTATGATAGAGAGATGAACACGGGGCGGGAAGGGAGGACCCCTTCTGCCCAAGGACCTTGGTATTTAGGCTCAGAATTGAAGGGGATATTGGAGTTCACCTTCAGTCTAAGGTAGAGGGAACAGCAACTTCAAAGACACAGAGGGTGGAGAACCTGGCACCAGGGGAATACGTGGAGAGCTGGTGTGGGAAGTTTCTTGCTCGCCTCCAAATCCCCAGTGCCTGTCACATAGGGGCTGACTTGAACCAGGTGCTAATTATAGACCCCCGTTGGGTGAATGAGCCCTGGTCAGAAAACACTGCCTTCCTCCATGCAGATGGGCCCTGGGGGCTGCATCCCTGGGGTACCTGACTTTGAGGTGCCACCGGGCAGAGCCCATCACTGGTGCAGGAGCAGGGGAGGGGATCCAGGGTACCTGGGATGCTGGCAAAGATCTCACTGATCCCAATGAGCAGGTACTGAGGGATCTGCCACCAGATGGACAGTGGTGCCGCGTTGTACAGGACCTCCCCAATCTGCTGGGACACGGTCTCGTTGTGGTGGATGTAGTGTAAGCGCTCCATCTCCAGGACTCCTGGTGGAGGAGCAGAGGGGGATTATAGTCAGGCCCACCCCAGGCAGCTTAGCCCACAGAAGAGCTTGTACATGGTGGGGATGGGGTACTCATGAAGCAGCCAAAGATTGAGCAGCAGGCAAGGAAAAGAATGCTGGACTGGGGGGTGGAGGAGGGGGCCAAGATGTGACCAACTCCTCCCTTTTGGTCTTGGCTGCTAGAAGCTCCAAGCTGAGTTTTGCACTCAATAACACTAACAACTCTCATTAATGGAGAACCTGTTATGTGCTAGGCATTTACCATGCATCCTTGCTGCGGAAGAAAGTGAAATAACTAGCACTTTCAAGTGCTTAACTAGAAAGTTAAGCAACTAGCCCACAGTCACACAGCTGATAAGTAGTCAGGGCTGGATTTGAGCTCTGGTATGTCTGGTTTCAAAGCTGGCCTACTTTCCATGATATCACATGACTTCTCTACTGCAACGTCAAGTATTGCTGTAGTGTTTCTAACCTGGCTTTCAAGTTTAACTATGTTATCTCCTTCTCCTGTGTTGCTTGGGAGATAGCTGTGCTCTAGTGGAATGAACATTGGACATGGAGTTGGGGGACCTGGGTTCCCAGCCTGGCTAGCTGTGTGACCTTGGGCAAATCACTTAACCTCTCTAGACTCAGTTCCCTTACTCAAGAAGCAGGAATAACATTCCCAGGATTATTGTGAGGATAAAATAGGACAAACTGCTTTAAGGATATAGCTGGAATAAAATCTAGTTGGGTTTTCACACTTTCAACACAATACCGTTTATGGAGCTTTCATTTCTCCAGCTCATACTTGTGATCCAGGCACACTACTGAGTGCTTTACAGACTTCATCTGCTGTAATCCTCACAACACCCCCCATCAGACTGAGTTCCACAAGGGCAGAGCCCTGCTCAGGGTCCGAATGACACCTGTCCCCATTTTAAAGACATAGCTCAGAGACTCTAAGGAACTTCAGGGTCATAAAGTTACTAAGTAAAAAGGGTTCAGGTTTGTGCAACAGTGTGAAAGACTTCTTTAGCTGATCCCCCCCACTGCCCCCACCAACCCCCACTTTGTAACAAATGGCTTCAGATCCTTTTGAAATGGAAGAAGGAAGATAATTTTTTTTTAAGTCTTCATTTGCCACTAAGTGGAAAATTCATTCAACACATTTATGGAGGGCCCACGTGCATGTTCATAGCAGTGAATAAAAAAAGAAAAACTATCTCTGCCTTCAAGGAGCTGATAATTCACTGGGGGAAAATATTTGTTCCTCTCTCGGCCTGAGTTTCTTCTTCTGTCAAAATGAGGGGCAGCTGGATTAGATAGGAGGGTCTCTTTCAGCTTGCACCTCTGGGAAGCCAACACTGACGCCCACTGGGAGAGGCTGAACTTGGTCCAGGCTACCACTTCAGCATCAGCCCATGGTGGAAGCAGACTTCCCCAAGCCCAAAGTTCAGCCCCCTGCCCCACACCCCTCTGCACACCTGCCACAATGACGGAGGTAAAACCAAAGAACATCCCCAGCGCCATCTTCTGCAGAGCAGAGGGAAGCAGCTTGCACCGCAGCAGTAAAGGGTCGATCAAGCGGTCCTTCAGAGGGACCAGAATCAGCACCACCACAACATTGGCCAGGAGGAGCCAGGCTTCCGGGATCTGGGCAGGAGGAAGTCAGGAGAGGCAGGCTAGCAGAGTGCAAGGAGCCTGGCTGCAGTCAGGAGACCTGGACTCTAGACTGGCCCTGGGTGACCCTGGGGTCCAGCTCCTTTCCCTCTCTGGAGTTCATGCTCCTCAGCTGTGTAACCAGGGAGTGGGATTATGTAGAGATGGCAAATAGGTTCCTCTTGTATTCTAACTTTTATCAATTGGTAGTGGCTGATTATGGAACATTTATGGGCTCAGCATAAAAAAAGTCATGATTGACTAGTGATGTCTGCCATGGGCAAGGAAATGGACTACAATGGCAAATTTCTCATATATCTGCCAGCTCTGCAGATCATTCATTTCATGAGTCTGAAATGCCAAGGAACTGGTTTAGAAAGTTCTGGGAAAGGCAGAGATCTAGGTATCTAAGGGTCCCAGAGAAAGAGGGGACAAGGAAGAGTTGAAAAGGGACCTAAGTATGCTTGATCTGAGGGTGCAAATTAGGCAGCGAGACCTGCTTCAGAGCAGCAGCATGGGGGTGTGCAGCTGGCCTGAATTCCTTCAAGCAGTTGAGCATCTTGGCAGGATCCCTGCGCTGTGACACAAGTCCTCCCACCCTCCAGGTGCTTTTCCTGTATCCTGAGGTTGCCTTGCAGGCAGGAAAGGGGAGTGTGAAGGCAGTTTCATTTCCTCCTCTTCTCAGAGGAAGCCGCTACCTGGCTGAACTGGGTGCCGAACACATGCTTTATCTCTCACCGTGTAGCTGCTGCCCTGGGCTCTCAGGGCCACAGAGATGTTGGCCGGGTTGGCTGGGAAAATGTTTGGGATGTGGAGGTGAAGACCCTGCAGGACATAGGTGGACTGCATCTGCCAAGAGAGACAGGGGTGAGGCTGGAACAGAAACGGCCATGCCCCCTCCCAACTCCTAGGTGGCATTCCTCAGCGCCGTACCACAGGACAGCTGGGCAGCTGTCCCCTCTCCCAGTCTCAGGGAGATAGTCACCTTCCCACCCTCCTTTCTCCTAGGTAGCTGGGCTGGGCAGGGAGCTTCCTGTGCTCTGCTCTCAGGCCTGTAGGCAGTGCGTGCAGCCTTATCCCAGAGCCCAGGCACAGCTGGTCTGACTAGTATTTGTGTCCCCAGGGCCCAGCACAGGGTAAGCATGGATAAATGTTTGCTGAAATGGGAAAGATAATGGCTGCCCCCACAGGGAGTTCTCATCTGACACTGAAGCCAAGCTGAGTCCACAGGTTGACACAAGCACTGCATAGACATGGACTTGCCAGAATGGCTCTGGACACAGCTGCAGGAGCAGGGCCCAGGGGCCACCTCCAATACCACGCACTGCCCCTTTAGTTGCTATATAATGGAGTAGGATCCAGGAGACTCCCACAGGAAGGGCTGGGGCAGGGGAGAGCATGTGGACTGCTCAGGGCAGCAGCCATTTACCAACTGGTATGGAAGGAAGTCAGTATCTGATTGGTATGACTGAGAATCAGCCATGGACACCCTCCCACCACATGCCGCCATCTCATCATAGAAATACTGTGTGCCCCTAAGTAGCAGGCTGGGAGCTCCAACAAATGTTCCTGTGAAGGGGGTATGGAAGGCAATGACCTTATGGCCTGGGGGCTAGCATTAAGCTGCTGCCCACCCTCCTATCACACACACACACACACACACACACACACACACACACACACACACACACAAACACATCACTAACCTCCCCACTGAGGAGTAATATGGTGAGTGGAAGACAATAGTTCTCAACTCTGAGTATCTGTATCATCTGAAAAGTTTCTTAAACTAGAAACTTCCCCAGCAATTCTGATTCAATAGCCTGTGGTTGGACTTGGAATCTGTTTTTAAAACAGCATATTTTTAAAAGCTCTGCCGGTGATTCTGAAGCACAGCCAGGCTGGGGAACCACTGTTGCAAAGTACTCACTTTTGTGAGCTTGCCCCTGACCTGCCTGCCGTGGGGCCTTGGGCAACTGACACACCCTCTCTAGGCCTCAGCTACCAAGTCGGACAATCTGAATGCAGCAGAGCTGGAAAAGCCTCTCGTTTAAGCCACCCATTGTACACATGAGGAAACAGGCCCAGAGAGATGAGGTGACTTATTCAAGGACCTAGCCTGGCACAAAGCCATCCCAGTAATTCAACTCCCGCAGGAGGTATAGCAGGAGGAAGCTGTCTCCAGAGTTCCTCTTGCCGTACCACCGAGGGAGTTGGATTGCTGAGACGGCTTTGTGCCAGGCCCCATGCTAGCTGGTACGGGGCAGCACCTCACTTTATTCCCAGACTTTCCCCCTTTCCACATGCCCTGGGCCTCTGTGATGAGAAATGAGGCCATTCAGATGGTGAGTGGGGAGCCAGGCCCCCAGAGAAAAAGGGCAGGTATGCTCACCTGGAAGTAGACCATCCAGTAGGGCACCAGGGTCACCATGACGGGCAAGATCTTCACCAGCACCTGGAAGTTGGCGATGTCCTCTTGCGGGGAAGCCCCTGGCTGGGGAGACCTCTCGTCGGCCAGCACGCGGGCACATTGACGGTCTCTGTGAGACCCCAGAGGCAGCAGATAAAACAACAGTCAAGGCTGGGCTTGGTGGCTTATGCCTGTAATCCCAGCACTTTGGGAGGCTGAGGCGGGTGGATCACCTGAGGTCAGGAGTTCAAGACCAGCCTGGCCAAGATGATGAAACTCCGTCCCTACTAAAAATACAAAAATTAGCCAGGCTGTTTTGGCGTGCACCTGTAGTCCCAGTTATTTGGGAGGCTGAGACAGGAGAATTGCTTGAACCTGGGAGACGGATGTTGCAGTGAGCCAAGACTGTGCCACTGCACTTCAGCCTGGGCAACAGAGCCAGACTCCCTCTCAAAAAACAAGCAAACAAACAAACGCAGCAGCCATAATCTTCCCCACCACCTCAGCCAACGTTTTCACTTCTACCATCACCCCCTAATTTAATCCTCCTCCCAGTATCAGCACGTCTCTGAAATCAGTACCCTCATCTCCTCCACCCCGCTGTTAGCACCACCTTCGCCATCATCACCACCATCGCCAAGGCCAGCATCCTTACTATCATCACCTTTAGTAAGGTGACTGCTGTCAGCAAAATCGTCCTCTCCACGGGGTTTCCATTCACATCACCATCACTCTTTTTCAATGTTGGCACCACTACTGCCAATATTATTCTATCCTCTCTTTTGCTGCAAAAGTGCCTAGCCAAGACTCATTCCGCTCTAGAGCTGTGGCCCCTCTGAGTCCTGAGGGAAGTAAGACCAGAGACTGTGGAAAACAGTCTGAAGGGATTTTTTGGCTCGTAGCATCAATTTGCCACGGGAACCAGGGGAGTCCCAGTCCAAGCCTGACTCAGAGAGAGACGCTGTCACAGATTTGATACACCAAAATTCCCCCCCCTTGCTGTCTCAAGTCCATCCTCCTCAACAGTCAACATGGCAACCCTCTCCCTCCATGACAAGGCATAGAGAGTGGAGAGGTGGGGGTAGAGGGAATATCAGTAGGCGACAAGATTGATCAATCACTGCTGCAGCCTTTACCCTTTGCCCTTTGCCCTTTGTCCTGAGAGCTTTCTGACCTCTTTTTGTCCAAGAGCCTTGCACTGTCCTTTGAGATTCCAAAAGGGACAATATTAGTGTAGTCATCTCCAAAGACAGCCACTGTCAACTCCACCCTTCCCAGCGTGTGCTGCCATTTTGCCACCAACAGGTGGAGTTTACTTTCACTGCCATTGTTTCCCTGCTGGCCTTGTGACAGCTTTGACCTGTTAGAATGAAGCAGAAGTGGTGGTCTGGGACTTCAACGCCTCTTAAGGACCTTAAGAAGACCCATAACTTCTGCTTTCTTCCTCCCCGGAACATTCATTCTTGGAAAGCTCCCTCCTCTTGGAACCCTCACACGACGCTGTGAGAAGTTCAAGCCACATGGTAAGACCACACGAATGGGAACCAAGGTGCTCTGGTCCACACAGTCCCATCTGAGCTCACAGCCAACAGCCCACATTGACTGCCAGCCATGTAAGTGAGCAGACTCAGAAGTTCTAGCCCTTTCCAGGTCCCAAATGACTGCAACCCCAGTGCCATCACGAGAAGCAGAACGGCCCGACTGAGCCCAGTCACTCAGAACTGGGAGAGGAGATAAAAAGGTCATTTAAATCACTAAGCTCTGGTGTGGTTTGTTAGGCAGCGATAGGTAATGAAAACCACCACACTTCTCGGCTCCTGACAACTTACAAACCTCTAGCAATATGCCAGACTGGGGAAAGCATGTTCTTCACCTTTTTCATTTAGATCCTATTGACAGGAGCTGTAACTGGCTGCAAGGTCTGGAGACAGATTTGCTTGGCATAAGTAGACAGTTAATTTAGGAAGGCGAGGGGCAAAAGGAAGCCATGGGACCTATGCAAGGTCATTCAGAACCTTCCTCCTTTGGATGTCAGCTAATGAGGAGGGAGCGAGTTTGGCCGATTTCCTAAGACGCTGTGATGGTTAGTAACAGGGTAATGTGGAATTATTTACATTGTATCCTAACAGCCTTCATTGGAAACATCATCCCCATCATCCTCTCCTTTAATGCCACTGTCATCCGCATTGCCAATGTTTGTGTCTTCAGTGTAGATACCAACACCATCATCCTTATCCTTACTACCATCTTCACTGTCAAGACCCTGATCATCCTCACACTTCCTTTTTTTTCATTTTTCTTTTTTTATTTTTTTCCTGTTCTGTCACCCAGGCTGGAGTGCAGTGGCACCATCATGGCTCACTCCAGCCTCAACCTCCTGGACTCGATTGATCCTTCTATGTCAGCCTCCCAAGTAGCTGAGACCACAGGCACAGGCCACCACACCCCACTAATTTTTGTATTTTTTTGTAGAGATGAGGTTTCACCATGTTGCCCAGGCTGGTCTCGAACTCCCAGGCTCAAGCAAGCCACCAGCTTCAGCCTCCCAAAGTGCTGGAATTAGAGGGATAGCCACCGCCCCCAGCCCCATCCTCACACATTCTGTACGTAGATGGCAACCAATAATACCACCACCACTACCACCACTACCTTGACCTCCATCCTCAGTCACAGCGGGCAGCTCTGGCCCACTGGAGAGCAGATCATCATAAAAAGCTATCACTGTAGCTGAACCAGAATGTCTGCAACCTGGACCATGCCTCCCCGGGAGCGATCCAGCGCTTCTCCAGGCTTGGAGGCTCCCTGCACCCAGAGCCCCTCCTTACCTGGCCGAGTGTCGTTGCCACAGCTGGGGGCAGCAGTTTTGGAGAGCGAGCTTAAGCATAGAGGACACTTGGCTGCCCATCGGGGGCTTGGTGATGAAGACGGGGGTGGCAAAGAGGAAGATGAAAAATGCCAGGCCCACACAGCCCACAGGGATGCTGTAGCCCAGCAGGAAGCTGATGTTCTGCTGAATAAACGCCACCACCAGCAGCGACAGCACAGCACCCAGGTTGATGCTCCAGTAAAACCAGTTGAAGAAGCGGCGGGTGGCGTCGCGGCCGAGATCCATCACCTGCCATT
This sequence comes from Homo sapiens, assembly GCF_000001405.40. NCBI lineage: Eukaryota > Metazoa > Chordata > Mammalia > Primates > Hominidae > Homo > Homo sapiens. Next base: position 60,946,830 of record NC_000011.10, read on the forward strand.
CAGGAAGGGGTGACAGTGAGGGCCAAAGGGGTCCGGGGCACTCTCTGTACCCATACCCCTCCCTCCTACAGAGACACTTCTTGGGTCAGTGGGTGGTGGGCGTTCCGACACTTTCCCAGTCTCTGATCACAAACAGATGCTCAGTAAATATTTGCTGAGTGAATGAATGAATCCTTCTCTTGGGAGTCACTTGCTAAAGATCAGGACATTTGGCCCAGCTGCTTTTGCATACCCATGACACACACTGCTTTTTTATTGTCGCAGAGGAACACATACAACAGATGTCTCAGATGGACTTGTTCATTTCTGGTTGATTTATCCCTTTGTTTTTCACTGAGCAACCTACACTATTCATTATTTTTTTTTTTTTGAGACAGTCTTGCTCTGTTGCCCAGGCTGGAGTGCAGTGGCACAATCTCGGCTCACTGCAAGCTCCACCTTCCGGGTTCATGCCATTCTCCTGCCTCAGCCTCCTGAGTAGCTGGGACTACAGGCACCTGCCACCACACCTGGCTAATTTTTTGTATTTTTAGTAGAGACGGGGTTTCACCTTGTTAGCCAGGATGGTCTCGATCTCCTGACCTCGTGATCCGCTCGCCTCGGCCTCCCAAAGTTCTGGGATTACAGGCGTGAGCCATCGCGCCCGGCCTATTCATTACTTTTATAATCAGAAAAAAGCCAATAAGATCTCAGTTTTATTGCACATTATTAAAAATGTTGTATGCATGTTACCGAAAGAACAGAAGTCTGAGCGAGAATTTCCTCTGCAGTTCGGAGAGGCAAGCAGAGAAGCCTACTGTGACCCATCCTTTCACCCCACTTTTGTCCCTCTGATATACAGCAGAGGTGGTCCCAGGCACAGCCCCAAGAGTGAGTTCTGGCCTGGTGAAAAAAACGTTTTTTTTCAGGCCTCCCAGCAAGGGCAGATGGGCTGAAAATCTTTACCCAGAATTTGGATCAATCAGCAACAGCCAGGCCCCAGGCCCCTTCTGGTCTGTTGGCTCCAGTCAGCTGCACTAGCTGCTTCCAAATCTCCCAGGCCCAGGTCCCAGATTCTGACTCAGCAGGTCTGGGGCAGGACCTGGGCATCTGCATTTAAAAAAAAAGCAGTGAGGACTAGGGGCCATTTCAATGGAGAGAATAAATACTTCTCTACATTGCTAAACCAGTCACCCTTTCCATGCCCCTGCAAATCTCAGGATCCATTACTGCCTTTCAAGTAGAGATTTATATTTCCACTAGCTAGGGCGATTTTGTCAAACTTTACTTTCTGTAGTTGCATTGGGGAAAAGACAAGTATTTATTTTTCCTTTTTCAAATGTAAAATTATAGTCCACACAGATGCACTTAAACCCGCATTCCATTGGAGATTCTGCGGGGTCCTCCTGGAAGTGGGGAGGGAGGGGCATACCAGCTCACTGATAATTCTCGCTCTAGACTTTCAAGCAGAAAATTGAATAGGTCCCATTAGAAGCAGCCACTTCCATTTATTAATTGGAAGTAAATGAATGTGACTATTGTAACTCTAAGGGGGAAGACCAGGCAGCCCATTCAGGATATAAATGAGTTCTTTTAGAATGAGCAGATGCTTTGTCGAGAGTGATGGATGGCCCTTTCTGAAATCAGCAAGTATGTGAAACACGCAGCTCCTGGGGTATAGCTGTTGCCAGATGGTGCCAGTCCCACCCACCCCCACATCCCCATCTGACTGCCCCCCTGAATTCTGCAGCCGCTTCCTGCCTGTTGTGAAGTACCCACTCTTGTTAACCCATATGCTATCTACACTGCAGCCGGAGCCATTTTTGAAGAGCTCAAATCCAGTGATGTCCATTCCTGCCTCAAATCATTTTGGTGTTTCTGCACTGTCCTAGGGATCAGGTCCCGACTTCATGAGGCCTTGTGGCCTGCCTTTGCTCCACCCAAAGTTCGTGCCCAGCCAAGGGGAGAACGTACAGGAGCTTCTGGCCCTGTTGATGCCACGGGAGGCTCTGCTCAGTGGCCTGGCCTCCAGAAGATCAGTTTTGCCACAGGGGGTACTAGATGGGTGAGGCTCTCTGGAGGTCAATAGGGTCAATGACACAGGTTAAGGGTACTGGGTTGGGGGTGCTAGTGGGATGTCAATGAAATAATAGGATTAAAGGAAGATGAGAGATTCCCATTGACAAATATTGGGGGTCTCTAGGTCAGAAAGAATGTCAACAAGAAGTAAGAAACGGTCAGGGCTGGCCGGTCGCAGTGGCTCACGCCTGTAATCCCAGCACTTTGGGAGGCTGAGGCAGGTGGATCACCTGAGGTCAGGAGTCAAGACCAGCCTGGCCAACATGGCGAAACCACATCTCTCCTAAAAAAATACAAAAACTAGCCAGCGTGGTAGCGGGCACCTATAATCCCAGCTACTTGGGAGGCTGAGGCAGGGAGAATTGCTTGAGCCCGGGAGGTGGAGGTTGCAGTGATCTGAGATCGCACCTCTGCACTCCAGCGTAGGCAACAGAGCGAGACTCCGTCAAAAGAAAGGAAGAAAGAAAGGAAAGAAGGAAAGAAAGAGAAAGAAAGAGAGAGAGAGAAAGAGAAAGAAAGGAAGAAAGAAAGAAAGAAGGAAAGAAAGAAAGAAAGAAAGAAAGAGAAAGAAAGAGAGAGAGAGAAAGAGAAAGAAAGGAAGAAAGAAAGAAAGAAGGAAAGAAAGAAAGAAAGAAAGAAAGAAAGAAAGAAAGAAAGAAAGAAAGAAAGAAAGAAAGAAAGAAAAGAGATGGCCAGGGCTGGCCTGGGGGCATGAAGTCATCATCAAAGGATCCTAAACAAGCTGGACAAGTGACTCCTTGTCAAGGACACTGGAAACTGCTAGGTGCTGAATTGTGGGTGCCAATTGGATGAAACGATCCTTTTGAAAAATGTCCCCTTTATGAGTATAATATGTGCAATCAAAGAACATTTGATAAACTGAGACAAGAAGAAAGTGCAATTAGTCCAGTGGCCTGATCATACCACTGTGACAATCTTTTTCCAGTTTCCTTTCGTTGACACCTCGTCTTTCCACATGGCTGCAGTCCTATCTGTATGCAGTCCTGCCTCCTGCTTTTGCTCATTTACACCATATGTGGTTATTTTAATAATATTACATTTTAGTCTAAATTATTGTCTAATATCCCACTGGGAACAGCTATCAAAATATAGCCGTGTTGTTGGGCATTTACTCATTCATTTAGCAAATACTTATTAAATTTCTTCTACGTGCCATGCTCTGTTCAAGGGGGAACGGAGAAAGGCTCAGAGGTTGAGCTAAGGGAGAAGACCAGGCAGCCCATTCAGGATATAAATGAGTTCTTGCCCATGTGGCTCCAGCTAGTGAAAGGCAGAGCTGGGATCTGAGCAAGTCGGCCTGACAGCCTCTAGCACTGCTGGTAGGAAGAAGCTGGCTTGCTCCTGCCCTGCCCGCACATCCCCATAACACACAGAGAGGAGGTTCATGGTGGGACCTGGAGTCCAGCTGCCTTTACTCGGCTCCTCGACCCTCCATGTCACCTTGGGCAAGTTGATTAATGCCATGAAACCTCTCAGTGTCTTTCTCTGTAAAATGGGCATAATAATTCCTACTTCCTGGGTGGTGAAGAGTATTAAATCAGTTAAACAGTGAAAGTGCTTAGCATAGGGCCTGCAAGTAGCTCAAAAAAGACCAACCTGCCTGGCGTGGTGGCTCATGCCTGTAATCCCAGCACTTTGGGAGGCCTAGGCAGGTGGATCACCTGAGGTCAGGAGTTCAAGACCAACATGGTGAAACCCCACCTCTACTTAAAAAAAAAAAAAAATTACAAAAATTAGTTGGGCGTGGTGGCAGGCCCCTGTAATCCCAGCTACTCTGGAGGCTAAGGAGGGATAATCGCTTGAACCCGGGAGGCTGAGGTTGCAGTGCGCTGAGATCGCGCCATTGCACTGCAGCCTGGGCGACAGAGTGAAACTCCGTCTCAAAAAATAAAACAAACAAAAAAACAACCATGGTTATTCCCACTGCGGTTGCCATCGGTTTTGCAAGGGCTAGCCCCCCTCTTCTTTCAAATCAGGAAACTAGTGCAGGCAGGGGACCTGGTTTGTCCCAGGTCACGCTGGGGGCCAGCCCTCCTTCCCTCCACACCCGCCGGAGTATGCCGGGGCAGGCCTCCTGCCACTCACCTGGTCGGCACCGAAGGAGGTGAGGTTGCTCCGGACGGAGCTGGCGGCCAGGCCGAGTAGCAGCAGGCCCGCGTAGAGGACGGGCGCGCAGTAGGGGCTGGGCGAGGAGCGCGGGCAGCCGGCCGAGGGGCAGGCAGGTCCCAGCGGCGACGCGGGCATCTCTCCGCAGAAGGAGCTGCGGCCGTCGGGGAAGGCGGTGGCGGGCAGCAGGCCCGAGGCGGCCAGGTAGAGCAGCAGGCTGAGCGCGACCGCGCGGTAGCGGCCCAGGTACACGTCGGCCAGCCAGCCGCCCACGGGCGCCAGCAGGTAGGAGGCGCCCAGGAATACCAGCGCGGCGCGCGTCGCCTGCTCGCCGGTCCAGTTGAAGTTGGTGCTGTTGAGGTACAGCACGAGGTTGGCGGTGACGCCGAAGAAGGCGGCGCGCTCCAGCATCTCCACCAGCAGCACGGCCGCGCCCGCCGCCCGCCGCCACCGTCGAGGGCCCCGCGCACCGCGAGGCAGCAGCGGCTGGCGCTCCCCGGGCACGCGGGGCTGCTCCCGGGCGCGCGGCGCGGGCATCCTGGCTCCGGGCTGGGCCCCCCGCGGCTCTTCTCTCCTCTCCTCTCCCCGCCTCAGAGCCCTGCACTCCTGCCCCCGGGCCTCGGCCCTCTCCCCCACCCAACTGGCTGGCCCTCCTTTCTCACCGCTTTGGCCCACCCTTCCCTCCTGTCCCCTCTCCCTTTCTTGCCCTACCCTTCCTGTCCCTCCGCTCACTACCCGGACTCTACCACCTCCTCCCTAATTCTCAACTCCCCTCTCCCTTCCCCCACCCCTAAGGCTTCCTCCCCGCGCCTCTCCTGCAGCTGTTTCTCCCTAACTCTCCCCTCTCCTCCCTCCACCTTGACCCTTCCTCGCACTCTTGTTCACACTGCGACCCTCCCTGCTTCACTTCGCTGCCCCTCCGCCTCCCTTTCCCCTCCCCGTTTGTCGCCCCTTCCTGTTGTCCCCTCTCCTTATGACTCCTGGCCTGCCCTGGGCGTGGGGTGGGGGCTCCCTCTGCCCCAGTCACCCTGCTGCCCCTTGCCGTCTTCTCCACCTCCTCCCTGTCCCCCTCACCCCCACTGCCTACACTCCCCTCTCAGTCCCCTGCAGCCCTCCCCCCAGGCTCAGCCTCTGTCCCTCTCTCGGCTTCTTGAGAAACTCTGGGCTCCCCTCGCTTCCCCTTTCACAGGCCCTATCCGCAGTCCCCTGCCTGCATCACATGGCGCTACTGGGTGTTTAGGAGAAGTGAAAGCCTGGGTCACAGGGCTCCTGCCCGGTCAGCTTTCTAAAAACCTCCCTCCTTCTCTACCTCTGCCTCCTACCCCAAACCCCCGCTGCTGGCCTCCTTAGAGCCAAAAAATTCCAGGAGGAATTTTTTCTTTCAGTTTCATTTCTCGCCAGGATTCCACTTTTGCTTTACCCTCTTCCAATCAAACTCCACGCCTCCACCCGAGGCGCCACGGGTAGAAAGAAGTGGAAAGGCTACCTGCATCATTTGGTCACACTCAGCCATTTCACAGATGCAGAGACAGACCCAGTGGGGCTAGGGCAGGAAGGTGGAGAAAGATTGGTTCCTGGTAACTGAACTAGGGGTGAAGCCCTGCCCCGGGCTCCTGAGTGGCAGGGAAATTCACAGCGCAATTCGGATTGCACAGAGGCTGCTGTGAGGAAGGAAGTGGGGCACTTTCAACAAGCCTGCGGGCCATAGAGGACCACAAGTGAGTCGGGATTGAGAGGGACACCGACCTCAGACTAAATCAGAGTCAGCCTCAGAACTCCTAAGCACCAGCCCCACCCTGACCTAGGAGCCCGGGGGATCTGGCCTCTGCTCTCCTCTGATCTCATCTCAGCCCCATGTTCACTCAAGTCCAGCCAGCCGGCCTCCCAGGTTCCCCTTCCATGCTAAGCTCCTCCCTGCCTCAGGGCCTTTGTCTTTGCTGACCCCTCTGCCATAACTGCTCTCCCTCCATATCCTTGCATGGCTGGCTGCTTCTCTTTATTGAGGTTTCAGCATATATGTCTCCTTTGTAGGGACCTTCCCTGATTTTCCCATCTAAGTAGTTTCCTACTGGATTCTCAGCATCCCCCATCACATTGTCTTGTTTTAATGTCTTCAGAGCACATATTACTTGTTCAGTTAGCACCAGTAGAATAGGCCCTCCATCAGATCAGAGACCTTTTCTAACTCTTCACTGTTTTATTCTCAATGGCTTCCCAGTGCTTGGCAAATAGTAGGTGCTCAATAAGTATTGCCTGAATCAATGAATGGAAAGAGTGTCCCAAGGCAAAATTTGTAAGAATAATAATATCAGGAAAGCTAAAGCTAAATAAACTGAGTCTCACAAAAGCTATAGATACCAGCAAAAAAAGCACTATAGATACCAGCAAAAAAGCGAGGGATTTTTTGTTGTTGTTGTTTGTTTGTATGTTTGTTTTGAGACGAAGTCTCACTCTGTCGCCCAGGCTGCCATGCAGTGGCACAATCTCGGCTCACTGCAACCTCCACTTCCTGAGTTCAAGCAATTCTCCTGCCTCAGCCTTCTGAGTAGCTGGGATTACAAGCGCGTGCCATCACGCCTGGCTAATTTTTGTATTTTCAGTAGAGATGGGATTTCACCATGTTGGTCAGGCTAGTCTCAAACTCCTGACCTCATGATCCACCTGCTTCGGCCTCCCAAAGTCCTGGGATTACAGTTGTGGGCCACTGTAAGTTTTTAACATGTTAGAGAAGCCAGGCCAAGAGGATGGTGAGAAAGCAAAGCCCTCCATCCCAGGTCTTCCTGCAGTCACTGCAGTCAGGACCATGTGCTCTCGTGAGGTGGGCAGAGCCTGGAGGAGAGAAGAGGAGACTTCAATGGAGCTGCACCATCCCTCGACTTGGAGGAAGCTTAGGTCATCAGCTGTGACGGTATGGTGACGAAGTTCAGATCACATCAGATCCAGCTCCTTCCTCTCTTGGCAAGATCACTAGGCTGGCAGATGAGCTCAGACTTAGCCCAGAGAGCTGAGTCTTACCCAGAGAGCTGAGAGAGTGCTGGCCTGCCATCGGTGATGTTCAGCGGGTGGTAGATGAAGGGAAAGGCTTCTAAAAGCAGTGTGGCCTGCAGAGAAAAACCCAGGAGAGGAAAGTAGCAAAGAAAAGAGGAGTGCAGCATCTTTTTTTTTTTTTTTTTTTTTTTTTTTGAGACAGAGTCACACTCTGTTGGCCAGCCTGGAGTGCAGTGGCACGATCTCGGCTCACTGCAACCTCTGCCTCCCAGGCTCAAGCAATTCTCCTGCCTCAGCCTCCTGAGTAGCTGGGATTACAGGCGTGTGCCACCACGCCCGGCTAATTTTTGTGTTTTTTAGTGGAGATGGGGTTTCACCATGTCAGCCAGGCTGGTCTCAAATGCCTGACCTCAGGTAATCCATCTGCCTTGGCCTTCAAAAGTGCTGGGATTACAGGTGTGAGCTACCGCACCCAGCCCAGCGTCTTTCTTACTGCCCAGCCTCCATCTCCAAGGTACCAGGGGGCCAGGTGCTGGGCTGGTTCACTGGGGAAAGTCCTGGGGACACATTTAGCTGGGGAGAAGGTAGGGGTGACTTGCCTCTTGCAGATAGGGGAAGTAATGTTCCAAAAGCGGACATGACTGTCACCCAGGGCACGAGTCACAACACTGATGACCAGTGGGAGGGAGCTGGAGAGCAGAATCTTAGAACTGAGGAGCCCCAGAGCTGGTGGGCCATGGCCGTGACCCACAGGTCTATGTGGTTTGGCTCTGATAGTGTTTAGTTACATGGTGTTTAGTTTTTGTTGTAGCTTCTGTTACTGTTTCTCTTTTTATTTTTTTATTTTTATTTTTTTTTGAGATGGAGTCTCACTGTGTCACCCAGGCTGGAGGCTGGAGTGCAGTGGGGTGACCTCGGCTCACTGCAACCTCCGAATCCTGGGTTCAAGAGATTCTCGTGCCTCAGCCTCCCGAGTAGCTGGGACTACAGGTGCCCGCCACCGTGCCCAGCTAATTTTTGTATTTTTAGTAGAGAAGGGGTTTCGCCATGGTGGCCAGGCTGGCCTCAAACTCCTGACCTCAAGTGATCCACCTACCTCGGCCTCCCAGAGTGCTGGGATTATAGGCATGAGCCACCGTGCCCGGCCATATTGTTTTTTAATTTTAAAACATTTTTGAAGTTTTAGTTATCTCCTTAAAAATTCAGAAGTATTGGCCGGGCACGGTGGCTCACGCCTGTAATCCCAGCACTTTCGGAGGCCGAGGTGGGTGGATCGCCTGAGGTCGGGAATTCGAGACCAGCCTGACCAACATGGAGAAACCCCATCTCTACTGAAAACACAAAATTAGCCGGGCGTGGTGGCACAGGCCTGTAATCCCAGCTACTCAGGAGGCTAAGGCAAGAGAATCGCTTGAACCCAGGAGGCGGAGGTTGCAGTGAGCCCAGATCGCACCATTGCACTCCAGCCTGGACGACAAGAGCGAAACTCTATCTCAAAAAAAAAAAAAAAATCAGAAGTATTAGCATGAAGATCCGGACTTTTGGCTACTCCTGAAATTGCAGAGGATCTGGCATCTCTGGGCCTGCATGCTCACAGAGAGCCAAGGGCAGCAACACTGTCTGGTGCGGTGACATGCTGAAGTGTCCCTGCAGATGCCTTGGTTGGAGGCTGGTGAAAATGAGCCTTTTTACCTGTGCATCTAACACAGCTACTGTTGAGTGTGAGAAGCACAGGGGCTGCGTCATCAGCGAGCTTTCTTAGAGAGATCACAATGAGGATGTTAGGTGAAGTGGCTTCTCGAGTCTCCTAGATTCTCCTGATGGCACTCTGCCAGGGCAGGGTGAGAGACGTCAGATTTTAGGAAGTTCAAAAGTAGGACTTGACTAACCACTTAGGCCCCCAGCTCTACCTTTTAAAACCCAGCACAATTACTTTATGTGGTTGAAAAAAATGAAGCAATGAAACCTTGATCCAACTTTCACTCTCCAGGTACAATTTCTTAGTAATGCACTGGCACCATCCTGCTGTGTTGCCCACAGGTTTTATAGTTCACAGGTGAGCATCAAATACACACAGCCTCATCAAGACTGTGCAAGCAGGACCAAGAGGTGGCCCCTGCAGTTGAGGCAAGGTTATCCCCCAGATCTAGCCAAGGCCTGCCTCACACCTTCAGAACAATTTAGATTTCTCTTATACCTGGCCAACCCACTCTCTACACCTGTAGGGTGATCCTGGGCTTGACAATAGGTGAAAATTAAAAAATTGAGCCACCTGGATAAAAGCATAATAGCCACAGATTGAGGAGAGGCAAAGTAGAGGGAAGGACAGTGACAGTCTGGGGAATTTTTTGACTGCTATGCAGGCATTCATCCACAGCAGCTTCTTATGCTGCAGTGACCAATCCTAACATCCTGCTCACTCCAGGGTGGTCAGTCCCAGCATGCCCTGGTGTGTAGCAGGTGCACCAGGAATTGCAGGTAACCTACCGCTGAATTGTCCACACATCATTCCCATTCCCAATGGAGACAAGTGGCTGCCCGTGGAATATCATTTACTTGTGGCAGGACAAGGTTGAGAACTGATGTTTGGCCCCATCCCCATGACTACAAGGACAGCCCGGTGCCTTGAAAGGAGTAGGACAGAGCAGACACCTTTCCAAGCCGATGGGGCCAGAATGAATCAGCAGCACATTCCCAGGGCCACAGCTTAGGATGAGACATAGACTGTGGACTGGCTTGTGGAAGGCCATGGCCCCCAGTGGGGAGGATGACAGTAGAGGATACACCCTCATATTGTCTTCCCTGTCCCTTAGCACCCAGGAGGAGTGAGGCCATCCACAGACTGGGATCTGGAGGGGGAGGCAACATTTTGCCAAAGATAGTTTTTTCTTCTTACATCATTTTATTAAGTGTTCATTCTCACCCACCTTTTAGAAAATGGATTGCAGTCATGCCTGCCCCCTGTTGCAGATATCCCCAAGGGTCCTGCCCCTAAGTTCCATTGATGTTGCCTGGTCATTCTGTTTTGTGTCCACCCATCTCTCTCTCACCCCCACAACACTGCCCCTGTTTGGGCAGCCAGCATTCCCTTCCTGAACCACTGCAGTAGGACCTTTCGGTTCACGTTCAGCACTGAAGCCAGCGTGCTTGAAACCCTGAAAGGGCACCCTCTGGTTCTGGATTCTCTAGGACAAAGTCTCAACTTCTTTGTCCAACTTTGCAGGCCCTCCAGGATTAACCCCTTCCGGACCAACTCCCAAGTTCATCTCTGACTGCTCTCTCTCCATGTCTCCTGCTCCCACCCTGCCTTCAGCCATGGTCAGCTTCCAGCCGCCTTTCATCTGGAACTTGGCACATGCTGCTCCTCTAGCCTAGAACTTTCTATGACTCATGAATACTGATCCCTCAGGACTTGACCCAGATGTAACCTCTTCTGAGTAGTCTCCCCTGATTTTTCAAGGCTGGGATCCTGGGTTAGTCTGTTCTTGCATGGCCGTAAAGAAATACTTGAGGCTGAGTAATTATAAAGAAAAGAAAAGAGGTGCTGGGCGTGGTGGCTCATGCCTGTGATCTCAGCACTTTGGGAGGCCGAAGCGGGTAGATCACTAGGTCAGGAGTTCACAACCAGCCTGGCCAACATGGTGAAACCCCATCTCTACTAAAAATACAAAAACTAGCCGGGTGTGGTGGCGGGCACCTGTAATCCCAGCTACTCAGGAGACTGAGGCAGGAGAACTGCTTGAACCTGGGAGGTGGAAGTTACAGTGAGCCAAGATTGTGCTACTGCACTCCAGCCTGGGAGACAGAGCAAAACTCTGTCTCAAAAAAAAAAAAAAAAGAAGAAGAAGAAGAAAAAGAAAAGAGGTTTAATTGGCTCATGGTTCTGCAGGCTGCATAAGAAGCATAGTGCCAGCATCTGCTTCTGGTGAGGCCTCAGGAAGCTTGCAATCATGATGGAAGGCAAAGGGGAGCCAGCATGTCACATGGCGACAAAGAGAACAAGAGAGAGAAGGGGGAGACCCCAGAGTCTTTTAAACAACCAGATCTCCCATAAACTAACAGAGCAAGAACTCCCTATTACCATAAGGGATGGGGATGGTGATGAGCCATTCATAAGGATCTGCTACAACGATCAAATCACCTCCTGTCAGACCCCACCTCCAAAACTAGGGATTACATTTCAGCATGAGATTGAGGGGACAAACATCCAGCCTATAACAGTTCTCCCTCATCATCCCTCGCGGCAACTCATGTCACACGAGCCTGCTTACTTGCCTGTTTCTCTCACTGGACTAGTGACTTTTTGAAGACAGGGCTCGTGTTTTCTTCCTCTCTGTTTCAGTGCCTGGCACCATGCCTGGTACCTAGAAGTCACATCCTCTCCAAGGGAATACTCTGGAGTTGGGTCACCAGAGAAAGGGCCCTGGTTTGACCTCTTAAGAGCTGTGTGATCTTCAGCAATAACTTAACCTCTTCAGTTTCTTTATCTGAGAAATGGAGGAGAAAAATTATACTTAACGTAGAGGGGTTTTGGTGAGTATCAAAAAGAGATAATAACCCAGCATGGTGGCTGGCATAGAGTAAGGGCTCAAGAAATGTCTGTACCTGCCAGGCGTGGTAGCTCATGCCTATAACCCCAGAGCTTTGGGAGATGAAGGCGAGAGGATCGCTTGAGCCCAGGAGATCGAGATTGGCCTGGGCAAATTGGCAACACTCCAACTCAGGCCTGGTGCGGTGCGGTAGCTCACGCCTGTAATCCCAGCACTTTGGGAGGCCGAGGAGGGTGGATCACCTGAGGTCAGGAGTTCGAGACCAGTCTGACAAATATGGTGAAACCCTGTCTCTACTAAAAATACAAAAATTAGCCGGGTGTGGTGGCGTGTATCTGTAATCCCAGCTACTGGGGAGGCTGAGACAGGAGAATCGCTTGAATCCAGGAGGTGGAGGTTGCAGTGAGCTGAGATTGTGCCACTGCACTCCAGCCTGGGTGACAGAACGAGACTCCATCTCAAAAAATAAGATAAAATAAAAACTCCATCTCTATAAAAAATTTAAAAATTAGCCAGGCAGGAGGCTGAGGTGGGAGGATCTCTTGAGCCTAGGTGGTCAAGGCTGCATTGAGCCATGATTGTGCCATTGCATTTCAGCCCGGGTGACACAGCAAGACCCTGGAGACAGACAGACAGAGAGAGAGAAAGAGAGAGAGAGAGAGAGGAAATATCTGCACCGTTATTAACTAATAAATTGAGTAAATATTGAGAATGCTCACAATGTGCTGAGTGCTATTCAAGGTGCTGAGGACACAACAGTGAATGAAACAGACAAACATCTCTGCCCTTGGGATGGGAAAGAGACAACAAGCAAATAAATATGGGATAGAATAGATTTAATGTCATACGTAATAAAGGCGATAATGAAAAAGAGTTAGAGACAGGGATGACAGCAGTTGCTTTTCGGATAGTGTATACTATAATACTAATTTACTGTAAGTCAGAATTTCTCAACATCGACACCACTGGCACTCTGGACTAGATACTTCTTTGCTGTGGGGAGCTGTGCTGTGAACTGTAGCGTGTTCAACAGCGTTCCTGGCCTCTATTCACAGATGCTTGCTGCACTCCATCCCCCACAGTTGTGACAACTGAAAAATGTCTTAGACATTACCAAACATCCCCTGGGGGCAAAATTATTCCTCGCTGAAAACTGCTGCTACAAATAAATGTCTGCTGAATGGTGCCTCCCCCATGAAAGTATATGTCCACATCCTAATCCCTGAAACCTGTGAATATTACCTCGTAGGGTGAAATATTTGCTTAAATTAAAGATCTTGAAGAAGGGAGCTTATTCTTGACTATTGAGATGGACCCTAACAGCTGTCAGAAATGCCCTATGAAGTGACACAAGAGGTTTGGGAAAAAATTAAAATATCAAGTGCCCGAACAAGAGAAAGGCAGAGTGAGATTGGATAGACCCTCATAGAAGAGAAGCCACAAGCCAAGGGATGCCAGGGAACTCCCACTGCCACCAGGAGGTAAAAGAGGGCAGGAACAGATTCTCCCCTAGTGACTCTTGAGGGAAAGCAGCCCTGTCAACACCTTCATTTTAGACTTCCAGCCTCCAGAATTGTGAGAGAAGACATTTCTGATGTTTTAAACCACCGTGTCTGTAGTAATTTGTTACAGCAGCCTAGAAAACTAATACAGAAGGGATGCATCATCAGTGCCGGTGGTTTCACCATCAAGAGCTATAATCCAAGATTCCCATGGGGTGTGGGGGCACCAAGGGGAAACTTCCCTTTTGCCCTCTGAAGTTTCACTGAAAAATCTCAGAGAAGAGGCATATAAATAGGAGAAAAAGCATACAGATGTATTTAATGTGTGTACATGGGAGCCTACAGAGTGAATACCCAAAGAGACGAGGGAACTTGTCCACTTTGATGCTTAGGTTCAGCAAAGTGTGGACAGCCGTGTAGATACAGAATTGAACAAAAAGCGTATGATCTAATGCTCTACCGACTGAGCTATCCAGGCTCCCTAAGGGTATGATCTAATGCTAACGGACTGAGTGGGGAAACCTAGCAAGGCCCGTCTGTCTAGATTCTTCCTGGCCTCTCTGTGCTGCATTCCTTCCTTCTGGGTGTAGGACAGGACTCTCGCTGGAATGGGAGTCTTATGACCTACATACAGTCAAACAAGGCCTGTCTGGCTAGATTCTTCTAGGTATCCTGGGTTCTAGATTCTTCTTGGTATCCCAGGTTCTAGATTCTTTTTGGCCTCTCTGTGCTGCATTCCTTCCTTCTGGGGGTAGGACGGGGCTCTCTCTGGAATGGGAGTCTTACAACCTACATAGAGTCAAACAAAGCCGAAACCAAGAAAATTTCTTTATGGCCAGTTTTTATACAGAAAGGTGGAGGGAAACTTAGAGTAGAGTAATATAATTAGGTTTTATGGCTGACTTTGGGGGAAAAGGGTTCTGTTTCTACCTGCCTTGGAGAAGAGGGATTCCAGTTTCTATGGCTAATCTTGGGGGAGCATGGGACTGAGAGACTTGAGGGCAGAAGGTTAGAGAAAAATGGTTGCTTCTGAGGCTACTGTGGAGGACTTTATTTGGGGTATCATTTTCTAAGCCTCAACAGGGAATTTAGGAAAGAGCCATTGACATGGATGCATTCTATGTGCAGATCACATGAAGCTAGAAGGGTTAGTCCAATTGGGCAATGGGTTCTGGACCACTGACAGGGGAGCTCTATATGAATGAAGTGGATAGATCTGAATATCAGGTCCCCCTCTTGGGAACCTAAGACCCAACTGGAAAGGGCCAGAATGATGTGGCTTAGCAGCATCAAGACAAAAAAATAGCCCTGGGATTTTTTCAACAACAAGAAGTTCAGGATGAGTCAACCTTTAGGCCACCCTAGGCTACAGCATGACAGTGGTTGTCAAGGTAGTGTGACTATAGGTGACTTTTTTTCTTTTCCTAATTTTCCAGAATTCCTCTAATGTAGTTCGGAGGCTTTGATTGTTATAATAAAGGTTAAATTTGGTATCAGGGACCTCACTCTGCTAGACCCCAGACTGATTAGTTCCTTCATAGAGTGTTGGGTTCAGTGGACACCACACTTCAATGGAAACTGATCAGGCACCTTGGAATCCTATACATAAGGGGGAACAGAGAGCTGGGCTGCCCCTTGAAGAGAGCTTACGTGTCTCAAGTAATGCTTAGGAGAAGAACTAGGTCGGATATTCAAGATGCTAAGTTTCAGCTCTGAGCACCATGGTTCTTCTCTCCCTTCTCAAAGTGAGGTTCATGAACCCCTAAGGATCCCTGAAACCCTTTCAGTGGTCCACGAGTTCAAAATTATTTGCATATAAACATAAAGATACAATTTGCCTTTTTCACTGACATAATTTGCCTGGAGCAAAAGCAATGATGAGTAAAACCACTTGTGCCTTCACATGAATCAAAGCCTTGGCGCCAGGCTGGGCACGGTGGCTCACGCCTGTAATCCCAACACTTTGGGAGGCTGTGGCAGGCAGTTCATTTGAGGCCAGGAGTTTGAGATCAGTCTGGCCAACATGGCTAAACTCTGTCTCTACTAAATATACAAAAATTAGCCAGGCATGGTTGCACGTGCCTGTAATCCCAGCTTCTCAGAAAGCTGAGGCAGGAGAATCATTAAAACCTGGGAGGTGGAGGTTTCAGTGAGCCAAGATCACGCCACTGCACTCCAGACTGGGCTACAGAGTGACACCTTGCCAAAAAAAAAAAAAAAAAAAAAAAAAATAGCAGTGGCATCAAGCTGCAGTAGTAGCTGTTGGAGTTTTTCATCCTGATGCATTCAGAGGATGCGTTCTTTTATTTAAGAATGTCCTCAATGAAGCAGTTAAAATTATTAATATTATTAAAGCACAATCTTTATTCTATGTGACAAATAAGAAGTAAGCAAAAAGCACTCCTGCTGAATACTACAGTATGAAGGTAGCTCTGGGAAAAAAAGCACTTGTGCTATTTTTGGATTTGCCAGCTGAACTAGACGTTTTCCCCCATGGAACACCATTTTTACTTGAAACTATGGTTATTCAGACTTAAAAATTTGGCAGACAATTGTTTGAAAATGAATAAAGTGAGCCTGTCACTTGAAAGAAAGAGACAGTATTTGTTGCCATTGATGAAATCAGAGCTTTTAAGTAAAAATTCAAATGTTAGAAAACCCGTGTCATGATCTTGACATCTTTCCAATACTCAAAGTTCTCTGATGGGATCAGAGATGATATCAATGAATGTGATTTTTGATACTGTGTAACGAAATATGTCAACATTTGGAAGATCTGAATAACTTCTGCATCTGTGAACCAGTATGTTCTACAATAACTGAGGCATGTTATTACAAAATCATGCCTGGATAAGAGATCCATTCAAAGTACAAGATAGAACAATGGATTTTAAAAATGGACTGTAGAACAGTATGTTCCACAATGACTGAGACATATTTTTACAAAATCATGCACGGATAAGAGATCCATTCAAAGTACAAGATAGAACAATGGACTTGAAAAATATATAAAAGGTCTTTGATATGATTTCAGATTTCACATTGGAGCTAACCTTTGGAAACTATCACTTGCCAACTTTTCAATATCAGAAAAGAATATCTACAATTATTTTTAAAATCCTATTAAAATACTCCTCCTTTTATCTACTCCATATTGTGAGACCAGATTTTTTCCCATATACTTCAATCTAAATAACATATCTCCACAAATTAAATGAAGAAGCAGATATGAAAATCCAGGTGGCTTCTACAAAGCTGGATGTTCAAGACATTTGCAAAAATATAAAACAATAATATCCCAATAATTTTATTTTATTTTTTTAGACGGAGCCTCGCTCTGTCACCCAGGCTAGAGTGCACTGGCACCATCTCGGCTCACCGCAACTTCTGCAGCCTGGGTTCAAGCCATTCTCCTGCCTCAGCCTCCCAAGTAGGTGGGATTACAGGCACCCACCACCACACCTGGCTAATTTTTGTATTTTTAGTAGGGAAGGGGTTTCACCATATTGGCCAGGCTGGTCTTGAACTCCTGACCTCAGGTGATCAGCTCCCCTCGACCTCCCAAATTGTTGGGATTACAGGAGTGAGCCACCATGCCCGGCCCCCAATAATTTTGTGGGGTTTGGGATATACAGTAATTTTTCACAGAAAGTGTTACTTATATTGACATGTAATGAGTTTGCTGTTTATATTTTAAAATGTATTAAATAAATATTTTAAATGTCTCAGTTTTTTGTTTAAACTTTTTTAATTTTTAATTTTTATGGGTATATAGTAGGTGTGTGTATGTATACATACGTTTATGGAGTATGTGAGTTTTTTTTGTTTTTTTTTGTTTTTTTTGAGACAGAGTCTCACTGTCACCCAGGCTGGAGTGCAGTGGCACTATTTCGGCTCACTGCAACCTCCACCTCCCAGGTTCAAGTGATTCTTCTGCCTCAGCCTCCCGAGTAGCTGGAATTACAGGTGCGCACTATTACGCCTGGATAATTTTTTTTTTGTATTTTTAGTAGAGATGGGGTTTCACCATGTCGGTCAGGCTTGTCTTGAACCCCTGAGCTTGGGCAATCCACCCGCCTCGGCCTCCCAAAGTGCTGGGATTACAGGCATGAGCCACTGCCCCCGGCCTACATGAGATATTTTGATACAAGTATATAATGTGTAATAATCACATCAGGGTAAATGGTGTGTCCATCACCTCAAGCATTTATCCTTTCTTTGTGTTAGAAACTATCCAATTATAAGCTTTTAGCTGTTTTTAAATGTACAATAAATTATTGTAGACTGTAATTATCCTGTTGTGCTATCAAATACTAAATCTTATTCATTCTATATATTTTTGTACCCATTAACCATCCCCACTCCCCCATCCCCACTACCCTTCCCAGCCTCTGGTACCCATGATTGTACTCTCCATCTTCCGGAGTTCTCAGTTTTAACTTTTAATACGATAAATATCAGTAGATATTACCCACATGAACAAAAGTTCTATGGGGTCCTCCATAATTTTTAAGAATATAAAGGGGTCTTCTGACCAAAAAATTTGAGAACTGCTGCCCTCTGTATGCTAAAAGGTAAGAAATAAGCTCCAAAAAGATTTTGGTGGCTGCCACATTGGGAAAGATTTTAAGGGTCCCAAGGTCTGGGGCATGTTGGGACATTATCTCTAGGGTAAAGAACAAGCCTTTGTAACTTGCATCCCCCATCAGTAAGAACAAGGCACAGCACAGGGTGGGTACTTCTGGATTTTAAAGCATCCTGGGGAATTCTGTCGGACCATTTATCATGTGACTTGAGGGGCTGCTAGTGCCGAGGGAGGCCCAGCACGAGAGAAGGCTCTGTGGCAGGTCCAGGCAATGGTGCAAGCTGCTGTGACGCCCTACGACAATCGTGTTCAGTCATATCAGAGATGCCACATGGATAAGGATGCCATATGGAGTCTCTGGAAGGCTCCAAAAAAGAGAATTTTGCAGCACAAACCTCTAGGGTGCTGAACCAAAGCCATGGCTCCTGCAGTAGAGAAATGCTTGTCACTTGAAAATCATATCCTAGGGTGCTACTGGGCCCTGATAGAGACTTGTGCCTGAAGATGGGTCACCAACAACTAGGGGACCACAAGACCCCATCACACACCAGGCTATAAGATCTGGGGAGAGGGGCAGCAGCTGTACAATTGCTTCAAACCCAAACAGAACCAGAAGGTACAAGTAAGTTACATGGACAGATGGCACCTGCCTCTTTTGCATCCATATTTCTCTCTGTCTCTCTTTTTTCCTGAGACTGAGTCTCGTTCTGTTGCCCAAGTTGGAGTGCAGTGGTGTGATCTCAGCTCACTGCAACCTCTGCCTCCCGGGTTCAAGCAATTCTCTGCCTCAGCCTCCCAAGTAGCTGGGATTACAGGTGCCTGCCACCACACCTGGCTAATTTTTTTTTTTTTTTTATTTTTAGTAGAGACGGGGTTTCACCATCTTGCCGAGGCTGATCTCGAACTCCTGACCTCATGATCCACCCACCTCGGCCTCCCAAAGTGCTGGGATGACAGGTGTGAACCCCCACGCCGGCCCCATATTTCTCTTTTAACTCACATCTATGGCCTTGAGAAAGCTCTTTCTGATAGAAGTGGAAAACTTCAGACCTGGTTCACAAATGGGGCAGCACAATCGGTTGTTACTAGCCAGAAATGGACAGAAGCTATACTATAACCTCACTCAGAGGTGGCTCTGAAGAACAATGGTAAAGGGAAATACTGGCAGTAGGCAGAGATGGGATAGTACCTTTGGTCATTCGTGGACTGTATATGGAAACAAGTGGAGGTATAGATATACATGGACTCCTGGGCAGGGGCCTGGAAGGAACAAGACTGGAAAATCAGAGGCAAGGATATCTGGGGTAGAGGCATGTGGATGGACACGATGTATGTTAATGTCCAGTAGAGAAGCTCTACCACAGGGAGGCCTACGACTATCAAGAGGACATTAGCCAGCTTCTCTCCATTGGCCACATCAGTGCTGGTGCAATGGGTGGTAGGAATGGAGACCACACATGGACAGATAGTTATGAGAACCATTTCAGAAGTCTGAGATCGAGTACTAGTTGTCCATAGTGTGGCCAAATCAATGAGGCATCCTTTTATTGACTTTCCTTCTTTTCCTATTTCTCTTCTCTTTGTTCCTCAACCTGTTCCCTCGGATCGCATTCCCAAATAACCTGTCGCAAACAAGCCCTTGTTCCAGGCTCCATTTGAGGGGGAAGAGGCTAAGTTAAGCTACTACCCATTTACAATTGTAACCCCTGTTCACACTCCTAGCCTCTCTTACACGGCTCTGTTTCTTTTTTTCCATATAACCTATTTATTATGTCTATTGTTGATTATGTTTCTCTCCCACTAAAATATAAGCTCTGTAAAAACAGGGATATTTGTCTGTTTTGGTCCGTGTAGTGTCCCCAGCACCTAGAACACAGATAAAGTTGTGTTGAATGAGTGACTAAGTGATTAGAGCTAATGTATGTACATTTAGATGCTAAATATTTAGAACATGGTAGAAAATTCTGGGCCTCAGGAAACACAAGGTTTGGCTGTAGCTGGTTTGGAGACTGTGGTCAGGACTGAGAAATTTCGGGATTCAAGAGACTAAGGAGTGGGTTTGGCTTGGCCCAGGAGCAGGGCTGGTCCAAAATTTAGAGTCTCGTAGAACCAGAGCCTTTCCTGCCCGTGGTGCCATGTTTCAGCCAAAGCCTTTATGCTTGTACCACAACCCACCCCTGTGGTTAAGAGCCCAGGGTCTTCATCCAAACAGACCTGAGTTCAGAGCCTACCCCTACTACTTCTTAGTTGTGGGATCTTGAGCAAACTACCTCTCTAACTTCAGTGTCATTATCTGCAAGGCTGTGCTAAGGACACATTCTACTTGGTTGAGTTGTAATGAGAACTGAGGGTTAAGGTTCCATATAAAGTGTCTGGCACAATAGGAAGTGCTCACTAAGTACCCGTCAGCATTAAACTTTCCCACGTGCCACATGGTGAGGGTGGCGGCCTTTCAGTTCTAGGTCCTCTCTTCCTTCTGGTGGGAGAGTCGGGCTTCCCTCAGTAATGTTGCTTATTCCAATTTGTTGGGTGAAGGTCAGAAGAGAGATACAGTCTGGATGAAAAACTCCTGAGTTCTCCACAGGGTGCAGAGCCACTGGGTGTCCCTTGCAAATTGAGTTCACAAGGTCCTGCTCCAAGAGTTCTAAATAAAAATGAGCTCATTGATTTGGACACCCAGCTGGGTGCACCTTTCAGCTTCATTTTTGAAACTTCGAGTCTGTGAAACATGGGCTGCCTGGGGTGTATCATGTCAATCCAGCCCCAGCAACACTCACATCATGCTGTCTTGCCTCTACTTACCCTGTGCCCTGTCAAGAGCACCCTTCCCGCCACCCTACACCTGAGCTACCTGCTGAAACCTACCAACGCTTCTGTTTGTCCTATTCTCCCTTTCATTTCTTTCTTTTCGTTTCCTGCCCTCTTTGGCTTTACAGCAGGCTTCTCTCCCCAACAAGTTCCATTTTATTGTTCAACTAGTTTAACATGCATGTTTAATTGAACAAGGTCAAATGCTAGTCAATATTTTGCCCTCCCACCAAATAATAGACCTTTCCCACTCTGATCACTCCTCACCAATTTGTTATTGTTTTATGGTTCTTTAGTTTTATCTCATTTTTTTTTTCTTTTTTAATTTTTTTTTCTTTTTTTTTTTGAGACAGAGTCTCGCTCTGTCGCCCAGGCTGGAGTGCAGTGGTGCAGTCTTGGCTCGCTGCAACCTCCACCTCCCAGTTTCAAGTGATTCTCCTGCCTCAGCCTCCTGCATAGCTGGGACTACAGATGCGAGCCACCACGCCTGGCTAATTTTTGTATTTTTAGTAGAGATGGGGTTTAGCCGTTTTGGCCAAGCTGTTCTCAAACTCATGACCTCAAGTGATCCAACCACCTCAGCCTCCCAAAGTGCTGGGATTACAGGCATGAGCCACCATGTCCAGCCTATTTCATTTTTTTCTAACTCCACAAAGTGGACATTTTTGTAATTATTTTATGCTATCAGTGCTTATTAAATCCACTTCTGTGTTTACATATTTCTTTGCTCACCATTCTTACTTGAATCTTAGACTTTTTTTTCTGAGATTATTTTTCTTGTTTTTGAAGAACATCCTTTAGAATTCCCTTAGGTGAGAGTCTGTTAGCTATAAATGCTCTCAATTTTCATCTGAAAATGTGTCTTTTAAACCTTATACTTGAAAGATAGTCAAGGTTGACAGTTATTTTTTTATTAGTACTTTGAGATGTTGTTCCATCGCCTTCTGGCTTTAGTTATTGGTATTGACATATTAGCTGCCCATCTACTTCATCATTCATCCATCTTCTGTCTAGTGATCAGCAGTTTTGCTACCAAAAATGTTTGGTGTAGATTTCTTTTTATTTATCATGCTTGGGTTGGGGGAGCTTCCAGAATCTGAGGATTGTGTCTTTCATCAAGTCTAGAAATTTTCCATTTTCTTCTAGAACTCTAATTAGACATATTTAAATCCTTGTTCCTTGTCTATGTCTCTTAGCCTCTTTCATATTTTCCACCACTTTGTCCTCCTGTGCTCCATCCTGGGTAAATTCTTCAAATCTATTGTTCACCCCAGTAGTTGTCTCTTCAGCCATATTAATCTGCTGTTTATTTTTATGTATGTATTTATTTATTTATTTTTGAGACAGAGTCTCACTCTCACCCAGGCCGGAGTGCAGTGGCACAATCTCGACTCACTGCAATCTCTGCCTCCTGGGTTCAAGCAATTCTTGTGCTACAGCCTCCTGAGTAGCTGGGACTACAGGCATGTGCCACCTCACCTGGCTAATTTTTGTATTTTTAATAGAGACAGGGTTTCACTGTGTTAGCCAGGCTAGTCTTGAACTCCTGGCCTCAAGCCATCAGACTGCCTTAGCTTCCCAAAGTGCTGAGCCTTAATCTACTGTTTAATCTGTACACTGGGCTTCTATTTTCAAAAATTATGTTTTTACATAACTGCTTGCTTTTTTTCCCTCAATCTTCCTGGTCACTTTAAATAGTCTCTTGTTCCTTATCTATACTTTCAATTACCAACTTTTAATTCTTGAAGCATATGAAACATCCTTATTTTATATTATATATACTGCAATTCCAACATCTGAGATGTGTTCGAAGGTCTGCATTTTTAGTTTATTGCTTGGTGCTCCTCTCACCTAAAGCACCTTGTGTCCTGTGTTTTATGATTTTTCTGTTTTACAAACATGTGAACTCATGTTCCATGGGAGTTTTTCTGTGGGATTTCTTTGAGTCATGAATATAGGATGAGTTACTCCAGAGACAATTTTTATCATTTGTTTCTGCCACGTGCCTAAGGAGCTATTATTTACCTTACTTTAAATTCTTATCTTATCTTTTTGTTTGTTTGTTTTTTGTGTGGTTGTTTTTGCCACAAAGTCACCATGAGTTTCACCTCCAGGCCTATTAGTGGGTAGACTTGTGGTGAGGGGCATTCAGGGTTGACATTTATTTTTCTCCCACTCAGAGTCCATACTGAGTTGGGCAAGCTCTGTGTCAGCTCGCTTTAAGGAATTTTTCTCTCCGAGTTCTCCACTGTGGATGTTGTATTTCAGTGCTCTTTGTTTAAGGCAGAAATTTTGGATTTTGTTTTTCACTTCGATTTTGTTTCTCAGCTTTAACTTTTGTCCATGTTCATAAGACTGAAGCTCTTGGTCAACTGGATCAACAGATACTTCTCTGCTGGCTGTGATCTCTTTGGATTTTTGTTGTCTTTATATATTAACATATACAAGGTCTCACTCTGTTGCCCAGGCTGGAGTACAGCAGTGCAATCTTGGCTTATTAAAGCCTTGACCTCCTGGGCTCAAGCGATCCTCCCACCTCAGCCTCCTGAGTAGCTGAGACCGCAGGTGTGTGCCACCAAACCTGGCTAATTTTTTGCACCTTTTGCAGAGAGAGGGTTTCACCATGTTGCCCAGGCTTATTGTCGTTTTTGATCTCTGATGATTTTCTTCATTTCTCACCACCTCAGCTACACATTTTAAAAGATGGTTTACAATATTTTTGTGGTGTTTTGTATTAGGAGAATTCTTCAGCATCTGCTGTCTACCATATTGTCAGAAATGGAGTCTAGCCATCCTTCCCGGCCCATTTCAAACGGGTTCCTCTTAGGACCAGGAGACCTCACATTATGTGTGTCCTACCTTGGCCTGTGGTTTGGTCACTTGTGTGTGTGTGAACTTCATCCTCCTTGAGGGCAGGAATATGGTTTCCTCTCTTTCACTTCCACAGAGTCCTGTCCAGAGTTCTGCACACCAAGACTGTGTAAATGAATGGAATTGCATCTGGGAGCTCGAGGCACCCATGCAAACCTGTGCTGCCAGTGACTTCCACCAGAGGGCAGCGGCAGCAGGTGCCGGCGCTGGGGCAGGACTGGGAGGAGTCTCACTCTGGGGGCGCCTGGTTCCCCGTGGCTCTAATACTTGCCGCATCAAATGCATACACCCACATTTAGGACCGAACCCAATGGAGGAGGACCGCTCCTCATTCCACATGTTGGGGAAATGAAGACAAGCAAGGATGCAGGAAGTGGAGGGCCAGGAGAGGTGGACCTGGGATGGGACCAATTGAGGCAGGGCCAGGATTTGGAACCAAACCCCTTCTGGATTTGACCACTTCCAGGGCCCTGCTTGGACAACCAAATTATCTATTCCTTTTCTCATTCAATAAACATTTATTCACCTCCTACCATATGCTCCACAGGGAGTACCATGGGAATTAAACACGCTTGGCCCCTGCCTTCTTCCTATAGCGTCAGTCTGCTGCAGTGCAATGGGGCAACTCGGGGTTTCTCAGGCAGCCCTGGGCTTCCTTCCTTCAGCCCTTTGCTCCTGCTATTCCTTCTGGCCCAGAGGCCTCCCATGATTGCTGTTTGTCAAAATCCTGCTCAGCCTTGTAGACCCAGCTCCCATGCCTGACTCCCACGGAGGCATGCCCAGTCTGGTACCTGGAGATGGGATAGCTGGCCCCACTGTGCCATCTGACGGGGCGGCTCCCACAAGGCCTTGGCACCCTTCCCTGTAGAAGGACTTGTGGGATGGCCATCTCTCAGGCCCTTCCCAATTTATATTTCTCTGAGGGGAGACTTAGGCTCTTATCTCCAAAAGTGCATCAAGACCACACCCTCCTTCCCAACCACCATTGCACCTAAGGTTAAGATAAAACTCAGGATTTAATCCAAGAGAGCCAAATTACACGGACCGGGACAGGCAATGGGTCATTCACTCCCTCTTCCAATATGTACTGATTGAGCAGCTACTACATTATCAATTTTTTCTTCTGGGCCACCAGAAATGAGGCATGGCTCTTCCACTTCCCTTCTTCTTAGAAGACCCTCGGGGAAGTGTGTCTGCATGGATGCGTGTGCATGCGTGTGTCTGGCTCCGTGACTCTTGGGGTGCAGCCTGGATGGGTGGGCTCCCAGCACAGGCAGCTGGGGCTCTCCCCACCAGCCCCTGTAACAGCAGCCCAGCTTCCTGCAGACCAAAACCACAAGCAGAACAAGCAGGCGTGAGACACTCACAGGTTGGGTTTGATCGCATGCGTGTCGGAGAGGAGAGAGCAGAGAGAGACACAGGAACAAGAACAGCAAAGGGTAGAGCAGACCTGCGCCAGGGGCGCACAACGGCCGTGTCCACCTCCCGGCCCCAAGATGGTGCTTCCCACAGGCAGCCACGCGTAGCAGCCAGAGACAGCTCCAGACATGTGGCTCTTCTTCGGGATCACTGGATTGCTGACGGCAGCCCTCTCAGGTAGGCCCCCTTCCCTCATCTCCTGCCACTGGTGCTGGAGGAGCCGGGTCCGGCCCTCTCAGTCCCCTTTCTGGTTGTTTCCTTGTGGTCACTTTTCTAGGATCTTTTAGCCAAGACTACACTCAGGTACCAGGGAGGTCCAGCATCTGGGGCTAGGAGAGGACACAGGAGCCCCTCGAGGGGCTGGGGCTGTGCCTGGAAGCCTCCTGGAGTGACAGAATGTGGGAAGCATGCTTTGTGCCTTACCAATGGGTCCCTAGGGTGTGAGGAGGGAGGTGCCTCTCCCATCCTTAAGCTCAGGAACTCCCCCATTTCCTATTTCTTGCCAACTCTTAAGAAGGAACCGTTCACCTTCCAGAGAGGCAGGACCACTGATGGTGGTACTTTCAACGCCAAAGCTGAGGCTTGGGGTCCAGCAGGCGTAGGCCAATCACAGGAGAGCACCTCCCGAAACAGGACTCAGGGAAGCCAGGGAGAGTTCTGGACAACCAGGCGCTGATGGCCTCAGCACAACCAGCTGGGGTAGTCTAGGGCATAAGCGAGCATGAAGGCCACCCCCACGTCTCAAGCTGCCCCCAAGTGTCAAGGCACCTGGCCACCTGGGCCAGGGAATCAGATGGCCAGAAGGTTTGGGGCACTAGACTGTGCTCCCCAGATACTTGCTGGCCCCTGTTGAGTGCAGGGTCCAAGCTGGCCAGAGCGGGGCAGGGGCCTGGAGATGCAAGAGATCCTGACCCCATCGAGCTCTCACATTTTGGGATTTGGGAAGACTGGTATGGAAACAGAATTCGGGCCAGGGGAGTCTGGGTCCACCTTGCAGCCAGAGAGCCAAGTGCTTTCATTTTGTGATGGAGGAGACCCAGGAAGACCCAGTCAGGAGGGGGCATCGAGCTGGTTTGGAGGACTGGGTACATGTCGCGAGACTCTGGGCAGGGAGTGCTCTCCTCTCTGCCTTGATCTCCAGGCATGTGTTCCGAGCCTGTGGCCTCATACTGGTTCAGGGAAAGCCATTCGGCTCTGGGAACTGGAGTTTGTGTGCCTTCAGCTCTGTGCATGTAGCTTTGCCCTGCTAACTCTACCAGGAGTTTCTGGAGCAGCAGCTCTGGAATTTCAGCTGCCTTCTGCCCCTGAGCTGAAACAGACTGTCCGAGAGTGGCCCCCTTTCCTCTTCCCCATGAAGCCCAGCCACAGGCTCAGGAGTAAAGTCGGGTCCAAAAGATTTTCCCCAACCCAGGGCTTCAGACCAGCTCCTTCTCAGCTTCCCAGCAGGAATGAGGGCCAGGGGCTGAGCTAGGCATTGGTGCCCTTGGCGTCCGAGCCTTGGCAGCTGGCCCAGCAGCCAGCCAGGAGAACTGGCTTTGAATGGTGCCCACAGGAGAGGTGGGAACCCAGAGACCTGGGCAGAGCTCAGGGAGGTCAAACAAAGTAGTCCTGGAGCCTCCAAGTTCCTTCGATTCAGTCTGTCCCACCCTGGCAGCTCTTGCCCGACCTGCTCCTTCCCAGTACTGTCATCCACTTTATGGTTTTGAAACTGTGTTGATATTTACTTGACTCACTTGTTGTTATCAATGCAAGCTCAGTTTTGAAAGGAAAGTTTACATCACTATTATAAGTGGAAAATCAATATCATTTGCCATAAGTGAAAGGTAAAGGGAAACATAAAAACAAATGGTGGCAAAACCCAATTTCTATTACGCTTTAGCAAAAAGTGAAAAGATCGTGAAGACCCAGAGCTCATCCCCTCTGTGAAAGGGGTGATGAGGAGGGGAGAGGAGATGGCCTCCTAGCTCTAGCAGGTATTTTCTTCTTGACTTTGCAGAAGGACTGAAAACACCGTGGGCAGGGAATAATTTCCTCACTCTGCGATTTCAGAGCATTAAACGCGGCTTCTGTAAACTCTCCTGAGGGTTGCCAGGGGTGTATGTCCTACTGCTGAAAAATATGGCCTCTCCAGGCAGGAGGAAGACTGCACCTTCAAGCAGCCCCTTGCCCCTCTCCGGGGCTGATGCAAGGGACACTGAGCTGCTACACTCCAGGCCTCCCTGAGCTTTTCTTCCTCTGTGTCCAGCTCAGCAGGCCCAAATGCTAGCAGAACCTGACCTCAGAGGGCAAGGTTGACCCACATCTGCTTGTGGGGAGTTTGTGTTGGGCCGACCATATTGGGGAAAGGAGACTAGGACCTCCAAGGAGAAAAAGAAGGAGAAAGAAAAATGATGGCAAAGAGGGAGGAAATGGAGCTGGGATAATGAAGTGCGTGTGGAAGTTTCAGGCCTTTACCCCAAGAACTATTTCAGGGTGGGGCTGCCTGGCTCTGCCCTGGGACCACAGGCAGGTGGAATCCTGCCCTCCTTTGCCCTGGCAGACCTGGCTGAAACCTTGCTGTGCTCGGGCAGACCTCCCCTCTCCTTCTTCCCCCTTTTATTTTTTAAGACAGAGTCTCGCTCTGTTGCCAGGCTTGAGTAGCTGGGATGACAGGCATGCGCCACGACGCCCAGCTAATTTTTGTATTTTTAGTAGAGACGTGGTTTCGCCACGTTGGCCAGGATGGTCTCAATCTCCTGACCTCGTGATCCACCCACCTCAGCCTCCCAAAGTGCTGGGATTACAGGAGTGAGCCACCGCGCCCAGCCTCCTTCTTCCCTTTCTAACCCTAGCACGAGGCCCTATCTCCTGGGCCTCTGCCCAGGTGGCCCGGGTGCTGGGCCTGGCTTGGTTTGTGTTGCTGATTTCTGTTGCTTAGAGATTCAAGCCTCCAGTTCTCCGCCTCAGTTTCCTGATCAGCCAACTAAGGATGAAGGAACAGAGAGAATGAATTAGGAGCCCTTGACAGGGGAGGCTGGGGTGGCATCATGAGACCCCAGGTTCTGCCCTGGTCCCGTCTCTAATTCACCATTGACTGTGCTTCTTTTCTTCTCAGCCATGTTTTCTCATCAGTGGAAGGGGGGTGCTCTGTCAGACAATCTATAAGAAAGCTTTTGTCCAGATCTGACACTATGACGCAGTAACAAAGCCCCAGGCCTTTCCCGCCAGGGCAGTGCTGAGCTCCGTGACTCTAATGCCAGCTGTGCTCTGGCTGGCGAGGTCCTCGAGGGCTGCCTTTGTGTATGAAAAGGCTGTTTGTGGCTACTTTTGAAAAAAATAGTAATTCTTTAATTAACAATTTTTTAATAATTTGTTTTTTCTTAACTTGTGAGTTCAACATACTAATCATATTTTATTTTATAAGCCCTGTAATTTTGATTAATGACTTTCGATGGGCCTTTAATATTTGAGCAAATGAAGTTGAACAGACCTAGCATCCTTAAATAATAAATACCCTTACAAATGTAGCTAATCAAACTCCCTTGGTTCTGTGCTATTCCATAGGGTAGCCCCTACAATCACGCATTTAAAATGTGATGATAGTCCAAATTGAGATGTGTAAAGTGTAAAATATGCAACAGGTTTTGAAGATGAGTTTCAAGAAAGAATGTAAAATATTTCAACAAATTTTATGTGATTTATATGTCGAACTTATAATATTTTTGATATGATGGGCTAAATGAATTCTATTATCACAATTAAGTTTACATATTCCTTTTTACTTTTTAAAAATGGGGTTTCTGGTCTGGTGTGGTAGTTCACACCTGTAATCCCAGCACTTTGGGAGGCCAAGGCAGGAAGATCGCTTGAACCTAGGAGTTCAAGACCAGCTGGGGAAACATGGCAAAACCCCGTATCTCCAAAAAATACAAAATTAGCCTGAAGTGGTGGTACAAGCCTGTTGTCCCAGCTACTCGGAAGGCTGAGGTAGGAGGATGGTTTGAGCCCGGGAGTTTGAGGCTGCAATGAATGAGCCATTATTGTGCCACTTCACTCCAGTCTGGGCGATGAAGGAGACCCTGTCTCAATAAAAAAGTAGGGGGAGGGTTGTCCTGGAATATTTAAAATTACATGCGTAACTTGCATCATATTTATATTGGATAACACTGCTTTTGATATTCTAAGCACATTTATAAATATGATGAATTCCATATTTTATAGAGCATGAAACAAAATGTTCCCAAGAATTTTAGAAAATGCTTTTAGAACTAAAAAACTAGCATAAGTGAAGTGAATATTAAGTTATTTTTAAAATTTTTATAGATATGAGGGTAGAAGTGCAGTTTTGTTACACGGATATATTACGTAGTGGTGAAGTCTGGGATTATAGTGTACCCAGCACTGGAGTGTTGTACATTGTACCCAATAAGTAATTTTCATTCCTCACTCCCCTCCCATCTTCCCACCTTTTGGAATCTCTGATGTCTGTTACTCCATTCTGTATGTCCATGTGTGCACGTTGTTTGGCTCCTACTTATAAGTGAGAATGTGGTGTTTGACTTTCTGTTTCTGAGTTATTAAAGCGAATATCAAGTTCTCTTAAATATTCTAATGTTTACAGATATTGTCAAATTCTCTTAAATTTTCTACTTCAAAATTGAACCTAAGTCAATTACCTGCTCACATTCATGAGGAACTCAATGGCCAAATGTTTTTAAATATCACAAATATAGGACTTTATGCAACTCACGGAGCTTGACCCAACTTACATTTAACACCATTGGATATATACTATGAGTGTTTGTTTATTTAATCATCTCTATTTTCTAAATTCTAATCTTCCTGGGTTTAAAAGCCACTTACCAAGGAGGAAACAATGGCGCCATTGCAGGTAACTTGGGTTATGCCAAGCAGGTTGAAGTTTTTCCATCTCAGTGGACTGAGCTGAGGTCGGTGTTTTTGTTGTTTTGCCAAAACATAAGATATGGTTCCCCTGTGTTGCTGATGGATGCGCTTGTGCCCTTTTTGATAGTCCGTGCCCTCTAACTGGGCTGGCTCCTTGACCTATGAACTCTGAATCCAAGTTATACAAACCTAATCCCCTACATCTGCCGTGCATCTGGCCTTATTGTTTGATTGGACTGAATTAAACACACATGTTTACTTTTCTATTCTGACCTCTTTTCACATTCTTCCTGCCTGGCAAGACTTCATCTCATAGATACATAAATAATTTATGACAGGCTTCTGCATCTTTCTCCCGGCTTAGCTTGGCTCTCTGGCCACAGGTCAATGACTGATGACAGTTAGCGTGGCCTTCACCGTATTGGGGCCATGGAACGGGGTAGCTCCTAGGGTGCTGGAGCTCGAACTTTACAGAGGGATCTAGAATGAGTGAGAAATGCTGCCCATGGCCCTCCTCATTCAGACCACATTTATTAAGGCTTTATTTATTATATTTATAGAACACTCAAGAATTAAATTCAGTACCCAGCTGTTAGATTCTGAGTTAAGGAATCAGACTTCTCCCTGGGGCAAGGAGGAATAAACAGGTGGCCCCAACTGTCCTTTAGGACAGGAGCTTGGAGTGTAGACCTCCCAGGTGCGTGGCCATCCTCTCCCTGCCTGGACCACAGATGGGACACCATGAGCTTTAACATCCATGCCATGTGCTCAGGCCTGCCCTGAGCAGCCCCCTGGTAGGGCTGGGATCCCCAGGCTGTATCTACTTCCTCAGCTAGCAAGACCTCCAGGCCCTCCATCCTGTCCTCGGCACTGGCCCTTCTCCAGACTCAGAGCATGGTAAGTTATCCAGCATAGCTCTTCCCGGAGCACTTTATTCCAGCCCACCTTCCCAGTGTTGGCCAAGGTGTCATCCACCTGACAATTTACTTAACGTAATTTCCCTCCTTTTTCTTTCTTTCTTTTCTTTTTTTTTAGATGGAGTCTCGCTCTGTCGCCCAGGCTAGAATGCAGTGGTGCAGCTCACTGCAGCTTCAAACTCCTGGGCTCAAGGGATCCTCCCACCTCAGCCTCCCAAATAGCTGGGATTACAGGCGCCTGACACCATGCCTGGCTACTCTTTCTTAATTGATGTTTTAAAATGCAAATACATTTATTTTGAGAAGAAACTTTATATATCACTCCCTTAAATGGAAAGCCATTCATTATAAATCACCATCATGATTATAATGGTGAAAATAAACATAATGGAAATAAAACAATGTTACTAAATTCTAGCCAGATGCATTTGCTGCTTTCCCTTTCCTCAAAAGGGAGGGCTGTAGATGTCAGAGAGACTTTAAAGACTAACCCCATGGGAGATTTCCTCCTCCAAGTCTGTAATTAGAAAGGCTGAAAGGGAAATAAAGAGTATGCATAACTTCCTCATCATGTAATATAGTGGTATATAATGCCAAGTCAATGACCACCTAAATCAATTTTGCATAGTTTTGTGTATGTGCCCTAGACTTTGAAAACACTGATCCAGAGAAAGGACAAAGGGGGTGGGCATGGTGTCCCCTGACAAGACTGAGCCTGGGGACGCTGACTGCTCTGCAGCCTGGGGTTACGTCCTACACATGAGACCCCCATTTCAGGGGCTCCCCAGTACCCTGAGAAGTCCCTGGATTTTCCCAGTGAGCCCTGAGGTTGGGGGGCACCCGAGTTCACCTCCCTTGATTCCGCTCTGGGAATCTAGGCCCCTGCAGCCTGGGGAGGAGAAGGAACCTTGAGGAGGGGTGAGGTGGGTGTGGACTTTGAGAACTAGCTCTGGTCCTAACTTGCTGGGGAATCTTGGTCAAGTTCCTTCCTTTCTCTGGCCCTAGTTTCCTTTCTGGAAAACTGGGTAAATTGAACACTAAGGACCCAGCCTAAACATGCTTGTACTTTATGTATGTTCCTTGAGGCTTTACAGGTTATGGAGCAGGGCATCTGGCTGTACGCAGCAGAGACCCAGCCACTAGACACTTAGCCCTAGGAAGGGCACTGTATCAACCCCAGCCGGCATCCTGTCGTATAGAATCATGGACCCCGGAGTCAGGCAGACGCGGGTTCTGAATTGCATCTCTGCATGGCCCCAGGGTGGTTTCTTTGCCTGCATGCTAGAGATAAAAATCCCCAACTCACCAAAGTGTACAAGTTAATGTAGATGATGCATCTGAAAATAGCCGAACAAAATGCAGTGCTCAGAAATGTTAGCTTATAAATGCTCTACAGCAAGACCAAAGATAATCCCTTGCCTATGTGAATACAGGACTCGGTGGTTAACATAGTGCTGTTTGCACAATGAGCTCCATCACCCACATGGTGACCTCATTTTATAGATGAGGAAACTGAGGTTTAGCGAGGCTAAGAGACTTGTCAGGACCTGAGCTTGGGTCTCCCAGCCAGCAGGCTGGTGCTTTTTCCATTGTGTGGGAGTTGCCTGGCTTGTTTCCAGCCAGCTGTCCTGTGGGCTCTATTCTAGCATAGGGTTTCTCCCCTAAATGCAAACTCCTAGCCTTGCAGCCTCACCACTGAATCTAGGAACAGCCCTGAGGGACCTCTGAGGTCCTAGGGACCCTGGAAGTCTTCTTAGCAACAGATGGGGTCAAGTGTGGCTGCCTCCCTCATCATGGCACGCCCTCATGGGGTTTGCCTGGGGGTTGCCCTGCACCTTGGGGCCAGCAGGAAGGCAAAATTAAAGAGGCACCATGAGCCAGGGGAGAGCTTGCTGGGCAGCAGGCTCCATATTTTGTTTTGTTTTCTTTTTTTTTTTTTTCTTTTTGAGACGGAGTCTCAGTCTGTTACCCAAGCTGGAGTGCAATGCTGCGATCTCAGCTCACTGCAACCTCCGCCTCCCAGGTTCAAGCAATTCTCCTGCCTCAGCCTCCCGAGTAAGGGGACCATAGGCACCCACCACCATGCCCAGCTAATTTTTTTGTATTTTTAGTAGAGACGGGGTTTCACCATTTTGGCAAGGCTGGTCTTGAATTCCTGACCTCAGGTGATCCACCCGCCCGCCTCAGCCTCCCAAAGTGCTGGGATTACAGGTGTGAGCCACTGTGCCTGGCCTAGGCTCCATATTTTCATATTCATTCAGTACCTGCTGAGTACCAGGCCCTGTGCTGGCACTGCCATAGGACATGAAGGTTTGCCCTTGAACAGTTTATAGTGTTGTGGTAAGACACACCAGCACCACCCCGGGATAGGTGTGGCAACAGGCACAATCCAGTGACAGCTGCAACCACCACCCATTACCAGGGACTTAATATTCTCCAAGCACCAGCTATGCATATGCTGTTCCACCCTGACAACACCAGGACAATCACCCCTTTTTTATGGGTGGAGAAACTGAGGCTCAGAAAGTTATGTATTTTGTCCCAGGTTGGTGGCTAATGCTGAATTTAAATCCATGTCATGATATGTCACCACTGGGGGAAGCTGACTGATGGGTACACAGGATTTCTCTTCACTATTTTGGCAACTTCTTATGAGTCCATAGTTTGAAAATAAGAAGTTAAGGGGGAAAAAAGGATTTCAGCCCTTTCTGGTGACTCACACCTGTAATTCAGCACGTTGGGAGGCCGAAGTCCAAGAGTTCCAGAGCAGCATAGGCAACATAGTGTGACCCCCACGTTTACAAAAAATTAAAAAGTTAGCCGGATGTGAGATTCATGCCTGTAGTCCCAGCTACTCGGGAGGCTGAGGCAGAGAATGACTTGAGCCCAGGAGGTTGAGGCTGCAGTGAGCCATGATCTCACCACTGCACTCCAGCCTGGACAACGGAGCAAGACCTTGTCTCAAAAAAGAAAAAAAAAAGTATTTCAGAAAGAAGGACCCATTTGAAGGCCGGGTGCAGTGGCTCACGCCTGTAATCCCAACACTTTGGGAGGTCAAGTAGGGCGGATCACTTGAGGTCAGGAGTCCGAGACCAGCCTGGCCAATATGGCGAAACCCCGTCCCTAGTAAAGAAATACAAAAATTAGCCGGGTGTGGTTCGGGGGATGGGGGGCACCTGTAATCCCAGCTACCCGCAAGGCTGAGGGAAGAGAATCGCTTGAAACCGGGAGGCGGAAGTTACAGTGACCCAAGATCGCACCACTGCACTTCAGCCTATGCAACAGAGTGAGACTCTGTTTCAAAATAATTAATTAATTAATTAAATTGAAAGAAAGACCCATTTGAGCAGAAACCTGGAGGTGGGACAGCCTACGAGGGCCCGGCTGAGGGGAGGTGCTGACCAGCCAGTCCGGCTGGTCCTGTTGGGTCATGTTGGGTAGGCAGGACTGAAATTCCCAAAGGAGCTGAGGTCCAGGCTCTTTTCTGCCTCCTGACCCAGACTGGTGTGCCATGAGGATTCAATGAGCGCCAAGCACAGGGACTGGCCCACGGAAGGTGCGCCACAAAATGTACATTTACAAGTGTTAGGCAGGCAGTACAAGGATCACGTCCTCCAGTGCAGCACTCTGCAAATACGTAAACCTGCCTTCTCCTCGTCACAGCCCTAAGGAGGTATGCGCTACTATTTAATACTTCCATTTTACTGAGTAAGTGACAGGCTCAGAGAGATAAAGTGACTTTTCCTAGATCGCACCACTAATAGATGACAGATACTTGGTTTTACCTCATGACTCCAAATCCGTTGCTTTTTCCCAGCCCTGGAATTGGGTAGGGTTTGGGCCGGGGACCCCTCCCCACTCAAGACTCCTGCAGGAAAGGTCCGCCCTTCCCCCAGGGACTTTTCACCTCACCCACCATCAGCTGGGCCGTCATGGAACTTTATGGAGCCTGAGCTCTCCTCCTTCAGGCTGAGTGGCCATGCCCAGCCTTCGTTTCCCCGGCTGTAAAGCAGGGCCAACGGGAGCTCAGAGCTGTGTGGGGCTCCCCAGATGTTGGCGGTGACATGCTTGGAGAAATGCCAGGCTCCTTAGGGTGTTAGGAGAGACCTGTGGCCACAGCTGCTGCTCCGACTGGGACCGGGCAGGCGCTCCCAGGGACAACAGACGGAGGCAGAGGGAAGCCCAGGTTCCCACCCTCCATTTTGTAGGCTCCTGCAGCCCGAACGCCTTCTGCCTGAAAATGGCGGCTGAGAGAGGCCAGGAGGCAGGATGCAGGGCTGAGGAGGAAGCTCCGGGGCTGGGTCTCTGGTCCCTGGGAGATGCTGAGAGATAGGGAGATGGCCCTGTCATAGGAATGTGGTCCCCTGTTTTCCCTTGTATGGAAGGGTGCCCCTGGGTCTCCACCGTGTGCTAGGGGGTGGGGGCACACTCAAAAGTCCGGCCAATAAGTGTCCAGGCCACCCCCAATCTCCATCAGGACCCTGAGCTGGGCTGAGGTCTCCGGGAGGTGCCAGCAGATGCCAGGGTGGCGGGGGGGGGGGTTCTGTGCATGGGGCTGGGGACAGCAGATGCCCGGGTGGGGGGCGGTCTGTGCATGGGGCTGGGGACCAGGGTCATGTGGGGACACAGGCTGTAAGAGTGACGAGGGGCCTTGGGGCTAGGGGCTTCTTGGGGGTCCCATCTGAGGACCTCACTTCTGACTTGGAGTCATGTACTGAGCCCTGTGGCAGGGAGAAGGCAGAAATGAAGTCACTGTGTCCTCGGAGTCAGATGCAAAGCCAAGCGTGACTCTGTTCATTTTACAGAAGGACAGACTGAAGCCCAAGAGCTTAAGTAACGCCGCCAGTGGCTGACAGAGCTGGGAGCAGAGTCACTTCTGGTCACTGGGGTTTGGAGGGAGGATGTTTATCTGCACTTCAGTACCCTTTTTGCTAGGGTGTTCACCTCTTTCAGGAGGGGTGCCTGGGAGCAGGCGGGCGCGGGGAGACAGAGCTGAGGAAGCCCCCCAGGCCTGGAGGAGGCCCGTTCCCCACTCCATTTGGTGTGCTCTCGTTTTGCCTCCCTCCCTCCTTCAACCAAACTAAAGGATGCACAGTTGCCAAATGGATTCAGCTCCTTGGAGAAATATGTTGCTTTGCCGGGATGGGATTCTAGAAGTATGACAATGTCTGAGCTGGAAGAAACCCCAGCGAGCTGCCAGCCATCTCCTGTTTGTCAGAGGAGGAAAGCGAGGTGCGAAGTGGGGAACGACATGCCCCAGGGTCTTGGAGCAGGGCTGAGAAGCCCAGTCTGCAGGGACTCTTTCCAGGGCCTCTTCCCACGCTGCCCAGCAGGGCATGGCGGGGCCTGTGTGAACCAGGCACAGGCTTAACTAACTCCCCACCCCCACCCCTAGAGAGAATGCGGGGGACTGCTATGGCCCAGTGTGGCCTGACATGGTCTGACATGAACACAGGTGACCCTGGGCAGTGACATGCTGGCTTCATGTAGCTACTCTGCCCAGCCCCTCCAACGGCTCCTCCAGTCCTCAGGCTCTGCCTCCTCTTTGTTTTTTTACTTCACTTTTTTTTTTTTTTTGACGGAGTCTCACTCTTGTTGCCCAGGTTGGAGTGCAGTGTTGTGATCTCGGCTCACTGCAACCTCCACCTCCCAGGTTCAAGCGAGTCTCGTGCCTCAGCCTCCCGAGTAGCTGGGACTACAGTCCCGCACCACCACGCTAGTTTTTGTATTTTTAGTAGAGACGGGGTTTCACCATGTTGGTCAGGCTGGTCTTTAACTCCTGACCTCAAGCGATCCTCCTGCCTCAGCTTCCCAAAGTGCTGGGATTACAGACGCGAGCCACTGCACCTGGCCTGTTTTTTCACTTAACTTTTAATTTCAGGCTAATTTCAGACTTACTGAGAAGTTGCAAGAACAATACAAAGAATTTCCCCATGCTCTTCCCTCAGACTCTCCAACTGCTAACAATTTTCCACATTTGCTTTATTATTTCCTCTCAATGTGTCTGTTTTTCTATTGCTTTCCCCCTAAACTGTTTGAGAGAAGGTTGTAATGTCCCTTTCTCCTAAATACCCCAACGTGTGTTTTTGTTGTTGTTTTTTTTTTTTACATACGGACATTTTCTTACATAACCACAGTGTACTTATCAAAACCAGATAATTAATGCTGATACAATTCTATTGGATAATCGACAGAATTTATTCAGATTTTGCCAATGGTTCCAATAATATCTTCTAAGACAAAAGAAATTTTGTTCAGTATGCTGCGTTTAATTCTCGTCTCTCTATTCTCCTTGAATCTGGAATGATTTCTCAGATTTTCTTTCTCTTTCATGTCATTGATCTTTTTGAAGCATAGAGCAGTTATTCTGTAAAATGGCCCTCATCTGGGTTGTCTGATGGTTCTTCATGGTTCCATTTAAGTCATGCCTGTTTGGCAGGAATATCACAGAAGCACGTTTTGTCCTTCCCAGTGAATCATATCAGGAGGCACATGGGCTCTCCATGT
Source organism: Homo sapiens (assembly GCF_000001405.40). NCBI lineage: Eukaryota > Metazoa > Chordata > Mammalia > Primates > Hominidae > Homo > Homo sapiens. The sequence goes on from NC_000011.10 coordinate 60,984,046, forward strand.
CCCCTCTCCGGTGGTCTAACTTGCTTGGCTAAGGTGTTGTCTGCTAGATTTCTCTGCTGTAAAGATAATTTCCTCCTTTGTAATTAACATGTATCTTGTGGGTAGATTCTTTGAGAATATGTAAATATCTTACTCTTCCTCAAACCTTTGCCCACTAGTTGTAACATTATTGTTGATTCTTGCCGGAATCAGTTATTATAAGGATGGTTACCTGGTGGTGATATTATAATTCCACCATTCCTTCTTCATTAATAGTTGCTGACTCGGCTCTCTTTGCTGCCTCCGTGGGAGGGAGGCAGGTGGCTCAGTGCATGGCAGGCTGGTACTAATGAGGCCAAGGTTTGAGCTCCCTTTCCACTGTGCCTCTGGTGGCTGCTGTCTTGCCCCGCCTCGGATATTGGAGTCCGGGTCAGCACCTCTCCACCTTAGGGCTAGTTCTCCCTCCATCTTTACAGTTTTGCCATTCATTTGTTGAGCTACTAGTATGTGTTAGGCACTTTTTTTCAGCCACTGAGGATACGGGACAAAGTCCCGGTCTTCAAGAAGCTTCTATTCTAATAGGGAAAATAGACCAAAAACATAAACACATTTTTAAAATAGTATCATTTCAGAGAGGGATATGTGCACCAAGGGAAATCAGGCAAAGTAAGGGGACTGAGAGCGGTTGCACTGGAGACACAGGCAGAACCTCGGAGGGGATATAGACCTGAGTGATGAGATGAGCTGGGAATGCTGAGATCAGGGAGAGGACATTCCCGTCAGGGGGAGGAGCAGGGGCGGAGGCCCTGAGGCAGGAATGAGATTGATTTCAGACTGATGGAGGAGTGAAGGAGATGGAGTTGGAGAGGCTGGCAGGGCTTGAGGGCATAGATAATAGGGTTTGGAATTAATCCAAGGGAAATGGGAGCTCATCAGAGAGTTTTAGGTGTAGAAGGATGTGATTTCATTTGCCCTTCATGCATATACAATTACTTAAGAATTTTGTACATCAACTCCTTTTTTTCTTTTTTTAAACAAAGATATAGAACGCTTCACGAATTCACGTGTCATACCTGTACAGGGGTCATTCTAATCTTCTCTGTATTGTTCCAGTTTTCGTATATGTACCGCCGAAGCTTGCACCCACTCCTTTTTTTTTTTTTTTTTTTTTTTTTTGAGACTGAGTTTCGCTCTTGTCGCTCAGGCTGGAGTGCAATGGTGCCATCTTGGCTCACTGCAACCTCTGCCTCCCGGGTTCAAGTGATTCTCCTGCCTCAGCCTCCCAAGTAGCTGGGATTACAGGCATGCACCACCATTGCCTGGCTAATTTTTGTATTTTTAGTAGAGACGGGGTTTCGCCATGTTAGCCAGGCTGGTCTCAAACTCCTGGCCTCAGGTGATCTGCCCGTCTCAGCCTCCCAGAGTGCTGGGATTACAGGTATAAGCCACCGCACCCGGCCACCCTCTCCTTTTATAAACTTAAGTTTATTTGAACTTAGAAATCTGTCACTATCATGTATCTCAAACCAATACTACTTAAGTAAATAGAATATATATATATAAACAAAGAAAACACTGAAACCAAAAGTGTCATTAAATAGCCTGCCGTCCAAGCATGAGCTGTCTCTCCATTCATTAAGAAGTGTTAGGTGGCCAGGCACAGTGGCTGATGCCTGTCATGCCAGCACTTTGGGAGGCCAAGACAGGCAGGTTGCTTGAGCCCAGGAGTTCAAGAGCATCCTGGGCAACATTGCATGTCCCCATCTCTGCAAAAATAAAATTTAACAAAAAGTGTTAGGTGTTAAAGACTAAGTAGCAGCACAATGAGACTTTCTCCTTAATGCAGTCGGACAGAAAAATTGGAAAAGGAATAATTTGTTTACTGCATGATTCAGTTCCATTTAATCTTATATGTTAAACTGTCTTTCTGACTCAGACCTGATTTGAGAAGCATTTTGCTAACTGGTGGAAGGATTTGACAGGCCCAGCCCACCCATTTAACCATGGAGAAACTGAGGCCTTGGAACGGGGCAAGGACTTACCCAAGGTCCTGGTAATAGCTGCTCTCCATTCTACTCACCCTCGGTATCACTCCCACCCAATGCTAGCTGAAAATTCAGATGTGATGTAAACATTAGTCATCCTTATTGTAAAAACGTTATAACAACCACATTAGAAGGAATGCAAAGAGAGAAAAGAAGTCTCAGCCAGCACCTTCACACAACCCGGCTGTTTGTTCTTGAAGGAGGAAGTTTTTGAGTCTGTGGAGCGTCATGGGCCTTCAGTCTCACCAGCAGGAAGGTGGGTGGCTGATGGGTGCCGGGCTGGTGTTGATCCACACTTGTCAGGTGGCTCTGAGACCAGCCTTGACTCCAGGCTCCACCACTTCCGCCATGACCTTGGGCAAGTTCCCAAAGCTCTCTGAGGTAAAATGGGTGTGGCCATGTCACTCTTCAGCTTTTGCGCTCTAGGTAGATGCTAAAGCCTTCCCTGAAGATCTCTATGGAACTTTTAGTCACCTGCATCTGTGGGGGCTGCCTCAGCCCTAACCATGTCAACATAGTGTTGAAATTCAGTTCCGAGAAACACTTGTGGGTTTGTAGACTCTATGGCATCTGGAAGTGAAAGAGGGACACATCTCTCCCTCTTACGGGTTCCTTCCCCCGCTCTCAACGCCCCTAATCCAGAATGCCCTAGAAGCTCTTCTCAGCTCCCACCTTCTGCCCCGGAGGCAGCTTTTGTTGCAGGTACACCTGTGGTTTAGTTTACTAGAGTTGCTGCAACAAACTGAGTGGCCAGGGCAACAGAAATGTATTGTCTCTCCCTGGCGCCGTGGCGCACAGCTGTAATCCCTGCACTTTGGGAGGCTGAGGCGGGCAGATCACCTGAGGTCAGGAGTTCAAGACCAGCCTGGCCAACGTGGTGAAACCCCGTCTCTACTAAAAATACAAAAACTAGTTGGGTGAGGTGGCACGCGCCTGTAATCCCGGCTACTCAGGAGGCTCAGGCAAGGGAATCGCTTGAACCTGGGAGGCAGAGGTTGCAGTGAGCCGAGATGGCACCACAGTGCGAGACTCCATCTCAAAAAAACAAAAACAAAAACAAAAAAACCAGAAATGTATTGTCTCACAGTTCTGGAGGCTCAAAGTCCAAGATCAAAGAGTCAGTGGGACTGGTTCCTTCTGAGAAGCTGTTCTCTTCTGAGCTTCTGGTGGCTTGCTGGCAATCTTGGGCATTTCTTGACTTATAGAAACATTGCCCCAATCTCCGCCTTATCTTAAAATGGTGTTCTTATGTGCATGTGCCTGTGTCCAAATTTCCCACTTCTGTGAGGACAACAGTCATATTGAATTGGGGCCTGCCCTGATGGCCTCATGCTAACTTGATTGCCCCTATAAAGACCCTATTTCCAAATAAGCTCACATTCTGGGGTACTGGAAATTAGGACTGTTTTAAGAGGAGGGGAACAATTCAACAACTCGTAGCAATGTATGTAGTGTGTATAGGGTGTGTGTGTAGGGTGTGTGTGTGTACATGTATGTATGTGTGTGTGGTGTGTGTGTATGGTGGGGGGGTATGGAGAAAGAGGTGGGTCACTGCCCTACTTAATCTCTCCTCCTAGCCCACTCATCCTCTGGAGAGATGCAAGTTAGATATCTCAGGTTATTTGGCAAAGGCCTGGAAAGAGGTATCTTTCCATCGATTTCTTACCCCTGAGAACTCCTACTCATCCTCTAAAACCCTTCCCAATTGTCCCCTGTTTCTTGGAGTCAGTTATTCCCTCCTAACTCTGTTTTTTTTCCAGAGTACTTAGTTCCAAGCCCAAGGATAGCATTTATAACTGATCGTAATCAACCACGAGTGCATCTGTATCCTCCACCAGGGCATGGGGCCTGGCCCAGAGCCTAGCTGAGAGAATGGAATGAATGAGTGGCATCTCCCTGACCAAGGGTTAAGATAGATGGGAACTCAGAAGGACTTTGAGCCGCCTCAGAAGCATCCTGTAAGTGACTTGTGAAGAGGAGTAGGGGACAGCCGTGTGGGCTGAGAGCTGAGAGTGTGAGATCAGATTAGAGAGACTGGAAGTCTGGCTCCGCCTCTTAGTAACTGTGGCCTTGGGCAAGTCATTTCATGCTGCGGAGCCTCAGTTTTCTCATCTGGAACACTGAGCCTTCACAGGCTCCTCATGGAGATGAATAAGACGGTGCGTGCTGTATACATAAAGCTGGGGCACACAGTGGGCATTCAGATGTTACCTTCCTTCCAAGGAACCCATATTTTTTTCCTGAATTTGAATTCCTGAATCCACTGGCACTCTGAGCCACGTAGATCCACATGGCCATTGGCCGCTGTCAGCCCCCAGCTGTTAAGGACGCAAGGTGGCCACAAAGCATTAGTCTGAACATCCCTGGTGCCTCCCCCAGGTTCTCTTTGAATCTGGATTTATTTAAAGAGAGGAGGTGAGTGGTAGGTGAGGAGGGGGCTGTTGTTAGGACATGGATGGGCACAGGACATGTGTCTGGTGAGCGTAGCTGCCAGGGCCGGTCCCTGACACCCCAAGGAGACTTTCTGGTCCCAGCCCAGCCTACACTCCCACCTGCTCTGGAGAGGCTGTGTTTCCTTCCAAGGATGGATGCTGATGATGTCTGATGGCTTCTGGATGTCTGATCTCAAGGGGGCCTTCTCTTAGGGGGCTTTAGGCCACCCTGGAAAGGTCTCAGCATCACCCCTTGGAGCGGGGAGGATTTTCACCCCTTGCCCACACACAAGCTAAAACTGCTTCTGCTGCAGCTCTGGGAGACCTAGAACCAGGGCCCCTCCTGAGAGCCAGTGGGTGGGGGCAGGCCCCCTGGAAAATCGCTGAGAGCTCAGCAGTTTCAGCCTTCACTCCCCTCCTCACTCCCCTCCTCCAGCCTGCAGAAACCTAGCCCAGCCTTTGCACAGAGGGTCTTGCTCTGGGGAATTCTATTCTTGAATTTAATACCTTGAGTGTCTAGCCTGGCCCACCAGCTTCTGTCCCACCTCCAGGTGTTTGCTCGAGCTGTGCCCTCTCCCTAGAATGCCTTCTTAACTCTTGCTACTTGTTGAGGGCGCCTGAAGAGTAGAAAGAGTGAATCTGGGGAACAAATTCAAATTTGGATTTGAATTCTGGCTCTATCAATGCCAGGCTATGTGACCGTGGGCTAGGAACTTAATTTCCCTGAGCCTCTTTGTAAAATGGGTTTCATAATAGTGTCTCCTCACAAGGTAGCCATGAGGCAACGTCTGTAAAGCACTCAGCACAGAGGAAGCACTCGGCACAGAGGAAGTCCTCGGGAAATGTGGATCTGCTTCCCTTGCCTCAGCGAAATGCTCCTTGACTTTGAAGTCCTGGCCCAAAGGGCACCTCCCCGGCAATACCTTCCTGGACTCACTCACCAGCCCCACCACTTGCAGAGCAGCCCTGTCCCTCCTCCAGGTTCCTCAAGCATGTCTCCTGCCTCTGCACCTACCTCAGAGAGACAACATTCGAGTCAGCTCTTAACATCTGGCCTCCAGGCTGGACCACGGGCTCTATTACCTTTACTTTCCACGGCAGAGCGCAGCATGGCTCAAGAAATGCTGCGGGAGGTGAAGTGAGTTCTAGGGACTTCCATTAATAATAAGAGTAACTAGAATTTGTTGAGCATTCACAGCACACCCTGAGGTGTTTATCAGAGCCCAGGAAACCCTCTTTCTGGGTTCAAATCCCTGCTCTGCCTCTTAGGGGCTCTATTGTCCCAGAAAGTTCCTTGTCTCTTGAATCCTACATTTCCCCGCCTGCACGATAGTGATAATAACAGTGCTTACTTCTGAGCATTGTTAAGGAGATTCAAGAATTTAAAACTATAAAAACCCATGGCTTTCTTACCCAGAGAAGGGCAGAAAAATCGTTGGCAGGGTGCATTGATATGACTCGGACAATTTACAAAGGTTTTTCATATATGCTTTTATTTTAAAATTTTTTTGTTTTTATTTTGTTTTATTTTATTTTACTAAAATTTTATTTAGTAAAAATAGTACAGAATTTAGAAAATACAAAAACAGAAAAATTTAAAAATTTATCAATAGCTACCTTCAAAGATAACTGTTGTTACTAGCCTCTTGTAGAATCTTCCAGACATTTCGTTAGAGAGGAATATTGCAAACATACAGAAATGCATTGAGAATGACATTTGTTTATTTGTTTATTTGCTTTTGAGATGGTGTCTCGCACTGTCACCCAGGCTGGAGTGCAGTGGTGCAATCTCGGCTCACTGCAACCTTTGCCTCCTGGGTTCAAGTGATTCTCCTGTCTCAGCCTCCCAAGTAGCTGGGACTACAGGCACACACCACCACACCCGGCTAATTTTTGTATTTCAGTAGAGATGGGGTTTCACCATGTTGGTCACACTGGTCTTGAACTCCTGATCTCAAGTGATCCACTTGCCTCGGCCTTCCAAAGTGCTGGGATTACAGGCGTGAGCCACCGCGCCTGGCCTGAGAATGTTTTAATGAACCCAATGCGTCCTCACCACCCAGACTTAGAAAATGTTTACACTTTTGCCGTATTTGCTCAGATCTATATTAATAAGAAAGAAAACCATACAGATACTGTTGAAATAATTCTTATCCTTTCCTCCCTAGAACACACACTCCAAAGTGTGGTGTGTGTACCCTTTTCTCCCACATTTTTATACTCCTATTACACAAAAAGTGTCTCCATACACAATGGATGGTATTGAGACATGTACTATATTTTATATAAATTGTACCCTACTGGACATATTGTTCTGAAACTTATTATACTTTTCTCCTTGTTTTCAAAATCTAACCAAGTGGATAGATATGCATCTAGTTCATTCCTGCAATGGAATAATCCAGCCTATGATACAATACAGTCTGTTTATTTCCAGCTGATGGATGGTTAGAGTACTTCTAATTTTCTTCTGTTACAAACAGTTCCGCAGAAAGTATCCCTGCACACATCTGCATGTGAACAATTTTTTCTATAATTTATACAAAAGGGTATAGCTTTCAGATCAAGGTATGAGCCTCTTGAAATCTATGAGGTATCATCAGCCATTTCCTTTTCTTTCTTTCTTTCTTTTCTTTTCTTTTTCTTTCTTTTTTTTTTTTTTTTTTGAGACGGAGTTTCACTCTTGTTGTCCAGGCTGGAGTGCAATGGCTAAATCTCGGCTCACCGCAACCTCCACCTCCTGGGTTCAAGCGATTCTCCTGCCTCAGCCTCTCGAGTAGCTAGGATTGCAGGCATGCGCCACCATGCCTGGCTAATTGTTTTGTATTTTTAGTAGAGACAGGGCTTCTCCATGTTGGTCAGGCTGATCTTGAACTCCCAACCTCAGGTGATACACCCGCCTCAGCCTCCCAAAGTGCTGTGATTACAGGCGTGAGCCCCGCGTTTGGCCTCATCAGCCATTTTTCTCTGCACAATATCCATAAGGCTATGATCATCCTGAATATGTTGTTTTTCATCTGTTTTTTCCATCTACGATACATATATGCACACATATTCATCTTTCACGTATTTGCAGGTATAGTCATTGATTCCACAAGATCTTGGGCATTTGCCATGGGCCAGGTATTGGGGGTTTTTATGGTAATCTTTCCTTAGCCCTGTGAGGTTTTTGTTTCGTTTTCATTTTAGAGGTGGAATCTCACCCTGTTGCCCAGGCTGGAGTGCAGTGATGATCATAGCTTACTGCAACCTCGAACTCCTGGGCTCAAGTGATCCTCCTGCCTCAGCCTCCTCAGTAGCTAGAATTACAAGCATGTGTCCAGCTAATTTACTTATTTATTTATTCATATATATCTATATATATGTATATATATATGTATATATATCTATAGAGAGAGAGACAAAGGATCTCACTCTGTTGCCCAGGCTGGAGTGCAGTGGCACCATCTTGGCTCACTGCAGCCTCAAACTCCTCGGCCCAAGTGATCCAACCTCAGCCTCTCGACTAGCTGGGACCACAGGTGCACACCACCATGTCCAGCTAATTTTTTGAATTTTGGTAGAGACAAGGTTTTGCCTTGTTGCTTAAGCTGGTCTCAAATTCCTGCGCTCAAGCAATCCACCCACCTTGGCCTCCCAAAGTGCTGGGATTACAGCGTGAGCCACAGCACCCAGCCTCATTTTTTTATTTTTAAATTTATTTTGTAGAGATAGGGTCTCACTGTGTTGCCCAGGCTGTTCTCAAACTCCTGGCCTCAAGCAATCCTCCTGCCTCAGCCACTGAAAGTGCTGGGATTACAAGTGTGAACCACTGTGCCCAGCTTGTGAGGCTTTTTTTTTTTATATATAACTATGAGGTGAGGGAGGCAAGGGGGGCATGTGAAGAGATTCGCCCAGGGTCACACTATAGTAAGGAGGAAGCTGGGTTTCTAACCCAGGCATGTTTAATTTCAATCCAGTGTTCTTTCTGATGCCTATGATGTGGTAGATGGTTTTTTCCCAACCAAGACCTACTGAATGGGAATTCTAAAAGAGGGACCTGAGGGCCGGGCGCTGTGGCTCACACCTGTAATCCCAGCACTTTGGGAGGCCAAGGTGAGCAGACTACCTGAGGTCAGGAGTTCAAGACCAGCCTGGCCAACATGGTGAAACCCGGTCTCTACTAAAAATACAAAAATTAGCCGAGCATGGTGGCGTGCACCTGTAATCCCAGCTATTAGGGAGACTGAGGCAGGAGAATCACTAGAACTTGGGAGGCAGAGGTTGCAGTGAACCAAGATCGTGCCACTACACTCCAGCCTCGGCGACAGTGTGAGACTCCGTCTCCAAAAATAAAAAAAAATAAAAAAATTAAAATTAAAATAAATAAATAAATAAAAGAAGCACCTGAATATTCTTCTCCTCCTCTCAGTGGTCTAAAGTCTGGCGGGGGATCAAGAAGATGGGGCTGGTGACATGCCAGTGTTTCTGGCCTGCTGTGCTCTCTTGGAGCCAAATCCCTACTCTTATCCCTTGGGATTTTACTGAGCTGCTTGCAACCCTCCATGGGACCTTCTCATTTTACCACCTGGTAGCTGGAAAGAAGGCACGGTCTGGCACGGGAGCCTGAGCCAGCCTTGGAGCCAGGACCCCAGGAGACTTTTCTTTTAGAGGAACTCCTGTTACCACAGCAACTACAGCCCACATCTCCTCCCTAGGAACACTGGATGTTTGCAGAGCCGGGGAAGGGTGCAGCCAAGTTGAGAGTCTGCAGCAGCTCAGATAAGGTTCACAAGAAAGGCGAGGAGTGAGGAGGAGAGAATGCAGCCTTCAGAGAACCAGAATCACCCCCTTGCAGAAAAGAAGGCTAAGGAGCTGTCAGAGTCATCTTTCTGCCTGGTATGGAATGTAGAATCAATAGCCAGCTGCCGTCCCATAGCTACCAAGGGCCAAACGAGAGAAAAGGGATGAAAGCCTCAGGTTGGAGGATAATAACAACCACAGCTACCATATACCGCGTCCTAAGCGTTTTACGAAGATCACCCACCCGTGCACTCTTCTTCTGTTTGGCTCATTTATCATGCCCAGTGCCAGGTTAAAGATGAAACCTAGCTGGGCTCAGTGACTTTCCCTAGGTCACACAGCCAGTAATCAGCAGAGATGGGTTTAGATCACTGTTCTATCTGTCCCCAGAGTCCCTGTCTAAGTCATGAAAGACGAATTTCCCGAGAATGGAGGCTGTTTCCCAGATGAATTGGTGCCTGGGATCTCCTGCTCCCTCGATCATCCCGCTCACACTCATCTCCCTCATATCATACCTGCCCCAGTTCCCAGCATATGCAACAAGTTCAGCAGATGTTCATGGAACTGAATGCAGGCTGGCAACAGACTCATTTCTCAGCTTTCAGGAGAACATGGCTCACGCCCTCTCACTTTCTTGGGAGAGGAGGGGGAGTCCCAGCAATTGAACGTACCTCAAAGCCTGTTAAGTCATGTTGATCTTATCTTTTAAGTTTTTTACAGAGGCGAGTAGGAAACGTTGTCTTTTACTTCCCCTTGGATTTGGTGACAGAGAGGAGGGGAGATGAAACCTGGGCATGCATGGAAGGTATCACACAGGTGAACATCATCTGTCCTGTGACATAGGGGCAAAAGAAAGGTAAAAAGGCTGAATTTCTGGCCGGGCGCGGTGGCTCATGCCTGTAATCCCAGCACTTTGGGAGGCTGAGGCAGGGGGATTGCTTGAGCTTAGGAGTTTGCGACCAGCCTGGGCAACACGGTGAAACCCTGTCTCTAGTAAAATACAAAAAATTAGCCAGGCGTGGTGGCACACACCTGTAGTCCCAGCTACTCAGGAGGCTGAGGCAGGAGAATTGCTTGAACCTGGGAGGCGGAGGTTGCAGTAAGCCGAGATCGTGCCACTGCAGTCCAGCCTGGGCAACAGAGTGAGACTCATCCCCTCCCCAACACCCCCGCCAAAAAAAAAAAAAAGCTGAATTTCTTTGACCTGAGTGACTGCAGTCCTCTGGGACTGGGACTCTTTGAGCCTTAACTTCCATCCGTCTCTGTCAATTGAGTAAATTGTTTTATTTGTGTCCCCAAGCCCTGCTGTGGTATAACTGGGGAGTGTGAAAACAAACCAAAATCCTGTAACATAATACCAAATAATACTCACTCTCTTTCTCTTTCTCTCTCAAGAAAATGAAAGCACATGAGCCAAGTTCTCCTGAAAGCTGAGAAATGAGTTTATTACCGATCTATGTTCCGTTTCATTAACACTTGCTGAACTTGTTCCACGTGCTAGGAACTGGGACAGGTATTCGGGAGATAAGTGTACATGTAAAATAATACCAAAGCACCAAACTGCTGACTTTCCTCTGGGCGCCAGGGGAGAGAAGTCACTCTAGCCTTCCTGGCCTTGGAGAGCCAAGTGGGTATAAGCTGGTCTAGTCACAGCAGCCAGTCACCTCTGCAGGCTAGGACAGCACTGTGTGACTGAGCCTGTGACAGCTTCAGTTTCTTGACAAAGTAAACTCAGCCCAACCGGGTGTCACAGGCTCTTCAAGTCCAAGTCCCCTCAAAGGTTGAACACATTTATCCCCTCCCAATTGAATTATATTACTTGTATGAGCCAGCGCATGCGTCTTTTTTTTTTTCTTTTTCTTTCTTTCTTTTCTTTTTTGAAATGAAGTCTTGCTCTGTCACCCAGCCTAGAATGCAGTGCTGCAATCTCAGCACACTGCAACCTCCCCCTCCCGGATTCAAGCGATTCTCCTACCTCAGCCTCCTGAGTAGCTGGGACTACAGGCATGCACTACCACATCCAGCTAATTTTTGTATTTTTAGTAGAGGCTGGATTTCGCCATGTTGGCCAGGCTGATCTCGAACTCCCGACCTCAGCTAGTCCACCCACCTCAGCCTCTCAAAGTGCTGGGATTACAGATGTGAGCCACCAGGCCCAGCCCGCATCTTTCTAATTTTAATGGAATTACAGGCGTTCCCTTCTTTCTAGTTGTTTTATTAATTGCTCACCATTAACAATACCAAGGGCATTTCTAAAAAGAAAATAGTTAGGACAGTTCCAGCACCCTCTCACTCAGAGCTTCCTCCCCTAAATTCATTGGCCCTCCTCTTCCAATTGGCCGATGCATCCTCAGGCCCTAGACAGTGCTGGAGTGAGCCCCATATTTGAGAGCAAGTGGGGAAGGGGTGGGGGCAGTGCGAGGTGAGACTATTAAGTCTCATCTTTTCCCTGCTGTGAGGTCTGTGGGATGACACATGCCACCCAGGACCCCCTGCCCCGGAGAAGGAAGGTTTCCTAGTTGTTGCTTATCTTTGGAGTCTGGGATCTTTTGGGAAATGAGTCCCTGGATCTTGGGTTCTGAGTTGTGTCACCATTGCGGGGGAAGGGTGGGTTATCATTTCTAAACTCAGTGCTGGTTGACACTTGCAGAGGAGAAAGGAGTTTGGAAAGCCTCCAGGGTTGTCAAAACTTCCTGCCTCTCGCCCTTGGCATGATCACCAAAGCAGAAATCAGGATGTTGGATTCCAACCCGGGGGAGTGGTGTGGTTACGAATGTGGCCTCTGCAAGCAGACAGCCTGGGTTCAATTCCCAGCTTGGCCATTTTCTAGCCGTGTAATCTTAGGCAAGATACTAAACCGCTCTGTGCCTCAGTTTCCCCATCTCGTGGTCTTGCTTTGACAATTAAATCATACTGAATAAATGTCAGCCATTACTGCTGAGCTGTGCCAGATTTGTGACGGGTGCTCGACGTGCCTTGGGGCCTCCCCTTTCCCTATCAGAGCAGTGGGAAGCATCACAACATCCTTCCCTTATCCCCCTGCACTCTGGACCCCAGATGCCCGAGATAAGTAGCTGCTCCCATCAGTGTGGGTTGGGAGTAGAAAACTAGGAGTCCATCTGGCTGCTTCCCAAACCTGCAAACCAGGAATCCCAGTCCAGCTTCCCGGCCACTGGGCAAGGGGCAGGTGAGTGTTTCCGGACAGCTCCCTGAACCAGTCCTGCTCCACTTGAATACCTGGAGTCTGAGCCAGGGCCTCGGGAGGCGGGCCCACCAGGGTTCACGTAGCATTTGTCATCACTGCTCGGGACAAAAGGCCAGTCTTCATACACAAGATGCACGGTGGTCTGCAGGTTAGCAGGGAGCACGCCTCTCCCAAGGTTCGGGGACACTAGTCACAAGGGCCTGGTGCCAGTCTTGCAGAGAGGCACACCCTGCCCTGTCCTGGCAGTGCTCCAGAGCAGCAGCTGGACTATCCGGGAGATCACTGCGCTGCACTGGGAGCCTGACCTCCCCGTGGGCCTTGGGGATACTCTTCCTTTGGGCCGCAGATTTTGCAATATTTCTGACAAAATACTTGCTGACAAAAAGCCTTCTGAGAGAAGCATTATTAACTCCAGTTCATGGATGACAGTCTAAGGCTCAGACTGGCAAAGTGACTGGCCAAAGGTCACTCCACTAATAAGGAACAGAGCTGGACTCCAGCCCAAGCCTTTGAACTCAAGGCCTTGTAAGGTACATAGGTACCTTCCCCCCATACAGCACTGTCTGATGTCAATATGTGAGTCACATTTATAATTTTAAATTTTTGGCTGGGCATGGTGGCTCATGCCTGTAATCCCAGCACTTTGGGAGGCCAAAGCAGGTGGATCACCTGAGGTCAGAAGTTCAAGACCAGCCTGGCCAACGTGGTGAAACCCCATCTCTACTAAAAGTATAAAAAAAGTAGCCAGGCATGGTGGTGCGTGCCTATAGTCCCAGCTACTCAGGGCGCTGAGGCAGGAGAATCGCTTGAACCTGGGAGATGGAGGTTGCGGTGAGCCCAAGATCATACCACTGCCCTCCAGCCTGGGTGATAGGGCGAGACTCCGTCTCAAAAAAAAAAAAAATAAAATAAAATAAAATAAAAATAATAAATAAATAAATTTTTAGCAGCTGCATTTTTTCAAAAAAGTAAAAAGAAACAGATGAAATTTCTTTAATAATATATGTTATTTAACTGAATATATCCAAAATATCATTTCTACACATCAATAAAAAAATTCTTAATAAGATACTTTACATTCTTTATTCTTACCAAGTCTTTGACACACAACCTGTACTTCACACTTAAAGCATGTCTCAATTTGGACACTCAAGTTTCACCAGAAACATTCAATCTGTATTTAGATTTCATACTAGTTACAATTGAAAAAGGAGAATCACATATCTCACTTACTCTGGCCATTTGAAAAGGTTTTCCAATGATTGAATTGATTATGCCTTTAAAATTAAATGGAAAACATTTTGTAAATTAAATAGAAATGAATTGAATTAAATAAAATGAAATTTTGAGTTTCTCATTGGCACGAACCCATTTCAAGTGCTCAGTAGCCACACGTGGCTGGTGGCTATTGTACTGGACAACACAGCACCATATGATTTTCCCTCCGAGTGGGGCTGAGTGATCTCTAAGCCCTTCAAATGTATGCTCCTCCCCTGCGTTTATACAGATGAGTGCTTTGTGTACCATGGGCCCACTTCCGTGATGATAAATGGACGGTGTAGGACAGATTTCCCATCTATATTGACAGCATACTGAAAACAGTATGCTGTAGTAGTTAAAAGGGTGATTTCTAGAGCCAGACTGTCCAGGTTCAAATTTTGCTTTGATTACTGACCAGCTGGGTGGCCTTGGGTGATTTACTTAAGCTCTCTATGTCCCAGTTTTCTCAGTGATGACACTGGGATGATGATATTAATAGTATGCACCTCACAGGGTGGTTGTAAGGATTTGCTAGTACATGTAATGCACACAGATAACCGCTATCATCTATGGGGCATACAGTAAGTGCTCAAGAGATGTTGCCTTTCATTACATATTTTATCTAATTATAATCAAAGAATGTAAGGACTGGACAAGATCAAAATCTCATCAATCTGTCATTATGCAAGTGACAAAACGGGGCCAGAAAGTGAAAGAACTCATTCAAGGTCATGTAGCAAGTTAATGATAGAAATCAACTGTCAGCTCCTGACGCCCAACCCAGTGACCCTCTCCACTGTGCCCCCAACAATGCTGACATTGCCGAGAAGAGACACCCTGACCTGCCAGCCACATGAGCTCTTCAATTCTTCCCTGGGAATGAGTATGGCTTTAGCTGGCGTGGCCACACTGTCTGCCCAGGTGCTCTCTGCAGGCTCATTGGAGCAGGGTGACTGGGTAGTCAGTATGAAAGCTCACTGTATTAGTACTTCAAGCTAGCCCACATGTCCCCCCAGGAAAAAAGCCCTGTGTATTTATTTGGGGACTTTTAATTTTTATTTGATATAGAACATTTGAAAAAATTAGAACAACACAAGGCAGAAAAAAAAAAAAAAAAAAAGGAAAACAGGCCAGGCACAGTGGCTTATGCCTGTAATCCCAGCATTTTGGGAGGCCAAGGCAGGCGGATCACCTGAGGTCAGGAGTTCGAGACCAGCCTGGCCAACATCGTGAAACCCAGTCTCTACTAATATATATAAATTAGGCGGGCATGGTGGCACATGCCTGTAGTCCCAGCTATTCAGGAGGCTGAGGCAGGAGAATTGCTTGAACTCGGGAGGCGGAGGTTGCAGTGAGTTGAGATGGCACCACTGCACTCCAGCCTGGGTGACAGAGCAAGATAGAAAGGAAAGAAAGAAAGAGCAAGAAGGAAGGAAGGAAAACTTATTAATACCATGTGGGCATGTATTTTCTTTTCCTATAGTAGAGATTAAATTTAATTTACTGATATTCTTTTAGCATCTCTCCTGGGCAAGGCACTGCGCAAGGTCCTGGATATATGGGGGTGATGCTTAGAATCTAGTGAGCCGATGGTTGTCAGTTCATGACCAGGATAGCTATGTAATTAAATGTGGCTGGGCCCACATGAAAAAAAATCTCAGGATGCAGTGAGAGGACAGAATGGGAGATTGTACTCGGGCTCTCTGTGGGTCCTGGAAAACCTTCAGAAGCTTAAAACATGGCGGGGGGTGAGGACGGGGACTGAAGGGGAGAGTACAACCATACTTATAACATAACCCTGTATTCTGCTTCTGCCACTTAACATTGTGGCATAAACTTATCCCCACATCATTAAATACTCCCTGTAAATTTTTTTTTGGCAAATATTTTTAATGTGCTATATTTTTCTAACCAACCCCCCAATCACTTTTAGACAATCCAGTTGTCTCCGGTTTGAATTTTTTTTTGGTGGGTTTTTATTTGTTTGTTTTTATTATGCTATCAGAAACAGCACAGGGTCGGGTTCTGTGGCTCACGCCTGTAATCCCAGCACTTTGGGAGCCTGAGGTGGGCGGATCACTTGAAGCCAGGCGTTCGAGATCAGCATGGCCAACATAGTGAAACCCCATCTCTACTAAAAATATAAATAAAAAAATTAGCCAGGCATGGTGGCAGGCGCCTGTAACCCCAGCTACTCAGTAGCTGCGGCAGGAGAATCGCTTGAATCAGGAGGGTGGAGGTGGCAGTGAACCGAGATCGCATCACTGCACTCCAGCCTGGGCAACAGAGGGAGAGTGAGACTCTATGGCAAAATAAAAATAAAAATAAATATAAATATAAATATAAAAAACCAGCACATCACAGCATTCTGGGGCTCCAGTGGATGGAAAAGGGAATCTAGAACCATCTAGTTCCAAAGCATGGACTTTAGTCTCCAGGCAGTATGGTACTTGAGATAGTTTTATTTAGGATAAGTTCCCAGATGTGGAATTACTGGATTGAAAGAGCTTGGTTTGCTGTTGTTGTTAAGGCTGTTGGCATCTGTGTTTGCAAACACTTTCTGTTGATTTTTTTTTTTAACTATACTTCTAGCAGGTGACACATGCACCTGGCTGCACCACTTGTAGATTCCACCTCCATGTTTCCATCGTCCCTTTCCACCCTGCCTCTGGCTCTGTACAGCATCTCTTCATCCATCATCCACTCAACGAGCATTCAGGATGCAACCGTGTTTTCCTCAGCACCTCTGACAGTGCCGGAGGACAGAAAGTAACCTCAGGTGTAGCTGGTGTTGACCTGACACTGGTCACTGGGCACGGCCAGGGCGGCATTCTGGGGAGTGCCTTGTTTCCCCACCAGGCTTGCTCTGACACTGGGCTGGCCAGCGGGAGGCTCAGCTTTCCCTCGATGTCTATGCCTCCTTTCTCCACAAGTCCCTCACCTCTCAGATGCCCATGGGACATCTCAGGAGCCTGGGTGACACAACAGGAGTATCAGTGTCCCGTTCCGTTTTCTCAAATTCCAGGCAACAAGGCTCTTTCGTGCCTTCATTCTTCCTGTGCTTACAGTCTCCTCCGCAGCCCGTTCCACTGGAGTCTTCTTCCCACTACCCCATTGGAGGTTCTGTCCCACTCGGGGACTTCTGCATGGGACTGGCCTGAAAAAGCCGCCTCCTTCCTGGGCTGGGGTCGGCACTCCCAACCTCTTTCTTCTCCTATTCTGAAACCAGCCGCTCCCCTCCATCCCTTCCCTGTCTTGTTCCATCACTTTCCAGAATTTGGGACACAACTAGAGATGATTTTCAGGGGCACACAGTATAACTTCAGGTGGTAAATGAACTTAGCATTAAATAACACTGAATCATGTGGCAATAAAAGTTTAAATAATTATTATTTTTCAATGTTTTGTCATTCCTTCTGATTCTATCAGATAGTCTGATGATGATGTGTCTTTTTTTTTTTTTTTTTTTTGAGACGGAGTCTTGCTCTGTCGCCCAGGCTAGAGCGTAGTAGTGGCGTGATCTCAGCTCACTGCAACCTCTGCCTCCTGGGTTCAAGCGATTCTCTGCCTCAGCCTCCCGAGTAGCTGGAACTACAGGCACCTGCCACCACGCCTGGCTAACTTTTGTATTTTTAGTAGAGACAGGGTTTCACCATATTGGCCAGGCTGGTCTCGAACTCTGGACCTTGTGATCCACCCACCTTGGCCTCCCAAAGTGCTGGGATTACAGGCGTGAGCCACCGTGCCTGGCCGATGATGTGTCTTTTAACATCTCTAACATGGCTTTATTTTTAGTATGCTTGTTTTTACAATTACCTTCTATTTTAAGCAAGTCATATAAATCGTCCCTTTAGGTTTTAATATCTTCTTATTTTTTTCATATCAACATACATACCTAATTTTACATACATAGAATCATATCATACATGATTTTTAAAGTACAGCCTTTTACCTTCATTGCTTGCTTTTCCTCCCCCTATCTTCCATGGCTGTGACTGTGTCCCACGACCAGCTGCATAGTTTGCAGGGCCCAGTGCAAAACGGAGATGCAGGGCCTTTGGTTCAACAAATGATGAGGAATTTCAAGATGGCAACAGCAGAGGATTCAAGCAAAGGCCGGGTCCTTCTAAGCACGGGGCCCTGTGCACAGTCCACCAGCCTGTGGAGCTGGCCCTGCTTGGCCCCTTCCCCTGAAGCCCACTCTTAATTTTTCCATTTTGATTATCTGCTGTGTGTTCTCCCACACTTATCTTCATGTTCCTGCAATCATACCAGTTCACAGAGGGGGTTTTTTGGCCTTGCTTCACAAAAAATGTATCATATTATATTCTCTTCTCTGCATCTTGCTTTTCCTACTCAACACAGCTTGGAAATCCTGCCAACCCATCTGGGTCTATTTCATTCTTTATAAAGGCTGCATAAGATGCCATGCTGTAAATGGACCGTAATTGATTCAGCCGTTTCCCCTGTGAATGGGCATTCACTCTGTTTCTAACATTTTGCCATTCAAAAATCTGCAGTGGACTGGGTGCGGTGGCTCACACCTGTATGCCCAGCAGTTTGGGAGGCTGAGGCAGGCAGATCACTTGAGGTCAGGTGTTCAAGACCCAACCTGGCCAACATGGAGAAACCCCATCTCTACCAAAAATACAAAAAAATTTAGCAGGGTGTGGTGGTGGGTGCCTGTAATCCCAGCAACTTGGGAGGCTGAGGCAGGAGAATTGCTTGAACCCAGGAGGTGAAGGTTGCAATGAGCCGAGATCACGCCACTGCACTCCAGCCTGGGTGACAGAGCAAGACACTGTTTCAAAAAAAAAAATCTGCAGTGAACATTTTTATGATCAGGTGTCTTTAATGATGTAAAAAAGCAAATTCACAGGAAAGGGTAAAAGTTTGCTCTTACTCTGTTTTGTGTTGCTATAACAAAGTACCACAGAGTGAGTAATTTAAAACAAAAAGAAATTTATTTCTTATAGTTCTGCAGGCTGGAAAGCCCAAGATCTAGGGGCCACATCTGATGAGGGCCTTCTCTCTGCATCATAACACAATGGAAGGCGTCACATGGCCAGAGAGTGCACGAGAGACAGAGCGAGGGACGGTGGAACTCTCACTTTTACGACAAAACCACTTCTGCAATAACCAACACACCCCTGTGATAACAGCATTAATCCGTTCATGAAGGCAGACTCCTCATGACCTAATCAACTCTTTTCTTTTCTTTTCTTTTCTTTTTTGAGACACAGTCTCGCTCTGTTGGCCAGGCTGGAGGGCAGTGGCGCAATCTCAGCTCACTGCAACCTCCACCTCCCAGGCTCAAGCAATTCTCCTGCCTCAGCCTCCGGAGTAGCTGGGATTACAGGCATGTGCCACCACACCCGACTAATTTTTGTATTTGTAGTAGAGACAGGGTTTCACCATGTTGGCCAGGCTGGTCTCGGACTCCTGACCTCAGGTAATCCACACGCCTTGGCCTCCCAAAGTGTTGGGCTTACAGGCGTGAGCCACCACGCCCAGCCCTAATCAATTCTTAAACATCCAACTTCTCAACACAGGTCATTGGGGGATTAAATTTCCAACACATGAACCTTGGAACACATTCAAACCATAGCAGGCTCCTTTTCAAATAAATTTATTGCAGCAAAAAAGTGAACCAATTTAAAGAAAAGTGTGAGGCACAGGGCCAGGCAAAAGTGGTAACAATGGGCCGGGTGTGGTGGCTCACGCCTGTAATCCCAACAATTTGGGAGGCTGAGGTGGGCAGATCACTTGAGCTCAGGAATTTGAGACCAGCCTGGGCAACATGGGAAAACCCCGTCTCTACAAAAAATATACAAAAATTAGCCAGCATCGTGGCAAGCGCCTGTAGTCCTAGCTACTCGGGAAACTGAGGCACGAGAATCGCTTGAACCCAGGAGGTGGAGGTTGCAGTGAGCCGAGATTGTGCCACTGCACTCCAGCCTGGGCGACAGAGCGAGACACTGTCTCAAAACAAAAAAGGTGATAATGATGTCTGAGAAACGCTGATCTTCCATTCGGCCCTCTGTGAAATGAGGCCTGGATGGAAAGACGGTTCCAGGTAATTTCTGCTTTTGTTCCTGTAGCACAGAAGTCAGAGAACAGAGAAGCCAGGTTCCCTTCTTGGGATAGGGGATGGGAGAATGCTTGACACAAAAATAAAGCCCTCGAGGTTATCCGCTTTCAACCAGCTGCCTTGGAGCTGGCAGCTGCTGCTCATTCATTCAGTCAATCAACAAACATTGCCTTGGACACTGTGGGGGACACAGGGCTGACCCAGCCATGGGCCCTGCCCTCTAGGGTTTTCTGATCTAGGAGAACACATTTTTGTCTTTATGCATGAGAAAGTGGTTTTCCAGACCCAGAGAGAGAGATGATACAGAGCAGAGCTAAAGCCCCCCTGCCCCACACACATCACATTCACACACACAGTCGTAATCACATATGCACACAGTCCCTCACACACACTCATATGCACACACCTCACAGTCATACACACTGCAGCCATCATTCAATCCCCCTCCCCCACCCCATGTAGTAACATTGAAAACTACGCAGGAGCACTGGGACGGTTGCTGTGGGAACCGGGATTCTGAAATCCTAACTTGTGGGCATCTGAATTCTTGCGCTGAACATTCTAATACATCAGCCACAGAGTTTATGCTCTGAATTTGGAGTCATTTCTCCTCCAGGGGCTCAGGCTGGGCAGCCAGCCAGGGAGTTAGCGAGGACGGCAATTAGAGGGCTGAAGACTTTCTGCCTGATGATGAAGAGGCCCACACGGTTTCCTGGAGAGGGCTGTCTGCCAGGGTGTGCACGCGCACATGCACAAGCTCAGGCTCAGGGGGTATGTCCGTGGAATCTGCTCAGGTGAAGCTCCAGGAATGTGTAGTGGTCATGTCCGAGTCTTCAGGCTCTGTATCGGTCAGGCCGGACTAGGCAAGGCTGTAGCAACAAGGACACCCCCAAATCTTCATGGTTTAACATGATAAGGGCTTACTCCTTACTCACACAAAATCCAAGCTGGGTCAACATCCCCTTCCCTCTTGCAGTTCCTCCGCAACCCAGGGCCTCTAATATCCTTCAACAGGGAAGACGTAAATGGAAATGGCTCACTGCCTCTTCCCTGCTTTGGCTCAAAAGCAGGCAGACGTCTTCTGCCTAGGCTTCAACCAGCCCAACCTAAGTGCAAGAGAAACCAGGAAATGCAGAGGAGTTCATAGGCAACCACAACAGTCCCTGCCCCAGAGCCTCCCTTTGTGCTTTGCAAGCCCAAACATCCCAGCCCAGAGGGGAGGCAAGTCCTTGGAGACAGTTTAAATCCGGGCTCTGCAGCTTGCTCACTGGGTGGCCTCAGGCCCACGCATCAGTTGGGTTCCCACCAGGAAACCTAGAATAGGAATTTAAAGGGGACTTATTTACAGAAGAACTATTTACAAAGGGTAATGCAGTAAGTAGAATCTAAGAGCAACTTCTGGCCAAAGGAGACACAACCAGGGAGTGGTCAGTGAGTCCGAGTAGGAGACAGTCAAGGAGAGGTCACCTTGAATAAGCAATGTCCTTCACATGAGGGACACAGCCTACCCGAGGGACCTCACAGGGGGGGCCAGAGGAATAAGTGTCACATCTTCGCTCTCCTCACTTCTGCCTAGCTCTGCTAAGGCTCCCCATTGGCTGAATCTGACAGAAGCCATAAGGCCCAGGAAGACAGGGGTTAATCCAAACAGATCAGCCTCCCAGGGCAGAATGGATAGTAGCTCTGGTGGAATAAATGGACCCTATCTGGCAGGGACAACTGATTTTTGCTTTTGGAGCCTCCTTTTCCTAATCTGTAAAATAAGAATGCTAACACCTGCCTCATTGCATTGTTGAAAGTAAATGGAATAGGCTGGATGTAGTGGCTCATGCCTGTAATCCCGGCACTTTGGGAGGCTGAGGCAGGCAGATCACCTGAGGTCAGGAGTTCGAGACCAGCCTGACCAACATGGAGAAACCCCGTCTCTACTAAAAATACAAAATTAGCCAGGCGTGGTGGCGCATGCCTGTAATCCCAGCTACTCAGGAGGCTGAGACAGGAGAATCGCTTGAATCTGGGAGGTGGAGGTTGCGGTGAGCCGAGATCAAGCCATTGCACTCCAGCCTGGGCAACAAGAGCGAAACTCTGTCTCAAAAAAAAAAAAAGAAAGAAAGAAAGAAAGTAAATGGAACAATATATGCAAATATGCAAATACCTGTCCTTCATGAATGCTAGTTTCTTAGTGTCTGAAGGCACTTTGCAATCCAGTGGTTCCCAGTCCAGGATGTGTCAATTATTCTAAAGTCTGATATGAAATTCTCAAACAAATTCTATAAACAAAATTTTCTTTTTCTAAATCACTCCCACTTTCGAGCTTTTTCTATATGTCAAGTATTTCATAGGCTGTCTCATTTCAGTCTCACAATATTTTCCTAAGAATCATAGCTGAAAAATTGGGACTGGCACAGAAAGATTAAGTCACCCATTCATGGTCACGAAGCCACTTTGTGTGTCTGGCCCCAGTGCCCACTGCCTTTCCTCCCTGTTCTACTCCGATTTCTGAAGCTGTGTGTGCAATGAATAGGTAAAGCGGAGGATCCTGAAATGCCAATGTTTGAGAACTTTCCCTACCTTGAAGGGAGGCCAATGCACCCAAAGTTGAGGACCACGTCTTTTCCAAAGGCCTCATGTAGCCACCACAGGCTCCAGGAAGTGCCCCCTGCTCATCAGGGTGTCTCTGTGGTCTCCAGGCCTGAGCTCACTCACCCACCATGCTGCTGCTGGTTCATTTCAGGTCATCCATCTCCAGCCCCACCTGACCAGCTCAACACCAGCAGTGCAGAGAGTGAGCTCTGGGAGCCAGGTGAGCAAACATTCCCTCTGGGGGTCCATGATCAGCTTTCTGTAGGTGGTCCCCCAGGGTAATAAAGAAGGGAAATGGACATTTAGGATACCAGGGAGGCTCCCTGACTTCAGACAACACTTCTTCCTGACCCATCACCTGAAGTTCCACTATCAATTCACTTTGAGGTCGTAGAACTACCATTTTTGAGAGGACACTGATAAGTCACATACAGGTGGGCAGGTATGCCTGGAGCATTTTAAGGGGATTTGTTGAGAACAGGCTAGAGTTCTTGGTGGGGGAGGCAGGGTCCTTGATTTACTCAGCAGACGTTTATTAAGGACCTACTGTATGCAAAGATGCATGCTAGCACTGGGGGTACAATCCTGGGCTAAAAGGGGCAGGTGGTTCCCATAGAAGGGGTTCTGGGGAAGTGAGGACCACCATCAGCTGAAGCAGCCCATCATCAACCCCATGGCCAGCCGCTTCACAATCCTCCAAGGTTCCCTAGTCACTGTGACAGCCTCTAGGACAGTACCCTCAGAGGAGCAGAGGGGCCTTCAGGGGAAGCATGCGCCCACTGGACCAGGGCCCCTGAACTCACAACTCTGCCTTTCTTTCACAAACGGGTGCCCCTGGAGACAGGAGCAAGTGAGGAGGGTTTCTAGGGGGCTGGACCCCTAGTTGTCTGTCACCCATCTTAACCTCTAGAGTCACTCCCAAGCCCCACCTTCGGCTGACTCTAAGGAGAACCACAGGGTCAGGCCTCAAGGTGGGCTCAGGGATGAGCCAGCCCGGCTCCATTTTGCAGACTGGAAAGCTGAGACCCCTAGCCAGGCAGGGCGTTGTCAAAGTTCACGCACAGAGTCAGTGGCAGAGCCTGGGCAACCCTCTGCCCAGGCCCCACCGGTCTCAGCTCTCTGGTCTGACACTTCCAGGGGAGCGGCTTCCGGTCCGTCTGACAAACGGGAGCAGCAGCTGCAGCGGGACGGTGGAGGTGCGGCTCGAGGCGTCCTGGGAGCCCGCGTGCGGGGCGCTCTGGGACAGCCGCGCCGCCGAGGCCGTGTGCCGAGCACTGGGCTGCGGCGGGGCGGAGGCCGCCTCTCAGCTCGCCCCGCCGACCCCTGAGCTGCCGCCCCCGCCTGCAGCCGGGAACACCAGCGTAGCAGCTAATGCCACTCTGGCCGGGGCGCCCGCCCTCCTGTGCAGCGGCGCCGAGTGGCGGCTCTGCGAGGTGGTGGAGCACGCGTGCCGCAGCGACGGGAGGCGGGCCCGTGTCACCTGTGCAGGTACGAGCGCACCCCCTACACGGGCCCCCACCTGCCCCACTCCCCAGGCCTTCAGCCACTGCCCCTGGCTCCAGACCCTGGACGCAAGCCTCGCCCTCCAGACCTCCACCCCCACCGCCTACCAGTGCAAACGCACCGGGTTCCCACACCGGAGGACGACCTCGAGTCATTTCCAGATCTGAGCGTTTCCTTGGATCTGGCCTCCAGACTCCACCCCCACACTTGGTTCCTAGTCCCACCCCTGGGTTCCCAAAGCTAACCCGGTCTCTAACCCCACTTACTGGGCCCGCCGCTTCCCTGTCCCCGCCCGCTCTGGGTCTCTCCTCCCCTTTCGCCATATACATAAACATGCCAGGTTCACAGGGTCCCTAAGCGCTGTGGCTCCCAGGCTCCCAAACCTGCCCTCCAGGCCCCGCCCACCAGGTCTCTGGTCCCTCCCACCAGCCTGCGGCTCTACCTAACCCATCTGCAGTCCTGGGGGGATTCCCAGTCTTGCCTACCGGGCTACAGCCCTCTCACTGGGTCCACAACACGCTCACAACTCTCCGGCCAGTCCAACCATCACCCCAACCCTCCCTTCCTGGTCGGGTGCCCCAGCATCCACAACCCCCTCCCACCCCTAGAGAACCGCGCGCTGCGCCTGGTGGACGGTGGCGGCGCCTGCGCCGGCCGCGTGGAGATGCTGGAGCATGGCGAGTGGGGATCAGTGTGCGATGACACTTGGGACCTGGAGGACGCCCACGTGGTGTGCAGGCAACTGGGCTGCGGCTGGGCAGTCCAGGCCCTGCCCGGCTTGCACTTCACGCCCGGCCGCGGGCCTATCCACCGGGACCAGGTGAACTGCTCGGGGGCCGAAGCTTACCTGTGGGACTGCCCGGGGCTGCCAGGACAGCACTACTGCGGCCACAAAGAGGACGCGGGCGCGGTGTGCTCAGGTCAGTGGGCGGAGTCACTGAAGCCCGGTCACTACCAACACTCACCATAGGCCTACTGGGCGCCAAGCCTGGAGTTAGTGCCGGAGAGGTGGTCCCTGCCCTTGAGATGTCACAGTTCAGGAGGGGAGATGAGACTGAGACAAACATAATTCAGGAGAGAAAGTGGTAAATGCCCCCAAGAAAGGCAGTCAGGTGGAGTCTAGAGGCAGCAGACCATGCGGAGCTGTAGGCTAAGGCTGACCACCTCCCGGAAGAGGTGACATTAAAAGTGAGACTCTTCCCGAGTGGGAGTTGGCCACCTGCATTCAAGCAGCAAGGGGAGACTGAAGGGAGGGAGGCCTCTGAGGAGGCTGTTGGTCTGTCCAGGTGGGGCCAGAAGGTTCTGGACCAGCCAGTGCCTCTCTTTGATAAGCAGGAGATGGGGGAGGTGGGGGTGTTAAAATGTAGATTCTGATTCAGTAGGTCTGAGGCAGAGCTCCAGAGTCTGCGTTTCTAACAAGATCCCAGGCAATGCCGATGCTGCTGCTCCACAGACCACACTTATCACAGCAGGGTTGGCCAGAGCAAATGGGGCAGGTGACAGGGGGACACAGACACAGGAGGGAGAAGACACAAGATCTGGAGACCAAATGGCTGCATTGGTGCCTGCACTGGTGGGTCTGGGCTGGCGGGAATTTCTGCCCAAAGGATTCTGACCTGACTCTGTCCCCTGCCCCTTCCCTGCAGAGCACCAGTCCTGGCGCCTGACAGGGGGCGCTGACCGCTGCGAGGGGCAGGTGGAGGTACACTTCCGAGGGGTCTGGAACACAGTGTGTGACAGTGAGTGGTACCCATCGGAGGCCAAGGTGCTCTGCCAGTCCTTGGGCTGTGGAACTGCGGTTGAGAGGCCCAAGGGGCTGCCCCACTCCTTGTCCGGCAGGATGTACTACTCATGCAATGGGGAGGAGCTCACCCTCTCCAACTGCTCCTGGCGGTTCAACAACTCCAACCTCTGCAGCCAGTCGCTGGCAGCCAGGGTCCTCTGCTCAGGTACCCCATCCTACTCCACCCCCCCAGATTTGAGCCAGAATTCTACCTGAATCCATGTCCTAAAAACTTACAGTCCAAGGACCACAATAGGCACCAGATCGGCAATGGCACATATGGCATAAGAAGGACTGTTGTCCTTACGGTGCCCAGGCAGACAGTGCTAATTCATCGAGGTATTTTCAGATGCTCCACTCAGCCCCAGAATGATGAATCATATATGAAGACATTATATGCTAAGCAATGGTTCCTCTTGACTGGGATTGACTCAAGAGTTGACACCAATTTGCCATCCCAGGCCTGGTGATGATAGTAAAAATAATATTAGCAGGCCCTAGTAATAATATCGGTGACAGCTTCTGGAACCCTGATCATATGCTAGGCATTGTTAAGCACTAAGTAGCTCTTATTTCAGCTGAGCCTCATACCCACTCTATGAGTTGGGTTCCACCATATCTCGCCAAATCTAAGATGGCATTGTTTATGTCACACCATTATTATTTTATGTACCATAAAGAAGAACGAACACTGCCAAAATAAACCACCAAACGTAATGACTGAGGCCATTATCCCAATTTCAGACGTGTTAAAGTTTGAAAAAACGTGAGTGTTAGATAGATCTGAAGAAACATGGTATTTGCATTCTTACGGCATTCAGACACCAGATTACAAATTCCAGCTCTGCCATTTACGAGCAAGGAGGCTTCCGACAGTCCCTTAACCTCCATGTGTGGATGCTGATACTAGGCACTTCGCAGGATAGCTGGGAAACCTGATAGTATCTGCTGAGGGACTTCTAAGCTCATTTCTTTGTGAGCCTACCTGCCCAACGGGAATGCCGATTATGATAATGAAGATAATGTCCGCTCTTCATCTCCCTAGGCTGATTAAGAACAAACTGAAACTGAATGGAAAACGGATTTGTGGTCTGTAGCAGCTTACACAGAAAGAAGGGATAATTCTATTAGCCCTTTATTTTAACCAAAGAGCCTTCCCAGCATTTAATCCATGAGTTCCTCCTTACTGTGGGGGGTGGGGTAGGGGAGGGAGGTAAGTTTCCTTAGCCACGTGTCCCTGATGGGAGCACAACCCTAGTTCTGGGTCACTTGTCTGTCCCATTCAGTTTCTAACCCAAGGCCTGGCACACAGTAGGTGCTCAGTAACATGCATTGAGTGACTGGGCGGTGCTTTCTGACAGCTTCCCGGAGTTTGCACAATCTGTCCACTCCCGAAGTCCCTGCAAGTGTTCAGACAGTCACTATAGGTAAGTGTTGCTGGGTACTACGCGGTTTCTCAGAAGCTTGGACGTGTGTGTGTGTGTGTGTGTGTGTGTTCCTGTGCACACCTGTGTTGGGGTGGAGGATGGTTTGGTCCTCATCCTCCACCTCCAGCCAATGGACTTGCCTCCCCGGGGCTCTCTGGGTGGCATTTCTGCTCCTTCTACATCCCCTCCTTGCCAAGTCAGCCCATAGATCACTGAGTCCTGATACTTCCTGGACAGAAGTCCATTCCCCCACTTTCCTGTGAGCTGCTGGAGGGCAGAAGGAAAGAGCTGGAGAGAGCTGATACCACCTCAAGCAGGGGTCAGGGTCGGGGCAGCAGGGGGAGGGTGATCTTGGCCCAGCTGGGTAGCGGGAATGCCAGCACACAGCCCTGTGTTCATAACCGGCCAGACACTGGGCCTAGGGCTTTATAGCCATTATTTCCCAACCCTTTAATCCTCTTGGTAGCCAAATGGGAGAGGTCTTATTATAACCCTTACATCAAGAAAGGAGCTGAGGCTCCGAGGCTGAAGTCACAGCTAGAGATTGCTGGCCAGAACTGACAACCAAGGCTCTGAATTCCAGATCCATTCTTGGTCTACCCACCAGCTGCGTGTAGCTTGGCTGGCATCAGAGCAGACTCCCAGGACTCAACTCCCAGCTGTGCCTCTTGCTAGCTGTGCCCTGTTGGGCAACTCGGAACCTCTCTGAGCCTCAGACACCTCAATTATAAAATGGGGGTGATAAGCATATAGTACTTTCTCCTAGCATTGCTGTGAGGCTCCAGTGAATTAATTTTTGTAAAGCACTTAGAACAGAGCCTCAAAGACAGTAAGAACTGTCCGAAAGTCTGCTGTTGCTATGAGTATTTAGTTCAGGCATTGAGCCCCTTTGCAGTCCTGGGATACCCACAGGACTCCCTTGCTCTGCCTCCTAGCTCTCTGTCATCTTCTCTCAGACACCCAGAAGCAGTGAACAGGGGTTTGGGGAGAGGGCACAGAGGCCTTAGCCATAGATGACAGCACAGAGAGGAAATGAAATGTACAACTGCACAGGCTGCCGGGCAAGCTCCTGCCAGGCCCCGCAGGCAACCTGCACACGCTTTCTCTTCCTGAGGTTGGAGTGGGGATCCACGCCATCCTGGAAGGGCAAAGAGTGAAGCACAAAGAGAGATCCAGGGACCACACCCCGGCCCTTGGTCCATCAGCCCCTCCCTCGGCCACGGCCCTCTGTACCCACATTCACGGGTCTCCCCATGGCCGCAACACCCAGCCTCACTCTCACATCTGCTTCCTGCTGCCAGATCCAGCTCCCATCCTGGCCCAAACTTCCCCATTTGCAGACAGAGAGGGGAGAGGAGAAAATGAAGACGGGGAGAGGAGAAAATGAAGACAGGGAGAGGGTTCTCTCCCAGGGGAAGCAGACTCTGCCCCCAGCAAAGAGGTCTGGATGATCTCATCTCCCTCCCCGTTGCTGTCACTACTAGTCATCTAGCCCTGTGGTCTGCTCACTCCAGGAACCCTCCTCACTGACCCCTGTATCCATTCTTGTGCTTCACATTCTTTTAAGCAGAGGGGAGGCTGAGGGAGGGGGAGGGCAAGAAGTCACCCCTGAGTGGGGCTGCAGAGGTGGGAGACCCTGAATCCCAGACCCCACTCCCGTCCTCATGGAGGGGATGTCTGGTGGGAAGGAGGGGGGACTCAGGCACAGCTCTTCTGATGGTCTGTTCACTGCCAGAGGTGGCTCAGAGTCACTGTCTCTGGGAAGTCAGCGTTGGTCTTCCCTCACAGAGAATGAAGTGCCTTTTGTAGGGCCTCATGCCCCCAGTGTCGCTGTTCAAACCTCCATCACAGCGGGTGCCTCATCATACTGGACTGGGTTACTTATTGATCTCTCCGCTAGACAAAGCCCCTCAAGGCCTGTGATACTGTTGTCTTATGTGTAGCCCCAGGGTCTAGGGCCAGGCACACAGCGGGTACTCAATAGTTGTCTATTGAACAAAGACTACATACTGAAGAGCTAGCAGACAGATAGATCTCTGCAGCCTGGTGGCCAGAGTTCTATTTCAGGCAGTAATTCATTTAATCAATTGCTCATGCATTCAATATGCATTTATTGAGCGCCTAATATACACCACACACTTAAAAGCAATGAGAAAATTGGAAAAAGGAAGCAAGGAGGAAGATAACATAAAAAGGGAAGCAGGTCAGCTTTACAGAGAATGGAAAGGCAAGAAGAAGGGTGAGTGCCCATTCCTCTTTCTTCCTGAATTGGAATTCTTGTTTCCAGAATCTTCTGTGACAGTGAAAATAGAGAACAAGGAATCTCGGGAGCTAATGCTCCTCATCCCCTCCATCGTTCTGGGAATTCTCCTCCTTGGCTCCCTCATCTTCATAGCCTTCATCCTCTTGAGAATTAAAGGAAAATATGGTAAGTGCAAGGTTCTGGGAGCCATGGCCATCCCAGGGGGATGTGAGCCTTGGCAGAACCCCAGCAGCAGTGGCGTGGTCCAGCAATGACCACCCGGCCCTGGCCCTGGGGAGATCCCCAAGGTGGAAAGGATTTTCCCAGCATGCCCAGCAGTCATGGACGCACCAGCGGGGAGAACCAGACTGTGCATGTGTGTGTGTGCCTGTGTTTGTGTGTGTGTTTGTGCGCGCGCACATGTGCCTGCAAGTGTTGGGGGAATGAGGAGGGTGGTGTGTCGATGAGAACAGAACGGAACCAGGTAGACTGGGAGAGGGCAAAAAAATGACTTGTAGAATTTCTGCCTCCCCTCCCTCAGCCCTCCCCGTAATGGTGAACCACCAGCACCTACCCACCACCATCCCGGCAGGGAGCAATAGCTATCAACCGGTCCCCATCACCATCCCCAAAGAAGGTAGGATGTCCCCCATCCTGGGTGTGGGAGGGCTGGGGAGGACAAGAAGGGTGAGCTTTCTGGAAGGTCAGCACCACTTAGGTCCAAGACGTACACACAGCTGGAGATGAGATCTGGGCCAGCCCACTCCCGGCCCTGGGACCTTGAGCAGGCTCAAGTCGTCCCTGGACATTGAAGGGCAGATGACCTTCCAGTTCAGTCATGCTAGGACTCTATAGAGTTTTGAGTTCTGGACAAATACAGGCAAAGCACGTTTTAGATCTTGGTTCTCAGAGGAAAGCTCTGTTCTGCTTTGCTCTGCTAGTTGGCTAGTAGGCTTGTGATATCATCATCCCTATCAATGTCCTGCCCAATTGGCCTTGCGAAGCCCCATCAAGATTCTCCTAGAATGTGGTTTTATTTCATAGTTCATATTTTCTAAACAAAAAAACAAATTGGGGCTGGGTACAGTGGCTCACGCCTGTAATCCCAGCACTTTGGGAACCTGAGGTGGGCAGATCACTTGAGGTCAGGAGTTGGAGACCAGCCTGGCCAACATGGTGAAACCCTGTCTCTACAAAAAATGCAAAAATTAGACAGGTGTGGTGGCGTGCACCTGTAATCCCAGCTACTTGGGAAGCTGAGGCAGGAGAATCGCTTGAACCTGGGAGGCGGAGGTTGCAGTGAGCCGAGATCACGCCACTGCACTCCAGCCTGGGCGACAGAGCAAGACTCTGTCTCAAAAAAAAAAAAAAAGAAAAGGTTCAGTCATTCATCCTTTATGATATATGGATTTATACCTCTTGCAGAGGAATTTGAGCTTAATCACCTTGCATTATGAATGTATTCAATCACCTTTATCGGAAAGAGTTCAATGACATAAAAACCAATACAAAACTCAGCCAAATATTATAAATATCCTTTGCACAGAGAGTCCATATATATGAAAAGAGAATGTGAATACAGCATCTAGCATAAGGCTTAGCATAAGGCAGCTGCTCACTGAATAGCACAGTCTAGAGGTTTAGAGCCAGACTGCCGGCTCTGGGCCAGGTAAGAACCTGTCTGTGCCTCAGTTCCCTCCAAGGCAAAATGGGGATAATAATGTACCCACTTCACAGAGTTATCATGAGGGTTAAATGAGGTAATACTTGTAAGTGTTAGAATAGTGCCTCACATATAGTAAGTGCTGTGTTAAGCGTTTGCTAAATAAATGTTTAGTTCTCCATATTGGAAATGAACGAAGGCAGCCTAGAAACTTCAGACTGGGTGGCTTGTACAAGATGGGCTACCCAGGTTGGGCACACTGGTGGATGCCTGTAGTCCCCGCATTTTGGGAGGCCGAGGGGGATGGATCGCTTGAGCCCAGGAGTTTGAGAACAGCCTGGGCAACATGGTGAAAACCTGTCTCTACAAAAAATTCAAAAATTAGCTGGGCGTGATGGTGCATGCCTGTGGTCCCAGCTACTCGGGAGGCTGAGGTGGGAGGATCGCCTGAGCCCAGGAGGTCAATGCTGCAGTGAGCTGTGATGGCACCACTGTACTCCAGCCTGGACAACAGAGTGAGACCCTGTCCCAGAAAAGAAAGAAAAAAAAAGGGGGCTACTTGGTGCTCCCCTGCTACTCTGCCTCTCACCTCTGCCGTTCATACTCTACCATCCCTCCCTACACCTTTCCGCCCACCACTTTGCCATGCCCTCGACTCTGTTCTCTCCCCAGTTTTCATGCTGCCCATCCAGGTCCAGGCCCCGCCCCCTGAGGACTCAGACTCTGGCTCGGACTCAGACTATGAGCACTATGACTTCAGCGCCCAGCCTCCTGTGGCCCTGACCACCTTCTACAGTGAGTGCCTGGCCGGGCTCCCGAGGGCCCACCTACCTGAATCTGGGAGGGGGCCCCGAGGGGACCGTCAGGTCAGTAGTCCCACCTAGTAACCCCTGCATGATGCAGACAGAATCCCCCTGGTTACCCACTGGATTGACTGTAAATGGTCCTACACTGACGTTTGCACCGTGCTTTGTGACCCTGGGGTCATCTCGATGTCTCAGGACATCTCCACTCTGACCTCTGTCTCTCCCATGTTTGTCTCTGGCCACGTAAGGTCTTAAGACCAGGCCTTTGACATTCACCTGAAGATGGCTCTCTGTGTGAGAGCGGGGGAGTGCGGATGAGAGACACAGTTGGCAGGGGTTCTCGCATGCCATATCCCTCCGTGTCCCATCCTGCCCTGTCTGACCCCATCAGCCCCACTCACTTCCTCACCTCCACGCTCTTGCCAGCTTGTGCCTCATAGCCAGCTCTTTTCATTGCCTTCTGGGGATAGGAAGAGGAAAGATAACGCTGAAGGCAGTTCCCTGGCAATGCTGGGAGGTTGGAATAGACCAGAGCGTCCCACACCTTATTGTGGAATCACTTGGGAGCTTGTCAAAAATTCCTGAGCCCCTCCCCACACCTAATGTTATCAGTCAGGATGAGAATTTGGCTGTGTGTGACAGAAAGCTCCAAATGACAGTGTCTTGAGAGGTTGGCAGGGGCCCAGGCCCCTTCTTTCTTGCTGCTGTGCAGTCCCTAAGATGTTGCCTTCATCTACATGGTCCAGAATGGCTCACCTCCATGTCCACATTCCAGGCAAGGGCAAGGGAACGATGGGATGCTGGAGATGGCCACAGATTCCCGCTCACAACCCAGCACCCAGAACGAAAACCCACTAGCTGCAAGAGAGGCAGGGAAACGAAGGCTCTGTCCTGGGCAGCTGTGTCCAGATAAAAGCCAGAATGGATATTGGGGAACAGACAGCCGTCCCTGCCCCGCCTGCTAACCCAGGGCTTCTGGGGGTGGGACACGGATGATTCCACTTCTTCTGGCCTGTGGACCAGTGTTTGGGCGCCACAGGGATGAAGTGTCTGTCGAACCTGAGATTCCGAGCCCAGGCATATAAGATGCAAGACTGAGAGTCCACAGTGCTATAACATTGAAATTAAAAGTCAGTGGTACCCGGTTCAAAAGAGCTGACTCCAAGATCCCAGACACTCATATCCTCAAGACTCTATAAATCTCTGATTCTGAAACGTGAAGGTGCCACAGAGCCTGTGATGCAGTGATTCCAGACCATCTGGGTTTCACTCTAGGAAGGCTTCTTGAAGGAGCAAACATCTGTCCTTCTCCTGCCCAGAGCTGCCAGGTCACAAGGACAGAACCAAGACTCTTGATACCTCTCTAAGTAGCAGGAGGGACAGCTGGGGCTGGGGGCTGGGGGGTTGTAGGGCACTAGAGTTTCTGTCCCCAGGCTAGATTAAGGCGAAGGCTCTGCTGGATTGGGATATGAACCTGGAATTTGATGGGAAATGCTAAGCCCTCTCTGCCTCCGGAGTTGTCCTCCCACCCTATTCAGCCTACCCAGGCCCCGGGAAATCCAGCCTCTTCTCCAGGCTCCTAAATGATGAGGTTGAGCCTTCACCCCTCCCCACCACCGCCTCTGCTTGCAGATTCCCAGCGGCATCGGGTCACAGATGAGGAGGTCCAGCAAAGCAGGTTCCAGATGCCACCCTTGGAGGAAGGTGAGTCAGGATGGGAAGGGGTGTGAATGGCAGTCCCACCTCCAGAGAGTAGCTCAGCTCAGCTTGAGACCTTCCAGCAGGAACCTCCCTCAATGAGTCTTTCCTGACTTTCACAAATCCTATAGGCAGTAAGTGCTTTCTGAAGTCTGACTTAAAGCCCTCTTGCTGCACTGCTTCTTTCGTCACCATTCTCCCTTTCCTGCCTTAGGACTTGAAGAGTTGCATGCCTCCCACATCCCAACTGCCAACCCTGGACACTGCATTACAGACCCGCCATCCCTGGGCCCTCAGTATCACCCGAGGAGCAACAGTGAGTCGAGCACCTCTTCAGGGGAGGATTACTGCAATAGTCCCAAAAGCAAGCTGCCTCCATGGAACCCCCAGGTGTTTTCTTCAGAGAGGAGTTCCTTCCTGGAGCAGCCCCCAAACTTGGAGCTGGCCGGCACCCAGCCAGCCTTTTCAGGTAAGCTGTGCCTCCCCCAAACCCCCATCCCATAGCCAGCCTGGCTGGAGGAGGCATAAAGCTGGGAGCCCTGAGTCAGGCTGAGGTCAGGATTCTACCCAGTTCCGCAGCCATTCGCTGTGTGCCCTTGGACACATCTCCCATCTCTGGGCCTTCACTTTGTCATTTGCCAAGCTAGGGACTTGGCTCTCGTGAGTCACGTGGGCCCCCCAGCTCTGGCAACTTGAGAAGTGGCTGTGTGCTGGCAGAGGGTGACTGGTTCTGGGGGTTTCCAGCAGGGCCCCCGGCTGATGACAGCTCCAGCACCTCATCCGGGGAGTGGTACCAGAACTTCCAGCCACCACCCCAGCCCCCTTCGGAGGAGCAGTTTGGCTGTCCAGGTGCCAATATCTGGGGAAGGGATGTGGGAGGGGGACAGAGAGGGACTGGGGAGTAAATGAGTGGGGAACTATTGGATGCATTCGCTCAAGGGGAAAAGGAGAAAGGAAGGGTAAAAGAAGAGAGGGAAAGTAACTTTTTAAAAAACAAAGCAAGGCCAGGCATGGTAGCTCAAGCCTGTAATCCCAGCACAAGGCAGGAGGATTGCTTGAGGCCAGGAATTTACGACTAGCCCCGGGAACATAGCAAGACCAGTCTCTACAAAACTAAAAACTAAATATTAGCCAAGGGTAGCACGTGCCTATAGTCCCAGCTCCTCAGGAGGCTGAGGTGGGAGGATCGTGTGAGCCCAGGAGATCCAGGCTGCAGTGAGCTATGATCGTATCACTGTGTATCATGCCCCTGCAGGGTCAGAGCAAGACCCTCTTTCTACAAGAAAACAAACACAAGCACAACAAGAATATGAAGAGGTGGGGAAAATGGATGTGGACGGGATGGAGAAATAGTCAAACAGGTTGCTTTGATAAGAAGTGAGCTCCCTGTCAGTGGAGGCATTCAAGCAGAAGCAGCTGGTTGGCTCCTTGGGGGAGACTGTGGTAGCAGAGGGGCTTCCAACATTCAATCGTCCACCGTGTCGTGCAGTGTGCCATTGTGGAGACCATAGCCCTGAACCAGACAGACGAGGCTATTCCCTCAGTGCTGATGTTCTAGTCAGGGACATGGCCGGAAGCAAGATGATCAGATGGCTTCATGCAGCATCCCACGGGGATAGTGATGTGGAGCCAGAACCACTCAGCTCCGTCCTGTGGGGCAGCAGGGCAATGACTGGGTCTCCCACTAATCTGGGCCTCTCTGCCCACAGGGTCCCCCAGCCCTCAGCCTGACTCCACCGACAACGATGACTACGATGACATCAGCGCAGCCTAGGCCGGGGCCAGCCGAGGCTCCTGGGGTGGCTCTGACCCTCTGGCCTCCTGCTCTACCTACTCCCTTTCCCCTTTCCCACCCTCCCAGCTCACCTCCCCATGGAGCTGAGAGGCCTCCCTTGGAGAGATGGAAGGAAACGTTATACCTTGTACCCCTCGGTCTCCATCCATCAAGCCAAACCTGCTGCCACAGCCCTCCCCCGGCCCCAGATAGCAGCCCCAGGGAGGATGCTGCCTCCAAGAGGTGTGAGCCCTCTGTCTCGGGGATGAACAAGCAGAGTCTGGGCTACCTCTTGACAGCTGGTGGAGGGGAGTTGGGGAGCTGGACTGGATGACTCTGGAGGCCCCTTCCAAACCTCAAGTGTCCGGCGCTTTGATTGCCTGAGTTTCTGACACTTCAGGGCCCAGAGGTCCTGCGAGGGGCAGAACTGGACCCCCATGCCAGTGCTGCTGCAGGAGGGCCCATATACTAGGGTCTGCTGAGCTGTTGTCACTGATCGGTGGGCGCTGGGGGGGTAGGGTAGCACACCAGCTGTCCCAGGCTTTGCTCCGGGCGGTAACTGCACTTGGGCAGGGAATATAGCCTTCCTGGGCACAACTAGCTGACAATGACAGGTTGACTGTGTACCCCCAACCAAGGAGCTGGGGCCCAAGGCCAGTCCTGCCCCAGAGACACTCCAAGTCCGCCAGGGGCACAGACCAGTTCTGCAGTGACTGTCCCTGGACAATGGGTCTTTATTCTGAGTTTCCTATGGTTTACAAAGAGGGCCCCAGCCCAGCCCCACCACAGATCCCAGAGATAGGGGCCCAGTCTCCATGGGGGCAAGGAGCATAGAGATGTTTTCCAGGAAGGGGCTCAGAAGCTGCACTAGGCCCCGAGTCCCCATGTGTCTCCTTGAATTGATGAGGATGCTCCTGGGAGGGATGCGTGACTATGTGGTGTTGCACCCGGGGCTGCAAACGTCTCCGTGCAGCCCCCAGAGAGAGGCCCATGGGCTCAGACCAGGCTTTGTTGTCCTGCTCTGAGTATCCTGAGATTAAACTGAATTGCTGAATGAAACCAGGGCGTGGAATGACAATTTCTTAAACCTCATAGAACCCAGGCTGCATGTGTGTGTGCACGTGTGTGTGGCATGTATGTGCATGTGTGTGTGTGTGTGTGTGTGGCATATGTTGGATACAAATGAGACAAAGAGTTGAGCTCAAATCTTTTATTTGGGAAGTAATCCCAGGGAGCAGCAGTAAGAAAATGAGGAAGAAAGAGGGGGAAGGAAGGAAGACAATGTTCATGAACAGGTTGCTATTATGGGCAGCCAGAGCTCAATGGTGCTGGGGACCTCTGGGAGACACACCTCAGAATTGTCCCACCAAGGGGGCAGGGAGCTGGGATATTGACCCACCCTCTCTGCCTGTCATTGGTTGAGGAGACATTAACCCCCAGCCCCAGCACTACCGAGCGGCCTGTGAGTGAGCTGGGCACACGCTGTGTCGGGAGAAGCCACAGGCAGAGGGTCAGAGGCACATGCTATAAGGAACCATCTT
Organism: Homo sapiens; assembly: GCF_000001405.40. NCBI lineage: Eukaryota > Metazoa > Chordata > Mammalia > Primates > Hominidae > Homo > Homo sapiens. The sequence goes on from NC_000011.10 coordinate 61,020,860, forward strand.
CCATGGGAATGGTCCAGGAAAAGCACCAACAGCAACTGCTCCATGTTCAGAGTGTGTGTGTGTGTGTGTGCATGTGTGTGTGTGCGTGTCAGGGAGAAGTCAGGTTGTGGCAATGGTGGGGGCAACTCTATCTGTTTAGGAGGAAATGCTAGGGAACTGGAAAACCCACGGTGGCTCAGCACCATAAAAAACACTGGGGAGGCCGGGCACCGTGGCTCACGCCTGTAATCTCAGCATTTTGGGAGGCCAAGGCAGGAGGATCACTTTAGCCCAGAAGTTCAAGACCAGCCTGGACAACATAGTGAGACCCTGTCTCTACCGAAAAAAAAAATTGAAAATCATCCAGGTATGGTGGTGCACACCTGTAGTCCCAGCTACTTGGGAGGCTGAAGCAGGGAGGTCGCTTGAGCCCAGGAATTTGAGGCTGCAGTGAGCCATGAATGATCACATCACTGCACTCCAGCCTGGGTGAGAGTGAGACTCTATCTCAAAAACATTTTTTTAACACTGGGGATAGGAAAACAGAACCTGACAGACTGAGAGGCAGGGTCTATGAGAACTCAACCTCACTGCCTCCCTGGGCTGCTCCACAGCAGCCCTGGGCTCAGCGGCAGGGGTTACTGCACTGAATGAGTTCCCGCCTGAGCCCCCAAATCTTCAAAGGTAGTATAATTCCAGGGAGTTTTATGCTTAGAGTTGCCTGGAAAAGGATTGCACCACCCCAGAAGGAAGTGGGGATGAGGCTGGTGGCGCTGGAGGGGACTGGAGCGGATCCGCACTGAGAAATCGGCATTGCCTCCAGTCCTCTGCCCATTCAGGGCTATGACTTTATCCCTGCTGCCATGGCCAGTGCCCAGCTCTGCCTGCGGGGTGAGGGTTGGGGCTCAGGTTTTCTCCGAGCCGTCTCGGGAGGGGCGGATCATGAAGGAGGTGGGGCTGTGTGGTGGGCGGGGCCTGCTTTCCATTCACCTGTCCCAGAGGTGGAGAGAAAGCCGCGCTCCCCAGGGCAACCGTCACAGGATGTGGTTGGCAGTGTTGGGCCCCCTCCTCGGGCCCTCTGAACCCTCCCCAGGGTGGCGGGGGATTCCTAGGGGAGGAGCCACTTCTGGGGTAGGTGGGGCAGACTCAGCGGCAGGGGGCTTGTGAAAGCCTGTGTTCAACTCCCCACTCCACCCCTCCTGGCAGTGTGGCCTCAGGCAAATCACTCAACATCTCTGAGACTTTGTTTGCTGTAAGTTGGTCTGTAGAATGTGTGGGCAGTAGTGGGTAACTCACAGGTGGTGGTGAGGGTTAGAGGGTTGGTAGTAAATGACCCCGTCATTGGTAGATTAATCACTGCAGGTGAGAGCGCTCCTTAAAAGGAGAAAGGGGAAGCCAGGAGGCACTCAGCAGTGCCTGGGGTCTTCAGTGCGTTAGTGCTGGGGGCAGGGCGGGGCAAGGGTTGGGGGAACATGGAGAATGTCTTGTCCCACTCTCATTTTACAGGTGAGGACACTGAGACCTAGGGTGGGAAAGGACCTGTCCAAGGTCACTGAGAGTTAGTAACAGAGTCACAATTCAATCCTTCCCCACCTCGTGCCCGCCCCAGCTCACACAGGGAGATGGCAATGCCTTCTGAGTCACCCCCATTTCCCCAACCTCCCCGGAGCTGCCTCTCTCACCCCAGCTCTCCCACCCAGGGCCCCCCACAGTCTCTGAGAAATTGGGAAGCTCTGCCCTAGCCCTGGGCAGTCTGAAGAAACAGCACCACACACAGTAGGAGGGCTGATCCCAGCTGGCCCCTGTCTCTATGTCTCCCAGGGACTCAGACCTGGGACCTGCACCTTATTGAGCCGACATGGGCCAGGCCTGTGCTGAGACTGGGAAAGCTGAGATGAATGACAGCCAGGCTCTGACCTGAAGGAGCACCAGCCTGGCAGGGAAGTCACAAACATAAGCAGGTGGCTTCCCCTCCACTCCTGGGAGACCTCATTATAATACGCCTCAAGGATCTGGGACAGGAAACACAAAGAGGCTCAATGGACTTGGCAGCGGAACCCAGTGGTTCCAGAAACATTGGCGTGGGGGGAAAGGCTGTGTCCCAGAACGGAAGCACCCAGCAATTTGACTGACAGCTCTGCAAGCTCAGGCAGAGAGTGATGCACAGGGAATTCCTGGGAAGCTGATGCCTGATCTGGGTTGTAGAGGATGAATAGGAGTGAACCACCGACGTGGAGAGGGAAAAGCATTCCAGGCCAAGGGAATGACACGAGCGAAGACACAGCAAGAAACTGCACGGCTCGCGAGGTCAAGGGAGGTCCAGTTTGAGAGGAGATGAGGCTGGGGATGGTCAAGTCTCACACCAACCCCATTTCATGGGTGAGAAAATTGAGGCCCAGAGAGGTTAAGTAAAAAGCCAAGGTCACACAGCTAAATAATGACAGTGCTGGGACTTAAATACAGCCTAGCTTCAGAGTCTGAGTGTTAATCATGGCTCTTCCAGTGTCCCTGTGCCACCACAGCCACACGGCTGGGCATTATTACCAGAGCCCCAGCCTAGAATCTGGAGACACCGGCCTATCTGCCCACCAACAGCACAGGCACCGGCTGCATTCTGGGATACGGGGTTCGGGAATGTAGAATCATCACTACCAGGCACCCTTATAGAGCCAGCTCTGTGCTGAGCTCTGGGAGGCACAGAAAGGAATGGAGCCTGGCCCTTGCCGCTGGGGAGTTTACAGGACCTGGGGCAGAGAGAGACCAGTAACTGCCGTTCATCAACATGGTGATGATGACGGTGGGTAGCATTTACTATGTGCCAGGTATGTGTTGTTTCATACAATCCTCATAAGGGCACTCTGAGAAGGTATTATTCTCCCTAATTCGTAAATAGGGCAACTGAAACCCCGAGAGATTAGATGACTAGCCAGAAGCCACACAGCTTGGCAGGTAGCACAACTTTTCCACCTCACTGCAAAGCCCCAGTGTGAAAACACCACGCCGCACAGCGAGGGCTCATGATAAGCATGTTTAACCCACATGAACTTAAGTGTGTGCTCAGCAGCAAACAGAAAGACAAGGGGCAACCCAGCCCAATATTTCCCTTGGTTGAACAAACACCCAGGAGGAGACAGACAGGAGCTGTGGAGCCTCCGTTCCCTCAGATCCTGGAAGCCGTTCATCCTGTGGGTACCTTGCCATGCTGGGTGAGATTTTAGCTGTTGGGGATTCATTTTTCATACACGGTGGGCCTGAAACAAAGCCCACCATTTCAACGAGCTGCTCTAATGCTGCAGGGAAAACACCTGGTTTGGAGCCAGAGCAGGGCAGACTCACATGCAGGCGTCTTCCTAAGGGAGTGTTCTTTCCTTTCCCTCACTCCCTCCCTCCCTGTCTGCCCTCCTCCCTCCCTTTCTCCCTCCTTCCCTCCCTCCCTCCCTCCCTCCTTCCCTACCCTCCCTCCCTCCATCCCTTCCTTCCTTCTTCTTTCCTTCCTTCCTCCCTTCCTTCTCTTTCTCTCTCTTTTCTTTTTTTTTTTCTTTTCTTTTTTTTTTTGGGATGGAGTCTTTCTCTGTCACCCAGGCTGGAGTGCAGTGGCAGAGTCTCATCTCACTGCAACCTCCGCCTCCCAGGTTCAAGCAATTCTCCTGCCTCTGCCTCCCGAGTAGCTGGGATTACAGGCACACATCACCACGCCCAGCTAATTTTTGTATTTTTAGTGGAGATGGGGTTTCGTCATGTTGGCCAGGCTAGTCTTGAACTCCTGACCTCAAGTGATCGTCCTGCCTCAGCCTCCGAAAGTGCTGGGATTATAGGCATGAGCCACTGGGCCCAGCCCTTTCTTTTTTTAAAATGGGAAATACCTTAACCGTATTAAAACTCCAACAACATGAATTCATACCATTAAAATCTTGCCCCCTCCACCCTGCCCCTTCCTCCCCACCCGGCCCACCCAAGGTAAACACAATTGTGTCTCTGATGTAGAAAGAAGCAGATGTGAACCCCTCTTGCTGCCTACCCCTTCTTATACAGAAATGACGTCCGGGCACCCTCTTGGGCTCCTTGCTTCTTTTTACTTCTCTGGTATCCCAGATAACGTTCCTAAGGGAAGAGTGATGCTACCCATATTTGAGTTTCTCCCACATGCTGTCCAAGCAGATAACTTTTGCCTCATGTAGGGCTCCACCACACCACTACAGAGGCTGTGTGGACAGAGAGGAAGAAGCCACTAACTGCCAGGGTTTAGTGGGAAAAGCATGACAAAAGAGGGAACAATCAAGTCGGCCATTGAAGGTTGTGTAGGAGTTTGCTGGATGGATGAGTGAAGGATGTTCTCAGTAGCAACACGTGCAAGTATGGTGCATGCCGCCTGAAGGCCAGGGGAAAAGGGGGTGCGCAGGTGGGAAAGACCATGGGGAGCATCTCCAAGGGTCTTGTGTAACTTGACCCTTGTCATTGTCTTAGACCTGCTGGGAGTTGCGAGCAGTTTCTAAGGCAGGGAAGTGATCCGATGAGACGGATGCTCTAGAAAGGTTGCCGCTATGAAGCGGAGGGAGGTTTGATGGGGCTGGGGCCTGGAGGAAGGGAGGCCAGCTGGGGGGTGGTCAGCACTGGGAGATGGAGAAGAGGGAACGAGTTGGAGACGGATTCAGGACTTGGAGAGTGATCACAGACATGGGAGATGATTTTCCAACACAGCAGCCTCCAGCCATGATGACAATATGACGGTGACATTAATGATAGCTTCGATTCCTGAGGGCACACTCAGAACCTGTGTGTCGGGCACTGTTCTGAGCACACTGCAGGTACTGACTCATGTATGCTCTCAACAGCCCCATGAAGAACCAGCATCATCCCCATCTTATGACTGAGGGAACAGGCTCAAGAATGTTCAGTTTTTCCCAGGGCTATCAGCTGAACATGGTGTGGCTGGGCCCTGGCTGCCACTGCCCCTGCCCTCCTCCTTTCCATGTGAAGGTACAATCCACACCAAAGGCTCACTTCTGTGCCTCCCAATGCCCAGCTGGAGCCACACACAGCTCTTCAGGCCCCACAATTAATTGGCATCCTCCAGACATCTGAGAGAGCCCAAGGGGACCAGGTCAGGAGCACGCTCTGGCAGGATTATCCCACCAGGGCCCACATGGATGTGGCTCTCAGGCTCCGAGGCTGCTCCCAGGGAGCACAGGTACTGGCTTTCCTTCCTTGGCAGGGCATCACCTGCGGGTCCCTAACCTTGTCCCCTGGAAACCTCACCTCCGACGTACACCTGTCCATCCCCCACCCCTCCCTATCGCCCCATCTGCGGTTTCCACTTCCGCCCCTCTCAAAGACCCTCTTCATGGTTCTGGTGAACGGACAGAGCGGCTGGAGCCCGTGTGGCCACCTGGCGTGGACCTCTCTTGGCCGCCGTCCCCGGCCCCCCGTCCTCGCTTCGTGAGGATGGGATGGAGTCTCCAGAGTGGGGAGGTGCAGGGGAGCCCCAGGGAAGGGATGGGTTGAAAGAAGCTTCAGTGGAAAGTTCATCTCCCGCCACATCCTTCAGCTGTTTACCAGTTTGACGGAGTTCTGGCATCCTGACATGAAAAGAGGCTCACCTCTCACCAACATCATTGAGGAAGGACCGAAATAGCAACAAAGGGAGACAAAGGAGGGGGGCGGGGGGTGGGGAGAGAGAGTCATGAGACAGAGAGGAAAAGAGGAAGACAGAGGGAGGGAGCGGTGTGCCTGAGCAGACAGTGGAAGGCAGGAGCAGCCAGACAAAGCCTTTGTCTTCCCTGGCCCCGAACCCCGCACTTGCTGGACCCCTTACATTGTGGCCTCACTTAATTCTCAAAACCTCCCAGAGCCTTAAGGTCTCCTAACGTCTGTTACCTTCCCTGTGGGAAAAGTGAAGCCCAGAGAAGTCATGGGACTAGTTCAAGGTCACCCAGCTAGGACCAGGGGAGCCAGGTTCACAGCCAGTCAGTGCAGCTACCACGGGGCAAGCAGGAGGGCGGGGAGGAGAGAAGATGGAAAGGTGATAGGCTGGAGGGGGAGAGGGTGGGTGGGAGGCCGGGAGACCATGACACGTTCTGTCCTGGGGAAGGATCCCCCACCCCCTCCGCAGAGGACCCGGGCCCTATCCTGGCTGAGGGCAGGTGCCCCCTCCCTGGCTCCCTTCCCCCAGCTCGTCCCACTTGCCCAGCCACCCACCAAGTGCAGAAGGAGGGGGAGGGGAGGGAGTGGTCCCCAGGGCCATGGGCTCTGGCTGAGATTCATTTTCCTTCAAGCCCCCTGCTCACAAAGAGTCCCTCTACCTGCGAGGTCTCCTGCCTCCCCTCCCTACGCTTAGCCCGACCAGGCCCACAATCACTGCCTCCTCTTCATTCTTCCACACAGTGGGGAGACAAAATGATCCTCGTCCAGACACTCACAGACACATTCCCCTCCATGGCCTCCAGGTCACACACACGGCTCTCCCTAGAAACAACAGCACTGGGTCCATGGGGCTCCGCTTCCTTCCCATGGCCTCCCCTCTGGGGTGACCATCCCTCCCTCCAGGCCTCACTCTCTGCCCTGGTTTCAAGGCAGGTGAAGGCTGTTTCTTATCTGAGGATGAGATACTAAAATAACTGGGGTCAGTAGCCCCCCTCAACTTTTCTGCATAGCCAAGACACAGCAATACCCTTCATCGCATCACTCCGATAGTCACCCTCTTTTCCCCCTTCTGTGGCCGGTGCCGTGACTTCCTGCAGTCTGCTCTGCGTTTGCTGCCCTTGCCTGCAGTCCTCCCACCTTCTTGGCAACCTGAAGACTAGGTGGGTGCATCCTGCGTGCAGCAGGAGAGACTCGGTACATGCTAGAGATGTACAGCCCCAGACGCATGTCTGTCCCTGCAGGACCCTCTCAGCTCATGCCCACGCTCACCCTCTAGCAAGAACAACCCATCCTGTAAGAGAGCCCTTCTGTGGTCCAGGGCCAGGCAAGGCCACCCACCGCAGCCTTTCGTCCCCAGGCCACCTACCCTGGGGATAGCTAGTGTAGGGCTGGAAGCAGCCAAGTCCTCCTGCTAACATCAAAGCCCCTCTGGCTGTGGGGACCCCTCTGAAGTACATGGGTGATGGCAGTAGCATTAACCCTGGAGCTCTGCCCAGTAAAAACCCCAAGATCCCCTCCCTCCCTTCCTGTTCCAGGAAACTCACCTCTTCTGCCCATACTCAAGTCTTCCTACTGCTTTGTCAAGCTCTCTTCTCCTTTCCTGATTTTATGGCTTGTTCTTTCTTTCTTTTTCTTTTTTTTTTTCTGAGCCAGGGTCTTGCCCTGTTGCCCAGACTGGAGTGCAGTGATATGATCATAGCTCACTGCAGCCTTGACCTCCCAAGCTCAATCAATCCTCCTACCCCAGCCTCCCAAGTACCTGGGACTACAGGCACACGCCACCACTCCTAGCTAATTCTTTCTTTCCATTCTTTCTTTTCTTCCTTTATCTCGCTCTCTTTCTCTCTCTCTTTCTTTTTCTCTTTCTCCTTCCTTCCTTCCCTCCTCTCCTCTCTCTCTCTTTCTTTCTTTTGACACGAGGTCTCACCATGTTACTCTCAAATGCCTAGGCACAAGCGATCCTCCCACCTCAGCCTCCCATAGTGCTGGGATTACAGGCATGAGTCACTGTGCCCGGCCTGCCTGTTCTTTCACTGAGACATGTTTGAGATTTGTATGCACCTTGCACGCACCCAAAAGCACACTTTCCTCCCAGCCCCTCACTAGTATCTGGCAGAGAGCCCAGAACCCTGACTCTGCCCCCGAGAGTGAGCTCCCTGCACACAGGCTGGCACAGCCTTGTGTCACCACTTTATTGACTGTTCTTAACTCACTGACCCAAGGCCTGACCATCCCAGTGGGATGAAGCCCCAGGGGCAGAAGGAAGTTGATTTAAGGCAACATTTGTCAAAACTGTAATCCATGTACATCTTCACAGTTTTTGCTTTATCTGTAGACCATTTGTTCTTTGGGTCACTTGATAGTTTTTCTTTAAGTGGACTCACTTATTTAAAACTTAAATTTATTTAAAAAGGAATTTTTAGACATCTTAAAAAATATCTGGCAGGTACTTTTCAAAAATGCCAATGTCATAGAATACAAAGACTCAAAAACTGTTTCAGATGAAAAGAGTCAAAGAGGCATCCCGAGTGAAGGCAAGGCATGACCTGACGTTTTCTTTTGCCATAAAGGACATTACAAGGACAGGCAGTGAAACAGGAAGGAGGTCTAGTGACTACAGGGTTATATCAGTGTTAGTTCCCTGATTTTGAAAAGTGTACTATACTTATGTAATAAAATAGTCTTGCTTTTAGGAAATACACACTGGAGTACTGACACATTTAGAGGTAAAAGAGGCCTGGTGCGGTGGCTCACACCTGTAATCCCAGCACTTTGGGAGGCCGAGGCAGGCGGATCACCTGAGGTCAGGAGTTCAAGACCAGCCTGGCCAACATGGTGAAACCCCATCTCTACTAAAAATACAAAAAATTAGCCGGGCGTGGTGGTGGGTGCCTGTAATCCCAGCACTTCGGGAGGCTGAGACAGGAGAATCGCTTGAACCCGGGAGGCAGAGGTTGCAGTGAGCCGAGACCACGCCATTGCACTCCAGCCTGGGTGACAAGAATGAAACTCTATGGCAAAAAAAGGAAAAAAAAAGAGGGATCCCAACTGAACGCAAGGCATGGCCTGGGGTTTTCTTTTGCCATAAAGGACATTACCAGGACTGGCAGTGAAAGAACAGCATGCTTTTAAATAATTCAGAAAAAAAGTGTGTGTGTGTGTGTGTGTGTGTGTGTGTGTGTGTGTAGGTAGGTAGGTAGGTAGGTAGTTTGGTGGGGAAGGTAGGGGGAGACACAGAGAGAGAGATTGGGAGAAAATATTAACACTAAGGGAATCTGGGTGAAAGGCATCCAGGAACTCTACTATGCTCGCAACTTTTCCGTATGTCTGAAATTGAATTAAAATTTAAAACAAACTCAAGGGAAGCTACATTGCCATTATAAATGGAAAACCAGTATCACTTGGTATACGTTGAAGATAATTGTAAAATAAAGTAATGCTGTTACTTTTGCTGGACACATTCGTCCACTAGAGTCTGAGTCTAGGACCCGCCTGTTCTTGGTTCTGTGTCGAGACGGGCAACGATGAGAGGGGTTAAAGACATCCTCGAACCAACCCGAGACACTCTCCTTTCTGTCATGAGAAGGACTGGTGCAGAGCTGAAAAGGGCATCATTTTCTCACTGTGTGATTCTGTGATCTTCAGAGTCCTGTCCTATGGCTTCAAGTTCAGGAACATTTGTTTCGTGAAAGTTTAACTGACACTGTCAGGGCCAGTTCCAACATGCAGCCCTGGCTCTGAGAGAGAAAACATGGTCCCTGCCCTCAGAAGCTCAACAGCGTGGGCAGTCATGGGTCCTGGGATGGAAGAGCTCGCTTCTCTGGATCCCAAAGTTCCTGGAGTCCCAGGAATCCAGAGGGGTGATTCAGGGCCAGCAGGTACCCCAGGAGCAGACACCCAGCAGTAGTGGCTCAGAACTGGCGAAGACAAAAGAACATCATCAGTGTGCGAGAAGTAAGGTGGCAGGAACTGGGCCCACAGTCTTTCACGGGGCAGCCTGATGCCCTAATCCATTTAGTGTTTGTTCTGATTCTTCCTGCTACCCGCTTCCCATTCTGCTTCCTTCTGACTGCCAAGGCGCCTTTCTATCCATCTTTCTTCAGGGCATATTTCATTTTCTTAATTAACTTTTTATTTTAGAATCATTTTAGACTTACAGAAAAATTGCCGAGTCATTTTGTACACCCCATACTCAGTTTCTCCTATTGTTAACATCTTACATTAGCATGGTAAATTCATCACAATTAATGAACCCATATTGATACATGATTATTCACCAAAGTCCACATATTATTTGGATTGCTTCAGGGTTTCTGTTTGGCTTGGTTTGGTTTGGTTTGGTTGGTTGGTTGTTGTTGTTTTTTGATTGCTTGTTTGTTTGTTTGAGATGGAGTTTCACTCTTGTCGCCCAGGCTGGAGTGCAGTGGCACGATCTCGGCTCATAGCAACCTCCGCTTCCCAGCTTCAAGTGATTCTCCTGCCTCAGCCTCCCAAGTGGCTGGGATTACAGGCATGCGCCACCACACCCGGCTAATTTTTGTATTTTTAGTAGAGATGGGGTTTCACCACGTTGGCCAGGCTGGTCTCGAACTCCTAACCTCAGATGATCTGCCTGCCTTGGCCTCCCAAAGTGCTGGGATTACAGGCATGAGCCACCGCACCCGGCTGGTTGGTTGATTGTTTTGTTTTGTTTTGTTTAAGAGACAAAGTCTCGCTCTGATTCCCAGGCTGGAGTGCGTGGCACAATCATAGCTCACTGCAGCCCCTACTTCCCAGGTTCAAGAACTCCTCCCACCTCAGCCCCCCAAGTAGTGGGACTACAGGCACGCACCACTACACCCAGCTAATTTTTTATGTTTTGTAGAGATGAGGGTCTTCCTATGTTGCCCAGGCTGGTCTTGAACTCCTGGGCTCTAGCAGCCCTCCCACCTCAGCCTCCCAAAGTGTTGGGATTACAGGCATGAGCCACTGTGCCCAGCCAGCCCAGATTGCTTTAGTTTTTATCTAATATCCTTTTTGTTTCCAGGATCCCACCCAACATACCATATCCCATTTAATCATCCTGTCTCCCTAAGCTCCTCTTGGTTGTGACAGTCTCTCAGACTCTGTTTTTGATAACCACGACAGTTTTGAGAAGTGTTTGCTCAGGTGTTTTGTAAAATGATCCTCAACTGCAATTTGTCTGTTTTTCTCATGCTTAAATCTGGGTGGCAGGTTTGAGGGAGAAAGACTGCAGAAGTCAAGTGTTATTCTCATCACATCATTTCAAGGGACCTGCCATCAACATGACTTGTCACTGTGGACATCGGCCCTGATGGCCTGGCTGAGGCTGTGTTGGTCAGCTTTCTCCACTGTGCAGATACTCTTTTCCACACTGTCCCCTCTGGAAGGAGGTCACTATGCACAGCTCACACACTTAAGGAACAGGGGGTTGGGGAGGAGGGAGAAAGCAGAAAAGAAAGAAATGAGGAATTATGCCCAACCTCTTTAAGGGCAAAGCAGCTACAAAAATTATTTGCAAGTTTTCTTCATATTTGTCTACTTTCATTCATTTATTTATTTACTCACTCTGTCACCCAGGCTGGAGTCCAGTGGCGCCATCTCAGCTCACTGCAACCTCCTCCTCCTGGGTTCAAGCGATTCTCCTGCCTCAGCTTCCCTAGTAGCTGGGACTACAGGCCCACACCACCATGCCCAGCTAATTTTTGTATTTTTAGTACAGACGGGGTTTCACCACATTGGCCAGGCTGGTCTTGAACTCCTGGGCTCAAGTGATCCACCTGCCTCGGCCTCCCAAAGTGCTGGGATTACAGGAGTGAGCCACTGCACCCAGCCTACTTTTCTTTATTTATTCTATCTTCTATTTATATCAGTATGGGCTCACGGATATTTACTTTGGATTAGAGTCCAGTACTACTTTGTGACTCAAGCTATTCCAGGTGTGGCCATTGGGAGTTCGTTCCACGGGCTCCTGTGACAGTTTCACAGACCCCTATCATTGTGGGTTCCATTGATCATGTCTTGATTTTCTGGCACTACAAGATGCTCCAGGCTTTACAAAGAAAGGAAATTCTGACACATGCTACATCGTGGATGAACCTTGAAGACATCGTGCAAGGTGAAATAAGCCAGTTCCAAAAAGACAAATAACATATGGCTCCACTTATAGGAGGTGCTTAGAATAATTAAATTCATAGAGACAGAAAGTAGAAGGGTGGTTGCCAGGGGCTGGAGAGCAAGGCTTGGGGTATTCGTGTTTAATGAATACAGAGTTTCAGTTTTGCCAGATGAGAAGAGTTCTGGAGATGGAGGGTGGTGATGGTTATGCAACATGATGTATGTATTTAATACCACTGAATAGTACACTTAAAAATGGTTACGATGGGCCAGGCATGGTGGCTCATACCTGCAATCCCAACACTTTGAGACGCCAAGAGAGGAGGATCACTTGAGCCCAGGAGTTTGAGACCAGCCTGGGCAACATAGCAAGACCCCTGTCTCTACAGAATAATAAATAAGTTAACTGGGCATGGTGGCACACACCTGTAGTTCTAGGTGCTTGGGAGCCAAAGTGGGAGGATCACTGGAGCCCAAGAGTTTGAGGTCACAGTGAGCTATGATCACACTACTGCATGCTAGCCTGGGCAACAGAGCAAGATCCTGTCTCAAAAAAAAAAAAAAAAATGGTAAACATGAGTTCATACTAATGCCACCAAATCTCAACCATTACACATGGATTATTCTAGATTTTTCTTGTTGATCCATAACCTCCCACTCCAACAGTGAGAAACTGACTCCCATTACTTGCCAACCATTTCCTTAATTGTTTAATTCCATATGTCACTTTTCTATCTTACTTGTTTCCTGCTTTCTCCCCAAGATTATAAGCTGCTCAAAGGCAAGGCCTGGGCTTGGTTTTGTTCTTTCTGCCCCTACTCCTGCAACCTAACATCCAGCAGAATGTCTTTAAAACAATAGACTTAATATTTTATGAGTATCTACATGGGTAGACACTCTGCTCATCTCTAGGGGTGCAAAGGTGGGTAAGACGTGGTGCTAGCTGCCTGGTGGATCCCAGTGCCAACAAATATTTATTGAACACTGAATGCAATGGAATGACAAGTCATGTACATCCCCCACAGAGAACTACAAGGAAGGAGAGGCAGACTGGAATGCCAGCGCTGTGCAAGCAGGGATGTGTGCTTGCTGTGGTCACTGATGTATCCCCAGCACGCAGAAGAGGGCCTGGCACATAATACATGCTTAATAAATGCTTGAGGAAGGCGAGTAGCAGGTCTCCACTTTTGCATCAGTGCCTTTCAGACCCCTTGCAGTTTTGTTCCTCAGACATAAACTCCCCTAAATGTCCCCATCTATGTGGAATCTGAACCACCCACGTCTGCAGGTGAGTGAGCGCTGGGGCTACCACTGCCTGCACCCATCCTCCTAGATGCCTTTGCTTGTGCAGTTATTTTGACACCTGGTAAAGTATTACTCTACAAAGATGAATGGAACATGGAGACATAAAGGGCCAATTCCAGTGAGAGGATTAGACCTCATTAATCTAATACTGTTAGGGCAAAGTAGAAACATCTGGCCCACTCGCTCTGGGAAACTCTCAGGAAAATCCCTGAAACTGTCTGCCTTGCCACCCTGTGGCATGATTTTTCCCTGTTGCGGGGAAGGATGGCATGAAGAGGCCCTGATTGGCTTCATGTCAGGTCCAGCAGGCATAGGCACCCTTCAAGAAATTGATTCCACAGCTTTTACGCAGTATAGGAAGGTCTCCAGTTAATTGTCTCTCTTTGTTTAAGAAGTAGGCTTGCTGTTCCTTTGACGTATGTTTCTATAAATAGGTTATGCTGCAACCAGCACATCTGTGTCCCAAAAAGGTTTTTAAAAAGTTGTAAATGGGCTGGACAAGATGGCTCATGCTGGTAATCCCAGCACTTCGGGAGGCTAAGGCAGGAGCATCACTTGAACCCAGGAGTTTGAGACCAGCCTGGGCAACAAAGCAAGAGACTCCATCTCTACAACAAATTTGTAAAACCTAGCCTGGCATGGTGGCACATGCCTGTAATCCCAGCTGCTTAGGGGTCTGAGCTAGGAGGATCACTTGAGCCTGGGAGGTCGAGGCTGCAGTGAGCCATGTTCATACCACTGCACTCCAGCGCGGGTGACACAGCCAGACCCTGTCTCAATAACAACAACAACAAAGTTGTAAGTGAATGTCACTGTCATCCCTCATTTCTGCCCCAGTCTGAAACACTGAAAGAGCTCAGCCTTGCCCCTCTCAGGCCCCCTGCCCCCAGCATCAGCTCCCTCTACCCCACCCCCACCCAGGCATCACGCCCTGAGTCAGACACAGGTTTTCTGAAGGTCCCAGACATGACCCTGGGTTGTCCTTCCCCAGTCAGTGAGTCCTAGGCTGTAGGAGCCCAGACCTTGCCTGTGGAGGTGGGAGACCCCACTCTCCAGTGTAAAGCCCTGCCTGAGCTGTGAGTGACAGCTCTGAACCCCAAACTCCCTCGGTACATCGCTTTTTAATTAAGTAAGATGAAAAGACAAGACATAATTAGAAAGCAAGCCTTTGGGGCACGGCAGTGGGAATCATAATATGTTATTCCAAAGGCAGAAAGAAACCATTTCTGTATGATCTGTTTAGAACGAATGTTACTCCTTCTCTCGTTTCTGTTTTCATTCAATTTGCAAACATTTATTCCATTCCTACTCCAAAGGCGCCTCTTCCTCCCCTTCCACACACTTGCACTGTGCCAGGCATTTTCCATACATCATTGCACTGAATCCTAGCAACCGTCTGTGGTCGTTACTGTTACTATCCCTGTAGCTTAGGCAACAAACGGCTAGCGGCAGAACCAGAACTCACACCCAGACCCGAGGAGTCGGAGGCCCGGGCTCTGCCACTACACACTGTGGTCCCCGGGGCCTAGGCTGGGCTGGGCACCAGGGGCTGCAGGATTTTCTCTGGGGATGTTCTCACACTGGCCTTGGCCCCTAGAGGAGGGAGGAGAGAATGGATCCCTCTCATACATCAATTCAAGGACAACCGATTTTTCTCTAAGAGGAAGACACCCACACGAAAACCGGAAGGCAGCCTTGAGTGTCGTGTGATAAGTTTATCGGCGCCATCTCGCCAGCCACCCCCTCCCCAGGGTCTCGATCAATGGGACACAGTGCGCCTCCAGTCTGAGAGGCTTCCTTGGGTGGGTGGTGGGACTGCAAGGTGGCCCTTTGGCAGAGTCTACAAGAGCTAAATTAGGTCGCCAAGTGGCCCATTACCCACATAATCTAGCCCTACCTTCCAGAACAACTGAGAAATGCCTCAGTGGGCAGAGCCTCAAGTCCACCAGATAACAGGCCCCAACTTGACCTCTTGTCATCAGAAATCACTGCCAAGTTTCCAAGCCAGGGAAAGAGCAACAGTCGTGAGGCCTGTTCCACGCACCCACCTATGATCCTCTCGCTGGAGGCAGAGGTGAGCCCCAGCATATGCCTGCGAAGTACAGGAACGTTCCCCTGCTTTGGAGAGGAGGAAACTGATGCTCACAGGGCTTCAGCCATAAGCCCACAGGTCACACGGCCAGTGCCAGAGCTGAGACACGAGTCCTGCCTCTTGGGCTCAAAGTTTAGGTCTCAGACTGGCAGCCTGGGGACCCAATTTAACCTACGGATGTGCTTTTTGAGGCCAGCTCAGTGTTTTAGAATTTCCTTTGGAATGAATTGCGAACATTTGAAACTTAGGAGATTTCATATAGAACTCCAGATTTTTTATTTCTTTTGAAAAATTGGAAATTCTGGTCACCCTGGACCTGAAATCTTAACAGTAAGCTATAATCAGCTGGACTGGAGCCAGGAGAGGCTGCCCTCCCAGATGGGTTTGGGATCCTGTTGGTACTGGGTTTGTCACCCCTGCCCCACTGCTCATGGCCTCTCCCTCCCCAAAAGCCAGCTCAGGGATACTTAGCCCTTGAGGAGGCAGAGCCCGGCTGGTATCCTGGCCAACTATGCTGGGGGAGACCTTGAATGCCCAGCTCTCCCCCTGGCAAAGACCACACTGCACAGCCCATTGGAGTGGGTTGGGGGTGCTGCATAGTGTCCTCCCAGGCATCTGGAGTGCCAGGGCCTGCAGGTGTGGCCTGTCCCTGGCTGGCCTGTAACTCACCTGGCACTGCCCACTGCACCCTACAAGGCCTACACAAGGTCTCGCTGTGTCACCCAGGCTGGAGTGCAAGTGGCGTGATCTCGGCTCACCGCAACCTCCACCTCCCGGGTTCAAGCGATTCTCCTGCCTCAGCCTCCCGAGTAGCTGGGATTACAGGCATGCACCACCACGCCCGGCTAGAGATGGGGTTTCTCCATATTGGTCAGGCTGGTCTCGTATTCCCTACCTCAGGTGATCCGCCCGTTTCAGCCTCCCAAAGTACCGGGATTACAGGCATGAGCCACCACGCCCGGCCGAGATGAGCTTTTCATAGACGAGGACGGAGGGTGTGAAAGGCCAACGCGCTGGCCCGATCCTGCCCCAAGCTTGGCACCGGGTGAGCCTGGCTGAGCACAGCGCTGCTTCCAGTTCCTCTGTGCCTGGCCTTCCCTGAGGCTTCTGTGGGGTCTGGGAAGTTTGTGGGCTTGGAATGGGCCAGAATTGGCCTCTAGGGACGTTGCTGCATATCTGTAAATGGACAGATTGGTCTGTACAAACCTTTGTCTGTTCATCACAAACACTGCCATCAACCGATGCGGTGAAAAGCCCATTCGAAATCACCACTGACAACCCATGCAGGTGCACGAAATCCTGCTGTTACCACCTCACCCCTTTGCGTTAAAAGGGGTTGTCTTCTCAGGGCTCATTTTTAAAGGCAGGCACTCCTGGGAAGTATCAGCCGTTAATACCCAAGTATGAATTGCTTTCCCAGACTTAAATTTTCAGAAAACTCAGAGATCACTTAGTCCAAACAGCACATCTTTTTTTCTAATTTATCCACAGTCAGGAGCAGAGCAGGAGACACAAGGAGCCTTTCCTGAGTCTGTGGTCTAGGGCAGTGGGTGGCAAACTCTTCCAGTAAATGGTCAGATAATAAATATGTCAGGATTCGCTGGCCACACAGTCTTTGTTGCAACTGCTCAATTCTGCTATTAACTCTCTTAAAAGCAGCCAGAGACAGCACAAAAAGGAATGAATGCGGCTAGGTTCCCATCAAACTACCCATGGATGCTAAGATTTGCATTTCATATAATTTGTATGTGTCACATAATATTATTCTCTTTCCTTTTTTCCAACCATTTAAACATGTGAAAGCCACACTTGCCTCGTGGGCAGGACAAAACCAGGCATCGGGCCAGCTCTGGCTTGAGGGCCATAGTTAGCTTACCTCTGGTCTGGTGGAATGGTTTCAAGAAAGCTGCACTGCAGGCTCTCACACATTTCAAAGCTGTTTTCTAAAATGGTTTGCATTAATTTGGACGAAGCAGGATGTGATTCATATATCATATCCAGTGTCATACTTTCAAAACTGACATTTTAAAACTTATGTCATCCTTTTAAATAAACCTAGTGGAATACAATGTTGATACCCACCATCATCCATTTTAAAAATATATGAGTACACCTTTCTTGAGCAGCTAGTGCCATTACACCATCCCTTTTTCTCTTTGGATTCTTATTCCACCCCTTCCACATAATCTTTTTTTTCTTTTTCTTTTTCTTTCTTTCTTTTTTTTTTTTTTTTGAGACAGAGTTTCTCTCTTGTTGCCCAGGCTGGAGTGCAATGGCACAATCTCGGTTCACCACAACCTCCGCCTCCCGGGTTCAAGGGTTTCTCCTGCCTCAGCCTCCCGAGTAGCTGAGATTACAGGCATGCGCCACCACGCCCAGCTGATTTTGTATTATTAGTAGAGACGGGGTTTCTCCATGTTGGTCAGGCTGGTCTCGAGCTCCTGACCTCAGGTGATCCACCCACCTCGGCCTCCCAAAGTGCTGGGATTATAGGTGTGAGCCATCACGCCCGGCCTCACATATTCTTATCCTAATATGTTTTCACGCTTTGAAGTCCTACAGTAATCATCCTTTGATTCTTTTTTTTTGAGACAGTCTTGCTCTGTCCACCAGGCTGGAGTGCAATGGCGCAATCTCGGCTCACTGCAAACTCTGCCTCCGAGGTTCACGCGATTCTCCTGCCTCAGCCTCCAGAGTAGCTGGGATTACAGGTGCGCGCCACCACGTCTGGCTACTTTTTTTGTATTTTTTAGTAGAGACAGGGTTTCACCATGTTGGTCAGGCTGGTCTCGAACTCCTGACCTCAGGTGATCCGCCTGCCTCAGCCTTCCAAAGTGCTGGGATTACAGGCATGAGCCACCGCGCCCGATGCCCTTTGATTCTTTGAAACAAAATGTATATAAATTAAAATGCTAAAACGTTATCATTTCCTGTGATCATAAGGCTCTGACAACATTTTCCTCTAGATTATGTTGTCATTATGATTATTATTCACACATAAAGCAAAATAATATGGGTACTACAAATTTTGATGCTATTTATTATATCAATATAAAGGATGATTAGCCAGAGAAAACTAAATGTTATTGGAAAGGTATCTGAATGGGTGTTTAGGTTTTTCCCTCTCACTTAGTTAACATACCCAGAGATGGATATTATTTGTTTCTAGAACAAGACAGGAATTAGCATCCTGTTTTCATTTTTATAGATATGACCACTGAGTCCATGGAGCTAGAAGGAATTTGTTAGAGTGAATTTTCCCAACTCTGTCCAAGTTGGAGGCCAAAAATGTCACAATGTAATCTAGAGTCAAATTATTTTTTACTTTTTAAAATGATGTTGAAGGCCAGGTGGGGTGGCTCACGTATGTAATCCAAGCACTTTGGAAGGCCGAGGCAGGTGGATTACTTGAGGTCAGGAGTTCGAGACCAGCCTGGCCAACATGGTGAAACACTGTCTCTACTAAAAATACAAAAATTAGCTGGGCGTGGTGATGCGTGCCTGTAATCCCAGCTACTTGGGAGGCTGAGGCAGAAGAATCGCTTGAACCCGGGAGGCGGAGGTTGCAGTGAGCCGAGATTGTGTCACTGCACTCCAGCCTGGGCAACAGACCAAGATTCTGTCTCAAAATAAATAATAAATAAAAATAATGAAAATAATAAAATGATGTTAAAGATAAATATTAAAAGCCATCTGACCTGCAAAATGATTTATTACCTGTCTTGGTTCCAACGCCGACACCTCAAACTGTCCCTTTATTGGTGCCCAGAAGTTTTTTTACCCACTAGGATCCAGGATGGGTTAGGTCTGCATCATTTTAAGTCAAGCAGAACAGCAATTAAGAAAGGCAGCTGGGACAGACAAACTGATGGGACGCATTGGTGAGGAGGAAGGAAGTCCAGGAGGAAGCTGACTTGGAAATCCACTCCCCTTAAGACTACCCATACCCTTTTCTATCTGAAGATCACCAGCCTAGAACAGAGCTGAAGAAAGACAGATACTCTGTGTTGGAAATTGCAAAAGCTCTCTGCAAGAACAACTCCATCCGAACCCTGCCCTACGACACTCAACCAAGCTCTAGCAAAGCTTCTGGCAGCCTCAGGCCACACCCCTGGGACAACCCACCGCCGCTTTGCACTCCTGTGTGGAAAAGCTCAGGGCTGCCAAAAGAATTCACCATTTGTTCCAGCCAACACGTGAGGATAGACATTTATTTAAAAACTTCCAGTTGTACATCCTTTCTCTCTCCATTTGGGTCCTATGTGTGCCTCCTACAGCCCAGAAGTGTCTTTCTCAAGACTTGAGAACCATTTCTTTGAAATGATATCATCAGCAAGGATAGGGCCTGTCCCAGCCTCTGAGGGAGGGCAGGAGCCTAACTTTGATAAAGGCCAGTTAATCTACACAGCTGGCCTCATCACGCTAATTTTTCACTTCTCTGATTGTTTGAGCCCCGGTTCACTCCTCTCTACTCCCTCATTCTCCCTTAAAAACAGAGGGCACCGAGGGAACCCAGTCAGAGGCACCCAAGACAGGTGCGGTGGCTCACACCTATAATCCCGGCACTTTGGGAGGCCAAGGTGGGAGGATCCCTTGAGCTCAGGAGTTCAAGACCAACCTGGCAACACAGGGAGACTTCCATCTCGACAATTTTTTTTTAATTAGCTAGGTGTGGTGGTGTGCACCTACGGTCCCAGCTACTTGGGAGGCTGAGGCAAGAGGACTGTTTAGCCCTAGGAGGTTGAGGCTGCAGTGAGCTGTGATTGCACCACTGCACTCCAGCCTGGGTGAGAGAGCAAGACCCTGTCTCAAAAACCAAAAGGAAAAACAAATCACCCAGTTACCTCTGCACAAATCAAAGTTGAGCTCAGCTTACACTAGAGCCTCTTCCCTACTATAGAAGCTATCGCTGAATAGATCTGTGTTTACCACCTTTAACAAGGGCTGATTTTGTTTATCTTTGATCAGGTAATATCCTCTCCCTGGCAGATCGATGATCAATTACAGTGGGACCTTCAATCCAGATGGGGCTGGAGGATCCTTTCTCATGGTGATTGCTACACTGATCACAGAGGCCACCAGACCAAGAGGACACAGAGCTGCCCATCCAGACAAGATAAAACAGAAGCTGCCACTGCTCCCACGAGAGCCGCCTCCCACCGGAGCCTCTCCCCTTCCTCAGTGCACTCTTCACTGAGGATTTATTTGCTGGTGCTGTGGGGAGCCCAGGTCAGATGCCCTGGCAGGACAGACTAAATTCCTTCTAAATTGAGGAAAGTGCCTCCTGTTGTGGAAGAAAAGGAATAAGACCTTGGCTGGGCCCAGTGGCTCACGTCTGTAATCCCAGCACTTTGGGAGGCTGAGGCGGGCTGGTCACTTGAGGCCAGGAGTTCGAGACCAGCCTGGCCAACATGATGAAACCCTGTCTCTACCAGAAATATAAAAATTAGCCCAGCGTGGTGATGGGTGCCTGTAGTCCCAGCTAGTCAAGAGGCTGAGGCAGGAGAATCACTTGAACCTGGGAGGTGGAGGTTGCAGTGAGCTGAGATCGTGCCACTGCACTCCAGCTTTGGCAACAGAGTAAGACTCTGTCTCAAAAATAAAACAAAATAAAATTTTTTTTGAAAAAGAAAAAGAAACAAGACCTTGACATTTTGGACTGTTAAGTTTTCTCCATAAGGCCCACCTAAGACACAGATCACATTATATAGCAAAAGTGGAAGGGGACAGGGCAGCAGACTTTCCCAAGGCCACGGAAGCTAGTCAGAAGCCACTGTCCCTCTCCCACTTCAAACAGCCCTGAGGGCTATAAACACTGCGTGGCCTGACACGTGGCCAGCAGAGGGTGACCCCAAGTCCCCTGACAGCACCGATCAGTTCGTGTGGGCAGACCCTAAGAGCCAGCAGCCCAAAAATAGTTCTGGGCGTGGGAAGTCAACGTGAAGCTGTATATGGTGAAAATACAGGTTGAGGCTCTTTTGAAACAGAGAAGTGCCCCTTGCTATGGAGATATAAAGCTGTCTTGTGGTAGATTCTGGAAATCCCAAGGCTTAGAGCCCTTCACAGGGCATGGCAGGGCTGAGGGGAATGCGGGGAACGTTGGATGACAATGCTGGGGGCATGGATTCTTGGCCCCTAAGGAGCCCTGGCTGTGCCTCCTGCAACTCCTTCCAGGCCTCTGGAGTGACAGGGCATAATTCAGGTGCCAGGGCTCAGGCTCCAGGGGCCCTGGATAGGGTGTGGTGGCAGCAGCCTCTGAGCTAAGAAAGTCGATCATTCTAGAGCTCTAACCATTCTATTTAAAGCTCAAGACAAAGAGAAGGCGGGAAGGGAAATGCTCAAGGCAAACAACCTCCGAGCAGCACCCGGAGACCACGCCTGGGGAGGAGGGGCCCAGGCTGCTGCCAGAGGGCTCAGAAACGGCTGCTGTACAGAGAGAGCTCTGCACTGCATGGGGCTGAGTGATGCTGAGTGTGAGAAATGGAAAACATCCTCAAAGGCTATCAAAGGGAGATGGGTTCGTCGGTTAGACACACCCACAGCGGGATGCTCTGCAGAGAATGACGCAGAGCTCAATTTATTGGCTTGGAGAGGCGACCCCAGCCCATTATTATTGAGTTAAAAAATAAATTTAAAAACTGCATTGATAGTAAGATACCATTTATGTAAAGTACTCTCTCTCTCTCTCACACACACACACACACACACACACACACACACCCCTGGTATCAGAAAAGTCAGGAAACAGTATCAGGGCCAGCTTCACGTGCAGGGCCCCAAGCTTGGTTTAACACTCTGCTGCCACCATCTTACTTTGTAATTCTGTAGCTGGCCCTGCATGGAATAAGCTCGCTTAAAAAAAAATCAACTTTGATGAGAGATAATGTACGTACAATAAAATACACCCATTTTAAGTGGACAGTTGGATGAGTTTTGACAAATACCCATGCAACGACTTAAATTAAGATATAGAACCTCTCCTCACCCCATCAAGTGCCTCCCGCCCTGTGCGACCACACTCCCTGCCCCAACCCCACACAACCACTGTCACTGACACTGTCCCTATAGCTTACCGTTGTCATTTCCAGAATACGATAAAAATGAAATTGCACGCTGCACACTCGTTTCCGCCTTCTTCCCTCACAGTCATGGTCTGGGAGTCCACACTGTGTTAGCAGTGGTTTGCTCCTTTTGTATTGCAGAGAAATGCGGATACACATGTAGATGTACATATATCGCCATTCATCTCTTTCTCCATTAGTGGACATCAGGGTGGTTTCCAGTTTGGGGCTGTTAACGAGCAGTGCTGACGTGAGCTTTTGTGTACAAGCTGCGTAGCAACATATGCTTTCACTTCTCTTGGGCAAATACCTAGGAGGGCAATTATCGTGTTGTACGGTAGGTGTATGTTTAATTGCCTAAGAAACTGCCAAACTATTTTCCAAAATGTTTGGACCATGTTTAGATAAACAGCACAAGACATTTTTGAATACTATTGCAATATGTTTTTCTGCAACTCCCAGTGCAACAAACACATTTCAGAGTATCCAGAAATTCGGGAAACAAGGGTTAAATAGTGATTATTTATTGTACTTTGTTCAGGTTAACAATTGGACCCATTGCTTCAAATGTAGAGGTACTACGCCTGAAAAAGTGTCTAGCAGTTAAAGAAAAACATATTGAGCCCAGAATTTGGAGGTATAACAAATATAATGTTTTAAAATAAGTGTATCCTATGTTTCCTGAATTTTGGGCCACCCTGAGCCTGGAAAAACGATCAGAAGGGTCATCTCAATATGTTACGCATGTTATAATGATAGCTGTGGTTTACTTGCCAGCTATAAAAGCTACATTTATTTGTTGTAGAAGATTTAGAAAATACAAATAAGAATAAAAATATAGTTCCTATTCATCATAATGCTATTTTCTCCTGTGTGTTTTGCTAGGTGCTTGTGTATATTTAATATTAATCATATTTTTTATCTCACACTAACTTCCTAAAATATCTCCTTATTTACAAAAGCAGTACTCCCTCATAGCAAAATTTTAAAAACAAAATATTAATAATTTAAAATTAAAAATTGAAATAAGAGCCTCCTACCCAAAGTTAACAATCTGCTCTGCATCCTTCCAGACATTTTTTACACGGGTTCGGTCCTTTATATGTATATATGTGTATGAGCATTGCATTATAAAACATTTTATATAACATTGCGTTATAAAAACATGTATAAAAGATATGTTTTTGAACACATATATTTTAAAATTTATATCATTTCATATCATATTTTTAACTAGTAACAGGCATTAAATATTCTTAGAAAAAAGTTTTGAATATCTACATACTATTCCATTGTATAAGTGTGCCTTAATTTATTAAACTATTACTCAAATGTTAAAGCTCTTGGTCGAGTCTATTTGTGTGTGTGTGTATGTGTGTGTAGTAATACTGTGATAAGCACTTTTTGTCATAAAATTTGGCCACATCTCTAATTCAATGCATAGGATAGAGTCCTAGAATTTCTAGATCAAATTATATATCATATTAATAATCTTAAACAACTGTTATCAAATTGTGTCCAAAACGTTTTAACCAGTTTACCCTTCAACTGGTCAAAATTCAGTTCAATCGTTCTAAAATTTTTTAACTTTTAGAGTGAATAATCATGTCTCATTGTTGAACTAATTGACACGCTCATGATTATTACGGAGCTTAGCATTTTTTTCATATGCTTATTGGCCATTTCTACCTTTCCTTTTGTAAATTGCTTACACTTTAATCTATTTTTTCATTAGGTTCAATCTCTTTCTTATGGAAATATAAAAGTATTTAATATATTTTTTGAATTCCCAGCATTTATAACAGTGCATCAACCATTATAAGCACTTAAGAAATGTTAAATGAAGGAATATATACAAGGGATAGTAATCATTTTTTCTATATGTTGCAAATATGTGTTCTTAGCAAACAAATAGCTTCAAATTTTGCTCACGCTTTTTTTTAATTTAAAATAGAATTCAAAATGCTATTTCTATTTTTCTTCTGTAGCTCCTTTATAGTCTATGTCTGGTAAGTCTTTCCCTCATTCTTAAATCAGATAAGCTTTGGCCTATATTATCTTCTCTTTCTATTTTTATAAAATACTTAAATCTTATTATCTGCAAGGGCAAACTCTGTTTCATCACTCCCATTTTTCAAAAAATTCTCAGTAATTGTCTCCAGCTTATCCTTTAGGTAAACTTTAAAATTACTTAAATCCCCCCACTACACACATACAAATACCATTTGGGTTTAGGGAGAACTGCCTTCAACCTATAAGTTACGATACTTGGGGCCTCTGTCCCTCATTCCCCTGGGATCTTTATTGGAGTCAGCTGGAAGGGATGCCAAGGTCAGGAAGCCAATATGATATGATGCCCACAGCACCCCAGAGCTCTGCACCAGCCTCCAGGTTGCCAGGCGTGCTCAAAGATGATTCATTAATTAGTAAGTATTTTTAAAAGACAGTCATCACGTCCATGAGATCGGGGTCAAATAGGCACTCCCTTGTGCTTCAGGTTGGAATGTAAATTGAGAGACAGCTTTTAAAAGCAACTGGAAAATGCGTACCGAGGGCTTTAACAATGCCTGCGCTTTTGACCAGGAGACCCACATTTAGAAACTGCCAAGAAAACAGTGTAGACAAACATATACGCACAAAGATGTCCTCTACTATATAAGGAAAAACTAGAATGAGATGTCTAACATCTAGGAAACCCATCTGGTAAATGCCGGTATCTAGATCTAAGAGAATTTCATGCAGTTTTCAGAAGGGATTCTTCTTACAAAATCCCAGCAAGATGTACAGCAAACAAGCCTAGGAGGGCTGCCCACGATGCTCTGAATGGTAGATTTGGATGGGATTCTTTTTTCTCTTTCTAGTTTTTAAAATAGTTTTCCAAGTTTTGTGCCATAAACATGTATTTCCTTGATAATTTTTTTGAAACCTATTTTAAATGAGCAATTAACATGTTTAAAAATTAATATAGGCCAGGTGCGGTGGCTCACGCCTGTAATCCCAGCACTTTGGGAGGCCGAGGCAGGCGGATCATGAGGTCAGGAGATCAAGACCATCCTGGCTAAAACGGTGAAACCCCGTCTCTACTAAAAATACAAAAAAAAAATTGCCCGGGCGTGGTGGTGGGCGCCTGTAGTCCCAGCTACTCGGGAGCCTGAGGCGGGAGAATGGTGTGAACCTGGGAGGCGGAGCTTGCAGTGAGCCGAGATGGCACCACTGCACTCCAGCCTGGGCGACTGAGTGAGACTCCGTCTCAAAAAAAAAAAACATTAATGTAACTTTTTATTATAACAAATCCACACTCATAGAAAGGAAACAAGAAAAAAAAAGGCTAAACACTGCACAAAATCTCTAAAGAAGGTAAAAATAATCTGGAATCCTACCACCTGGAGATAACCACCTCTATACATACACATACCTATATGTAGACACACATACAGAGACACATGCATGTTATTTGCAAATTGCTTCTTTTCCTCATCAATATGTCATGGACATCCTTCCACAGCAATAAAAGTCCATCAACCTCATTCTTTCTTAATGGTCCATGTGAAAATATTTCCACCCATACATCTTGTCTTATGGACGTACCATTATTTATTTAACCAATGCTCTATTGATGCACCTTGAAGTTGTTTGCAATATTTCACTTAATCATTAACATACCAATAAATGATATGGACTGCGGGAGTCAGCCTCTGCTGTAGTGTTAATATTCTACTGTGAATTCACTATTCAGGTCAGGGCATCAGTTTCGTCCCTTGTAAGACAAGGACATGGCGATTCCTGAGGTGCCTCCAGCTGTAGTATTCTCTGATTTCCTGCAGTGGCAGCTGGTTTCTCAAGAATATGAAGTGCTCAATGTAATTTAGAGCAATCTGCACAGCTAAGAATAGGGATCCTCTCTAAAATGATACTGTGGAAGCCCTCAAATTACCACCAGACTTCAACAGTACATATTTCCCGATCTGCAGGGTGACTGGAAGGTGGCTTCTGATGCCAACTTGGGCTACAATCATGCTGGAATGCAGCTCTGTCTTCAGTCAGGCCAGTAGCATTCAAAGAAGCACAACTGTGCAGCCATCTGCCTTTCTCCCAGTGGTCGAGTTCTCTTTTTCTACAGACTGCTCTCAGAGTTCTGCCCATTTTCTTTACCTGCACTTTTCCTTGAACCTCAAACATACATACATATTAGGATGCCTTGAGCTCGGTGTTTGCTCTGCAGCAAATCTCTCAATAATCCACCTGCTATCAGCATCACACCCCTGACAAATGCTCCTAATGGGCCTCTTCCCAGAAAAGAGCTTTTGATGTTGCATAGCAAGCATGAGAGTGAGATTCAACCAGGCAGACTGGCTTTATCCAACCACAGTAACAACAAACCTTAACTGGGCACCTACTATGTGCCAGGCACACTTCACTTTTGCACATCACTTCATTTCTGAAGACTGGCCAGTTTCTGAAGGCAGTTAGGAAAAACCCTTGTTGAGAATTCCAGCTTTAAAAAGTGCCTCTGACTCTAGAAACCAGGTTTAGAAAAGCCAGTCCTCTGATGCATAAATCCCCGCTACAACAGTAATCGCACCTAGCAGCTTGTATCATTCACAAGCATTCACTTGCTTTGGCCCTGAAGAGCTGCTTTTACTGACTTGTGCTTTGGGGCAGACCTTCAGGAATTGAGGGATTTTGTGGGAAACAGCATGATGAAACTTGCTGTTTGTTGCTCATAAAGATGACGAGAATGTCTTTTGAGACAGTAGAGAGGGTCCTCAAGCCTCTGGGTTTGCCTCTTTGCCTTGGCCACCAGGAAGCTCAGAATCAAACCAGTGTCCCACCACCTACAACATGAACAGACCTTTTGATATGATGCATCATGTGGATAACTTTCTCATCAATTCATCTTTTCACCCGTGCTTTCCTATCACACAGAGTTCTCTGGGTTATTTTTCATCCTGCTCCGTTTTGTGTACTGTTGCCTCATACTTATGGTGAATGGGAAGGGAAATAAATGTTACAAGTCAGAGACAGGACAAAAGACTGGCCCCCTAGCTCCCAGCCCTTTCCCCCACCTTTGATGATTGGGCCACCTGAAGAGGGGTGTCACTTTGATGGGCTGATCCGAGTCACCCCCAGTCACTGCAATTTCAGAACAAAGTGCACCGTGGGCCCTTTCCACATCTTCTTCAACCACCTCACCTTTTGTTCTTACCCATCAAAACAGATCTGATCTCTTCCCTGCCCACCAGGTAAAAGTGACAAGGTCAGTAACTCAAAATCACCCTTGAAGGGCCATCTCCTATGGATCCAGAACTCTGAATTAGTAGCCTCTCAGGTTCCAAGGTGACTGAAAGGAAGCCTGAATTTAAAACCAAAACCCAAAACGCCTTCTACCACCTAAAGCCCCCACACTGCTGCAAAGCACAGGCAAAAAGTTGGCATCAAGTGCACGTCTGCACCAAACTGCACAATCATCACCTTCCTTCTGGTCATTAAGCTTCGGTGCTCATCGCCTTGCTGCCTGGCCCACCCTCCCTCCTGGTCCATCCACTCTGGTGCTGCTGTGAACCCTGCCTCCTCCAGGAAGCCTTCCCTGACCCATCCATTCAGGCCTCCATTCTGTTTCCACCTATTGCTAGCTCAGCACCGTTCAGCAGGTAACTGCTTCCAATCCTGCCCTGTCCCCCCACCCCTCCCTCCTGGCTGCTGCCCTCGGCTAAAGCCACGTGGATGCCTGTTCTTGAAACACCAGCCCGGTTTCAAATGAGATCACAGAAAGCTACCTGCTTGGCTACACACATTTCCTTTTTAACGAAAGTTTAGCCAAAGCTGTTATTAAGACCTGACCTTAGGCAAGAAGTGATGGTAAATTCCCCATGCTGCAGCATCTTGTAAATGGTTCAAATTAGGATAAACCCCAACACCCAGCCCAGCATCACAAAACAACAGTTTAAAAGAAACACCCCTCCGTACAATGTGTCTCAATGTTTGCTGCGCTTGTACCCCCCGACCTTGCGTTAGTTACCTCATCTCCTGTCAATTTCTTATCCAGTGGAATGTAGGTAATCACGGTGCCCAGCTCACATTACTAAGTAGTTGTTTATTTCCCTGCTCTGTGTTTCAGTTTCCTCATCTCACCGGGTTGTTTTGAGTCTACATGAGCTAAGGCATGAAAAGTGCTTAGAATGGGGCCAGCAATCTTCAAATGCCGGGGACTAATAGTGATACAATTATCAAATCATTGTGACAATCTTAGCACAGTGCCTGGCATTCAGTAGGCACTTGATAAACCCTAGCTGCTGATGCTGTGTGCTCCTTACTAACTTCTAAGATTTCAAAGCCCTTTACATGTATTTTTCACACACGGACATAGCACGTTCAACTGAATTCTGTGTTCTTTGTACAACTACACAGTTTCACCACTGTGGGAAGAGGACACTTTTCTTATTTTGTAATGAAACAATGATTTGGGTGGCACATCATAAGTTTAGTTTGCTTTTCTTTGTTTTCCTTTTTAAAATTTAATTTAATTTAATACAATTTTGAAACAGGGCATCACTCTGTCTCCCAGGCTGGAGTCTAGTGGTGTGATCATGGCTCACTACAACCTCTGCCTCCTGGGTTAAGGTGATCCTCCCATCCTCAGCTTCCCGAGGAGCTGGAACTACAGGCACGCACCACCATGCCTGGCTGTTTTTTGTATTTTTTTGTATAAGTGGGGTTTTGTCATGTTGCCCAGGCTGATCTCGAACTCTGGGGCTCAAGCAATCTGCCCGCCTCGGCCTCCCAAAGTGCTGGGATTACAGGTGTGAGCCACTGCACCAGGCCTGTTTTCCCTGTTAAAGTAAATGAATTGATTGATTATCTCCCCCTTGGCTCCTCCTCATTTTAAAATGGCATGAATGGAACAACGTCCACCACAGAAGTCCACAGCCTACAGCCCCACTCTTTGTCTGCCACAAACCACTGTGTCCTGGCCCTGGCTCCCTCTGCTCCAGCTCCAAGTGACTCTGTTCCCCTCCCATTTCCTTCCCCTTCCAGTTTCCTCTGTGGCCTCCCAGGGTTGTGTCTTGTGCCAGCTCACTCGTCTTTTCTGGGCTGCTCCATCCACCCCTGCTCCCCAAAGTCTGTCATTTTTAATGCCTGTTTAATCTGAGTGGCTTTTCAGTCCTTTCCTTAGTTATGATATCAATGGCATATGGGTTTTCTACCCAACAGATAAGTTCACGGTGGACATTTTAAGCGCACAACTCTTTCCCCTTTAAATTGTGTCCTTAAAGTTAGGACATTTAAAACAAGAAACGTCATCACATTTTTTTTCCTGGTTTAAATGTAATATACAATGAAAGGAGATTGGATTATGCTATCCGCAAATATGCCACTTTGGCATAAAGATTAATTTGAGCTGAAATCAATAAGCTCTCTGCCCTCCCCCTTTCTGAAAGCAGGGATCTGTGACTCATGCCTGTAATCCCAGCACTTTGGGAGGCTGAAGCGAGAGGATCACTTAAGTCTAGGAGTTCAAGACTAGCCAAGGCAACATAGGGAGACCCCATCTATACAAAAAGTTAAAAAAATTAGCCGAGCCTGATGGTGCACGCCTGTGGTCCCAGCTACTCAAGAGGTTGAAGTGGGAGGATCGTTTGAGCCCAGGAGGTGGAGAGGTGGAGGTTGAGTGAGCTATGGTTACACCCTGCACTCCAGCCTGGGCGACAGAGCGAGACCTTCTCTAAAAAAAAAAGAAAAGTTTTCTTTGTAAAAGTAACATAAAATTCCATTTGTGAAGGTATCTCTTTCTCATACCAAGAAGAGGAGGACAACTCTTAATCACAGGTGATGTGGACCACTTTTATTAGGCAGCTTGAGTTTGCATAACAAATCTTACTCAATAACCCTTATTAAATAACCCTAACCTTCCATTAGCTCCCCCCATATATTTACCTTCCAACAATTTACTGCCCTTAGAAGTCATAACCTCCTTTTTTCTTAGTCTAGTTGCTTCTCCAAGATTTACTGCCTTTTGTTAAAATAGTATATAACCCCTTCTTTGGGTTTTCACTTCTTGCCTGTGAAACCCTCACTTGCATGTGAAATATTTTCTCCTGTTCAATCGTCTTTTAACAGTTTGATTCTCAGGCCCAAGTCACTGAACCTAAGAGGGTAGAGGAAAAGTCATTGTTGTTGCTGTTATTTTATCTCCTCTACATAGTCGTATGTGACATTTTAGAAAATCCACAAATGTCTAAAGGAAAACTTTAATCACTAATAAATAACCTACCTACCCCTGAGACAATGAAGCTCCATCGAGGCACCTTTTCTTCTAGCCTCCCACCCCCTTCTGCACAGACACAGAGGAAGTGTGAGCTGATAGAACAGCACAGAGAGCAGGGGCCTGGAGGTGCAAAGACCCTGGCTACTTCACCTCCGAGCCATGCAACCTTGGGCAATCATTGAACCTTCCTCAGCCTCGTTTCCTCATCTGTGAAATGGGGAGAAGATGAGGATCTGCCTCACAAGGTTGCTGGAGGACTCTAAGACACAGCAAGGGCTGGCTACACAACTGGCATGTGGTCAGTGCCCACTGGGTCATAACTACTTAAATATAAACTGTCAGTACAGAAATATCAGTAATCAATATTTTATAAAATAGAATTATAATATATTTAAACATGACATATTTAACATTTTATACATTAAAAATGTAAAGTTATAAATTACAAATTAAAATATATAGGCCAAGGTGAGAGGATCCCTTGAAGCTAGGAGTTTGAGACCAGCCTGAGCAAAAAAAAAAAAAAAAAAGGAAAAAAATAATAAAATATACGATGTATCAGTGATTACACTGTAAACTACACAGGCAGCTTGCTAGCTGCACTTTATACACTATCAATAGCGTTTCCCATCATTACAAGCTGCTACATCATTTTTAATGGCTGCCCAGACCTCATTTCACAGTGTCTTTGATTTTTAACAGGACCAGCTGCTAATTTGGGTGCCATAATAGCACAGCTAGGATAGGAGAATCATTGAGATTCCCTGTTCCAAAAAAGCCATCTCCAGCCCACACTCCCTTCGGCTTCATTAATGCCTCTGTAGAAGTGGCTTCCTGAGCACTTGGCCTTTGATTTATAATCACCAGCTAAAACCAACAAACCAGCTCTGGAGGAATCAAACAGGGAGCATTTCAACTCCAAGTGCCTGGACAGAACTGTTGCATTCTCTCCCAGGCCCTGCAGGCACCTGCACTTGCCATTTCCTGGGGCTCGGGAAGGAATCCAGAAAAGTGAGAGGCTTTTATACTCCGAGCAGGTCACAGTGAAACCACCGGATCCCTGGAGCCTGGGCTCTAATCCCAGGGAGCTTTCCCTTCTCTTTCAGGCAGTTGAAACATACTTAGCAGGTACGAGGGCAGGTGTCCCACCCCATTCCACAGGTTTGGACACACAAGTTCAGAAAGGAGGAGAGCCTGGGCCAGTGTCACATGGACAGCGACAGGGCCAGGGTCCCTCCAGGTCTGGCTGAGTCCCTGTCCAATGCCCTCCCCGACCCATGTTGCTTCCCAGGAAAGATGAGCATCCTCTTGAGACAGGAGCTCAGAGCAGCTGATGGCTGGAGGTCAAGGGTACAGGACTCCCCGTCACACCCACACTTCCCTTCCTGACCAGGGACTCACCCGGCTAGACAGCCCAACACCAGCACAGACCAACCTGTACCCCATGCTGGGCTGTTCATCATCTTGGGGTAGCTCCGGGCAGGTCCTCGTCTGCAGTTCCCACCCAGACCTGCCTCTCTGGAGCAGGCCTTCCAAACCAAGGGGGACAAGGCAAGCTCTGACCTCACCATCCCGCCACAACCACAGTGAGCGTGGACCCACAGATGGGGGCTCCCGCCTTGCCCCCATCTCCCAACCATGGCCTGAACTCTGCACCCTGGAGCAGTCCTGCCCTGGGGGCTGGAGACCTGGGGCAGCAGGTGGAGAAAGTGGATGTCCTAGCACTGCTATGAGCAATCAGTCCCCAGAACAGCCTGCACTGTCTCCCCAACACTGTGGAAGAGAGAACGGAGAGCAGAAAACACAGTCTATATGCCTGGGAGCGGCTTGTTTCTGGGTCTAGTCTCTCAGCATCTGGGAGCTTTCTTTAATTAACACTGAAGAGCAGTGTTCAGTGTGTTCCTGGCTCTCCTACCTGGGGGAATCGGGTTAAGCCCAAACCACACATCATGGTCCTCTTTCCCGCTGCAGGAAGTGAGCCCCTGTCTCTTGAGAGATAGTGAGCCACTATTCAATTTAAATTGATTTCCTGGCCTCAGCAGCCTCAGAAAGTTCTTCGTGGCTGGTGGCTGCCCCTCTGTGGGAAAGCTGCAGTAGCAAAAGGATAGGGATTCTCAAAAGCAAATGGGGCCAGGTGCGGTGGCGCATGCCTATAATCCCAGCCCTTTGGGAGGCTAAGGCAGGTGGATTGCTTGAGCCCAGGAATTTGAGATCAGCCTGGGCAACATGATGAAACCCCGTCTCTATTTCAAAAATACAAAAATTAGCCAGGTGTGGTGGTGTGCACCTGTAGTCCCAGTTACCTGGGAGGCTGAGGTGGGAGGATCCCTCGAGCCTGGGAGGCCGAGGGTGCAGTGAGCAGAGATTGTGCCACTGCACTCCACTCTGGGTAACAGAGCAACAAGACCTTCTCTCAAAACAAAACAAAAACAAAAACAAAACAAACCAACCAAAAAAAAGCAAATGGGAAAAAAAACGGGTGCTCAGACTCGTAGCTGAAGCCAAGGGTTATCAGGGACCATGGATGGGTTTGGAATTGAGTTGACGGGGTTCGAGTCTGGCTCTGAAACTTTGTGGCAGGTTAAACAGCAAGGAATTTCAGCTTTCGAGTGGGGACAGTAATAATCCTCAGAACTCAAGTTTGTCCAGCTGCAAAACGGCACAATAACAGGAAGGGAACCTGGTGGCAAAACTAAAAACAACCAAAATGTCCAGCAACTGGTGAATGGAAAAACAAAAACAGTATATCCATGCAATTAAATAATACCCAGCAGGGGAAAAGAACACACATGCCTACCTGCTACAGCATGGATGGACCTCAAAGACAGTATGTGGATGGACCTCAAAGACAGTATGCGAAGTAAAAAAAGCCCCACACGAAAGACCACATATTGCATAATTCCATTTATCTGAAGGCAAAACTACAAAGACACGAAGTAGATTGATGGTCACCTTAATCTGGGGTGGAAGTGAAGAGTGACTGCAGATGGGTACCAGGGGATCTTTTTACAGTGATAGAAACATTATAAAATTGGGCAGGGCGAAGTGGCTCACGCCTGTAATCCCAGCTTGTTGGGAGGCTAAGGCGGGTGGATCACCTGAGGTCAGGAGTTCGAGACCAGCCTGGCCAACATAGTGAAACCCCATCTCTACTAAAAATACAAAAATAGCCAGGCCTGGTGGCACTCGCCTGTGATCCCAGCTACTCAGGAGGCTGAGGCATGAGAATCGCTTGAACCCAGGAGACAGAGGTTGCAGTGAGCCACGATTGTACCACTGCACTCAAGCCCAGGCAACAGAGCCGACTCTGTCTCAAAAAAACAAGAAAAAAAATTATAAAATTGGACTGTGGTTGCACAGCTTCATAACATTACTAAACAGAATTAAACTTTTAGTTTCAACCAAAACAAGTGAAGTCACCTGCAGTCCCATCTACCTGGGAGGCCAAGGTGAGAAGATCACTTGAGATCAGAAGTCTGAGTCCAGCCTGGGCAACATAGTGAGGCCCCATTTCTTTTTAAAAAGTGAATTTTACAGTATATAAATAATACTTCAACAAAGCTGTTTTTAAAAAGTGGCTGGCACATAGTGTAAGGATCAGTTCAGTTACCATATAGGAGAGTGTTTTTGAAAATTGTCGTGTGCTATGGAGAGGCCAGCCCTAGTGATTCATAAGGCTATAGCGGAGAGTGGGTGTGACCGCACTACCAGAACTGGAATCAACACGGAACTCCAGAACTTACTAGCTGGGACCGTGGGCAAGTTCCCTAACGACTCTGGGCCTCTGCCTCTTCATCTCTACCATGGAGATGGTAACAGTTTCAGCCTCACGGGGCTGATGTGAAGATTAAATGAGTTAACACGAGCAAGCCGCTGAGGACAGCCTTGCACATGGTCACGCACTGAGTAAACGGCAGCTCTTGTTCTCATCCTCATCCTCACTCTTCTATCCCAGCAGCGCAGTGGGGGACCCCAAGATCAAGAGCAGGGCTAGAGACACATTCTGTTCATCACAATGTCCCTTCTGAGGTTCACGCCATTCATCACAGTTCCTTGGGCTTCGGATTAGATGTGGTCATCTGTCCTGAACCTCCTCACGGCCCCACAGGCCCAGAGCTGGGCTCTGCCCATCATGGGGCTGCTTCCTGTTCCCCAAACACTGGCCACAATGTGAGGTCAGCCCAAAGGCGTAGGTGAGGAAGAGTGGGGTCCCTGGGACAGGAAGACAGGGTGACAGGAGTGGGCCAGCTCCAAGGTCAGAGAGAAGCCACAGGCTGAGCATCTCAGAGCCCCCAGTGCCTAGTACAAAGAAGCATAAGAAGGCTGGCTCACTCTCATTGAGCCCTATATCGTCCCCTGCATTAGAGCCAAGAAAACTCAGCCTCCAAGACACGGAACATATTTTCCTGGGTCAGAAGCAGCAGTCAAACCTGGTCTATTTATGCCGAAGCCCAAGTGCAGGTGCTCAGAGGAGGTATGTTAAGGTGGGAGATATGATAAGGTGGGGCAGGAGGCTGGGGATAAATGAGGGAGGGAGGGAATAGGGGCTCAGCTCTACCTCTGCACCCGCCACACATACACTGGGCTTACCTCTCCTCTCAACAAACACACTCTAGATAACACTTCCTCCAAGGGCATTTGTGAAAATGCAGGTTCCTGGGCCCCACTCCGAACCAACTGAGTGGAACCTCTGGCCTAGAAACAGGAAACCTGCATTTTTTAAGTGTCCCCCCGGTAATTCTTAAGCAATTTTAAGCCGGGCGCGGTGGCTCATGCCTATAATCCCAGCACTTATTGGGAGGCCGAGGCAGGTGGATAGCTTGAGCCCAAGAGTTCGAGACCACCCTGGCCAACATAGTGAGAACCCCCCATCTCTATTTAAACAACAAAAAAAAAGAAATTTGAGAACAACTGCCCCCAAATAAGGTGGGAAAATAGCTGCAAAAATAGAAAAAGTTCCATCAGAAGAGATCATCAGTTTATCCTGTCAAAGAATCACAAAAAATGAGAAGGCCCCAGCCTGCCACAAAGGCTTTTGGCATTTATCATTGTGAACAAATGGGGATTTTTAAATTTTGAGACCTCAAAGTGTGTTGATGAGCAAAAGCCTCACACTGAATTCTCACAGCAACGTGGTGGCCTCACACCTGTCCCCATATACAGAGGGAGAAACTGAGGCCTGGAGAAGGGAAGGCCCAGAGCCGCCTACATGAAGCTGGTCACTACACCATTGCCTGCAAGTTCAGGTGGATGCAGACCTCAGAGCTCCATCCTGAAGCCCCCAAAGGTGCTTTTCTTCATCTAGTCAATGCTCCACTGCACCTAGCCATGACCAAAGTGTAAATCCCAAACCGGGGGTAACCCGGTGACACTCATTTGTCAGCAGGTGCTGCCCCAAGTGACCAGCCGGATGGATTGCTCACTGTGACTTTATGCCTGCAGGGCCCTTAATGGTTTACAAAGGGCTTTTCCAGCACTGCCCGATTTGCTCACAATGATAATTAGTCGTCACAGTAACAAATGGGTCTGCAAATGAGGATCAGACCCAGATAGGGGGTTGAGCTCTGGCGCACTGCCTGGAACCCTGGTGCTCAACCCTAGTGGAGCTGCAGAAACTGCTGAGGTCTGTGCCTACCCCAGAATCCTGACTTAGCCTGGAGTGCTGCCTGCACAAAAGGATTTCTTATTTGAAGCTCCCCAGGAGATGCTGAACAGCCCCAAAGGAAGCCAGGCTGGATTTCAGGCTCCTCTGCCATGGAGCTGCAGCTTGGTTAGGGTCCGGGTGCTTCTCCCTGGATTACCTGGAGAACACCCATCGCCCCGTGTCCCTGGCAGGCTCACCGGCTCAGCCTTCCTTGACCCCCAGCCCCCTGGCTGTACCTTACCAGCCCCTGCAGTTCCTGGGAAACAGGTCTTACCCAGATCCCAGAGTGCGCCTCAGCCCACCTGTCACCTTCCCACTCTAGAAACTCAACTCCAAACCCACCTCCTCCATGAAACAAGCGAGGAGTCACAAACATCCCCAGTGCCACCCCTCTGAGTTCCACAGGCCTGGCTCGGGCACCAGCATCTCAAGCATGTGGGCCGAGGCCCGGCTTCCTGCCCTGGGAGCTGGTCAGGCCATTGCTCATCCTCAGGGAGGTGTCAGTGCTGGTAGAGGCTGCAGATTGCCTCAAATGTTTTAGAATGTGACGTTTCCCCCAGGGGCCCAAGGTTAACCGATTCCAAGCACTCAACAGCACTAAGAGTGCATTCTCTCAGTGCATCCTCAAACTAAGGCTATGAAGCAGCTGTTGTTACTACCTCCATTTCACAGGCATGGAAAATGACGCTCAGAGAGGTTAAGTAACTCAGGCGGGTAAGTGGCAGGGCCAGGATTCGAACTCAAGTCAGACGGACACCGCAGTCCACGCTCCTTTTTACAGCCACACTGCTCCACCTACCTTGCCGTCCTTCTCACAAGAAGACACAGGAGGAAAGAGTCTCAGATCAGGAGTCGGAGCTGCACAGCCGTGCACTAGGCGTGTTGCCTCAGGAGGCCAGGAAAACGGCTGAGTCCCGCCTATGGTTTGGGCTGAGGCCCATAGTGTGGCCTGTGATTTATCCCCCAAGCAGGACACTTTGAAGAGTAAAAGAGGCTTTTAAGCTATTAATAATGATGATAGGACAGTGTTGGTCAGGACTGTCCCAGGCAAGCAGGATATGGGGTCACCCAACATGGAGTTGAAGTTAGCTAAACTCTCGGAACCTCGATCTCCTTATATTTAAAGTGAAGATATCATGAGCACCCACTAAAATAATTTGTGAGACCACACTAAACTATAAAACCTTACATCCAAATGTAGGTGTTTTGTTTTGTTTTTTAATTTACAACAACAAACAAGACTGGGTGAACTCATTCATGGTCTAACTTGACCTTGGGCAAGTTATTTTCTTTTTTTTTTTTTTTTTTTGAGACGGAGTCTCGCTCTGTCACCCAGGCTGGAGTGTAGTAGCGTGATCTCGGCTCACTGCAAGCTCCGCCTCCTGGGTTCATGCCATTCTCCTGCCTCAGCCTCCCAAGTAGCTGGGACTACAGGCGCCCGCCACCACCATGCCCGGCTAATTTTTTTTGCATTTTTAGTAGAGACGGGGTTTCACCGTGTTAGCCAGGATGGTCTCGATCTCCTGACCTCGTGATCTGCCCGCCTCGGCCTCCCAAAGTGCTGGGATTACAGGCGTGAGCCACCGCGCCCAGCCGGGCAAGTTACTTTCACCCTCAGGACCTCAGCAAAGTAACTGGTGGTGTGATGAAGGGGTCTGCCCGCATTTGAGTTGTAAACTGACAGCAGGTGGGCCACATTTTCTCTATATGACAAGTTTTGTTCGGTCAGTAGAGTGTTGACGTTCTTGAATTTGAATGCCACGGCCCTGCCACACCCTGTTGGCTTGTACCTGGCCTGGCCTGATCACAGGGTATAGACATCTGCCTGACCCCTGTAGGTGCCTAGGTTTGCAGCCCCTGGAATAGACACATTCGAAAGCCCCTTCTCATCCTGACATCCTAGGAGTCTTCCTAGCACTGGTAAGTACCCCGACTGAAGGTGTATAGGTAGATTAGTTGCAACGGATGTTCCACATTAACCTCTTAGATGAGTAACGTTCAACATTAATCAAAACACAAGAAAATCTCCTCCTACGCAATACCAAAGTCTTAATTCAACAGTCAGTCAGGAGAAATAGAGTCGCAGAATCAAAGGGTCGTCACAGCCGGGTGCAGTGGCTCATGCCTGCAATCCAAGCACTTTGGGAGACTGAGGCGGGAGGATTGCTTCAGACAAGGAGTTCGAGGCCAGCCTGGGCAACATAGTGAGACCCTTTCTTCTAATAAAAAAAAAGAAAGAAAGAAAGAATAAAAGACACTCAGTTGGGGTTTTGGTTTTCCACAAGTTGAGGTTGCCAACCTCATCAGATTAACCTCGAACCCTGACAACTAAGGAAAGAGAGTGGAGGAAGCAAAGAGCCTCTGCCACCTGTGTGAGCCTCAGATTCCTCCTCCATAAACCCGAGAGACTGATGTGTACCTGGCTGCATTGAGAGGGCTGCGTGAGCTCCACCGGGCACAGAGTCCAGCAGGCAGAAATGCTCAGTAAACAGAGCCCTACCATCCACTCTGCTCTCGTCCACCGCAGTAGGCAGCCTTAAAATGGGGTCACTCTGCATAAAGAACAAATACTTGTCAGCAGCTCCACCCTGCCATCTTTCTTGTGCTCAGCTTCTTGGAGAGGCAATGTGGTACGCTTTGAAGGAGCACTACATTTGGAGTTTTGATGACTTGCATTTGAATCTTGGCTGTGCCTTTCGTGGCAGTGCATCCTCCAATGACCTCCTTGACCTTTCTGGGTCTGTTTGTACATCTGCTAAAAGGGGATCATGATGACCTCTGCCCTGCCCACTTCACAGATCCTCATCCTATCCATTGATAACCCCACCTGTGAGATCCTGTAGTAGCTGATGTACATGTTAACCGTCATTATCAGTTGAGAAACTTCTCAACTAGGACCAAGCCCTTCACATCTACTCCTGTTTCTGCCACTGAAGCAAATTAAAAAATAATATATATATATATATATATATATATATATCACCTTGGACCTTTTATTTTCTAGCAAGGATTATCCATAGTTATTATCTACACAGGGTGGCTGGTCCCAGGGGTGTGATTCCCATTTGGGGTAATAAGTAAATGCTCTTCGTAGCAACTGCATATGAGGTGAACAAATACAGCATGCCAATAGCGGGACCCTATCGACAGATGAAGCCAGGATTCCAGCACTTACTCCCAGAGCCAGTTCTTCATTATTCAAGATACAAGATCAAGGCTGGGTCCAGGTTCTGTTGAGCCTGAAGCCTATACAATTTGGGGGTCCCTCTTTAAAAAATATGATAATACACAAATAAAATTAGATAAAGGGTGCCTGTAATCCCAGCACTTTGGGAGGCCAAGGCGGGTGAATCACTTGAGGTCAGGAGTTTTAGACCAGCCTGGCCAACATGGTGAAACCCTGTCTCTACTAAAAATACAAAAATAAGCCAGACATGGTGGTAGACGCCTATAATTCCAGCTATTCAGGAGGCTGAGGCACAAGAATCTCTTGAACCCGGGAGGCGGAGGTTGCAATGAGCCAAGACCATACCACTGCACTCCAGCCTGGGCGACAGAGCTAGACTCCATCTCAAAAAAAAAAAAAAAAAAAAGATAAATGGCCTTGGGAGGGTCCTAAGACTGACCTTCTCCAGCCTTGTGGTCAGTCTGTCTGGACCTGTCTGCACATCATCCCTTTAATTATTTCCCAAAAGCTCTACATCACAAACGCATTATTGAAGATGAAGAAACGGGGCTCAGAGAGGTAGAGGAATTTGTCCAACCCAGTTGTCCAGGAAAGACCAGGCACAGTGGACTCCAAATCCCATATTCTTCCAGCCACAACATGCATTTCTTGAATAAATGCTAAAAGATGTGGTGGGTAATTGGTATTGATGAATGGAACACAAATTTGGGGCAAGTTTCAGGTTCACCCTATCCACACCCTACCCGACTCCCACCAGAACTCCTGAATATCACAAACATCCTTCCAGGACCCCACACACAAAAAGTCCCAGGTTATAACCATATTAGAGTAATGGAAAATGAGAAAATGGAAAAAACCTCCATCATTCCCAGCAAAGACTCAACAGGGCCCTCATGAAGCTCCACCTTGTTCCCACTGAGGCAGCTTCCGGCAAGTGCCTGTTTGTACAACCAGCGAGAAACACAGCTCTTGCTGATCTTAATTCTTACCCCCACTCGTTCAGTTCTCTTATGATGACAGGCACCTCAATTCAGTTTCGCAGCATCCCAAAACGTGCCGGAGTAGGCTGGGTGAGACTCTCGGGGCTCAAAGTCTATCATTACATCTTGGTTGCGACCACAGAGGGTTTTTTTTTTTCTTTTAAACACCAGCTCAAGGGCAGAAGAATTAGTCAGGGCACAGATCTTCCGGATCGCTACTGTATGGGGACCATAACATCACTGTAAGGCCCCTGTGCTGAGCCACAAACCCCACTTGGAACAAAGAAAACTCCCAGGTACTTTACCAGACACCAATTGCGCCATCCTGTTTGGGACACAGTCATTTGGCACTCCAGGTTCTCAACCCATAGTAATAACGCCTCATGCTTTTGAAACTGAAAAATGCATCCAAAAAAATCTCAGTGACACATCATGACTCATGTCCCATCCCCACCCCCACTCCCACCTCCCTCCCGCCCCACCCTAGGGAGGGGGGCTCGTCCTTTTCATTCACCCCTGATGTGAAACCAGGTTGGTCAGTGCCTGTCAATTTCACTTCCTGTTTCCTTGCTTCCATCAGAGAGCAGAGCTGTGAGGAGGGATAGATATTATGCTGTGGTGCAGCCAGACAAGCCCCACCTTGTTGTGCCTCCAGAAGAAGCACATTCTTGGCCTGGGTGGTAACAATAACATCTGGATGGAAATATCAAGTGGTATCAGGCTTCCAGACCACCATTCATGAAAGGTGCATCCACTTAGTAAGCCTCTATGGAGGCCTCTTCTGGGCCAAGTGTTTGTTCGAAGTTGTGTATGGACAGAAAGATATTCCTCCTCTCAAGGTGCCCACAGTCCAGGGCGTACTGAGAAGCCAACAGATAATGCAGTGAGATGGCTGTGGGGATTGGGGTGTTACAGAATTGGGGTGGGGTGGGGACAGCCTGCTTTCAAGGAGTCTAGGCAGGCATCTCAGAGGTGACAGCCAAGACTAGATGGAGGACAATAATAAGGATGATGACGATGATGACACTGATGAACAATATGTGCAGCGTTTTCTAACACTTTGCATTTGTTAACTCACGTATTCTTCCCAGTCACCCTTATTCCCACTTCATAGAGGAGGGAACTGAGGCATCAGGATGGTGAGTAACTGGCCCAAAGTCACATAGCTGTTACAAGCACTATATGAGGACAAGCTGACCTGCCAAAGACAGCGTAGGGATCAGGACGGAGAAAGTCACAGAGAGGAAAGGGCATGGCATTTATGGAGAGCTGCCAACATCTTGGGGCCACACAGCAAAGGGCAAAAGTGGTCCCAACATGTGGGTGTGTGGCCCACAGACACGCTTTGTTGATGGCCCATATAGTGTTTTAAGATATATATATAAACCAACGCTTGAAAATTAGGCTATTTCATATAAAAACTCAGATTCCCAAAATTATGTTGAACAATCAGGATCTGGAAACATGGAGGCCATATTCTTCCATGGCAATAATCAGAGTTGGGTTGGTTCTCTTTAGATGGGGTGTAGCCTTCACCCTGTTTCCGTACAGCCACTTCCACTGCCTGATGTCCCCTTCATCCAGTCCCATTAATCCACCAACGTGACCTGCCTGGTGTGTGTGAGACAGGGCAGAGTCAGGGCACAGAGCTACAGAACTTGGACTGAAGCGTTTCCAGTAAGAGGAGGGCAGTGGTGATGCAGCCAGACTCCTACTGCGTGGAGATGAGTCCAGCAGCTCCCTGGAAGAGGGACTGCATGGAGCATAAGACTGCAGCAGGGAAGAGGAGGAGAGGATAAAGTACTGTTCATGCAGGATCAGAACCGGGGCAAGTGTGAAGAGGTCCCTCTACTGAACTTCTACGGAGGTTGATTTTACCGGAAATCTTTTCTCTATTTTCTCCCTGGGGCTCAGGATATAAGCTATACTTAGCAAGCAGTACTTTTTCATATGGAAGACTAAGATTCGCAGAGACCCTGCCAAGGCAACTTACATAGAGCCAAAGGAGAAAAATTAGGCAGATGCTCTCGGGGGAGTTAATTTTAAGGCATTACAGCATTTAATACACAGATTCCACTTCAGTGTTAAACCAAACCAGTCGCAGAGGCTTAAAAAACAGTGGCCAGGTCAACCACTTCACTTTACTCCCAGCCCCCAAAACCTCTCCTGCCCACCATGTTTTCAACTTGAAGCCACACTGAACCATGGAGCACTGTTAGGAAGGCTGGAGGTGGGCAGAGGGGACAGCCCGAGATCATGGTGCCACGAGAAGCTTCCCTCCAGTTGGGGAGATGGGGCCAAGCCCCATGGACCACGAGTGAGAAAGACACATCATGTTTCTATTTCACGTGTGCCATTCACGTGCTTAGTTCTGGGACGCTGCAGAGAAGCAGCAGTTACAGACCTGCTGATGGTGTGGTCAGGAAAGAAGCAGGAAAAGGGTGGGGCACGGTGGTGGCTCACGCCTGTAATCCCAGCACTTTGGGAGGCCGAGGCAGGCGGGTCACCTGAGGTCAGGAGTTCAAGACCACCTGGCCAACATGGTGAAACCCTGTCTCTACAAAAATAAAAAATTAGC
Source organism: Homo sapiens (assembly GCF_000001405.40). Lineage (NCBI taxonomy): Eukaryota > Metazoa > Chordata > Mammalia > Primates > Hominidae > Homo > Homo sapiens. Next base: position 61,063,709 of record NC_000011.10, read on the forward strand.
TAGGCATGATGGCGGGCGCCTGTAGTCCCAGCTACTCGGGAGGCTGAGTCAAGAGAATTGCTTGAATCCGGGAGGCGAAGGTTGCAGTGAGCCGAGATCACGCCACTGCACTCTAGCCTGGGCAACTGATCGAGACTCTGTCTCAAAAAAAAAAAAAAAAAAGCAGGAAAGTAATTTGACAACTAGGAGATCTATGACAACACTTCACTCAGCTGTGGAAAGGTCTTGGGTGTTAGGGTCACATTTGACAATTCTGCCTGTTTGCTGTGTGGCACTGATGCCTGGCTGAGCTTCTCTGTGTCTGTCTCCTCATCTTTTAAATGAGAGCGCTTTGTACACTGGGAAGTGACCTGTGGATGTGAGAGGCCCTGTTGCTATGTGTCCTCTTCATCATTGCTTGCCTATTTTACTATATTTTTTTTTTTGAGACGGAGTCTCGTTCTATTGCCCAAGCTAGAGTACAGTGGCGTGATCTCTGCTCACTGCAACATTCGCCTCCCAGGTTCAAGTGATTCTCCAGCCTCAGCCTCCTGAGTAGCTGGGACTATAGGCACGTGCCACCACATCCAGCCAATTTTTGTAGTTTTAGTAGAGACAGGGTTTTACCATGTTGGCTAGGCTGGCCTCAAACTCCTGACTTCAGGTGATCTGCCTGCCTCGGCCTCCCAAAGTGCTGGGATTACAGGTGTGAGCCACCGCGCCTGGCCACTTGCCTGTTTTTCAATCCAGGGCTGGTCCCCCGGCTGGAAGTCTGCAGAGAGGGTCGAGCCCTCCATCTTTCCTTCTCTCCCTTCCCAAAGTTTCCCAGCTCTGCTGCTATCCCAGGACCCTTTCTTAGGCTATAAAATCCACACGAAGGTGCTATTCAAAAAGATTCCCGCATTTCCTACTTTGAAAGGGCACCCTAAGGAGTGACTAACAGTGATATTTCAGGAGGCACTGGGTGGTCGTGTCTTGAGCGCTCAGATTCTACCCCATGAGCATCTACATTCAATCAAGCCAGAGACCAAGATAAAAGCTAAAAAACCCAACCAAGTTTCCAGGTTTTCATAGTGGTTGGCTCCATGTAGACTGGAATTAGCAAACAGGTTTCAATCCATGTACCAGATCTGATGGTATGAAACACTGATTATGGCCGGACACTGTGGCTCATACCTGTAATCCCAGTACTTTGGGAGGCCAAGGCAGGAGAACTGCTTGAGCCGAGGAGTTTGAGACCAACCTGGGCAACATAGCGAGACCCCGTCTCTACAAAAAAAAATAATAATAATAATAATTAGCTGGACATGGTGGTGTGTGCCTGGGGTGCCAACTACTCGGGAGGATGAGGTGGGAAGATCACTTGAGCCTGGAAGGTTCAGACTGCAGTGAGCTATTATTGTGCCACTGCACTCCAGCCAGAGCAACAGAGTGAGACCTTGTCTCGAAAAAAAAAAAAAAAAAAAGAAAGCAAGAAAGAAAAGAAAAAGAAACACCGATTATGCAGAGAATCAGTCTGAGCCGCGTCTGAACTCAGCAGACACGCATACTATGATGGAGTAGAGATGCTGTCGGGAGCACACAGAGCAGTCATATGCGTGTTGCATATTTGTTACTGTGTAGACAAAACACCTAGGCCAGGGTTGTCCAAGCTTTTGGCTTCCGTGGGCCACACTGGGAGAATTATCTTGGGCCACGCATGAAATACACTGACACGGCAGGGCGCGGTGGCTCATGCTTGTAATCCCAGCACTTTGGGAGGCCAAAGCGGGCGGATCACCTGAGGTCAGGAGTTCAACACCAGCCTAGCCAACATGCAGCCTGGCCGTCTCAACTGAAAATACAAAAAGTAGCTGGGCATGATGGCTGGCGTCTGTAATCCCAGCTACTCGGGAGGCTGAGGCCGGAGAATCCCTTGAACCCAGGAGGCAGAGGTTGCAGTGAGCTGAGATCACGCCACTGCACTCCAGTCTGGCGACAAGAGTGAGATTCCATCTCAAAACAAAACAAAACAAAAAGAAAAGAAAAAAGAAATATACTGACACTAACGATGGCTGATAAGCTAAAAATTCACACACACAAAAATCTCGTAATGTTTTAAGAAAGTTTACAAATTTGTGTTGGGCCACACTCAAAGCCGTCCTGGGATGCGGGTTGGACAAACTTGACCTAGACATTCTGCCTCTCTTCACTTGGGCCCCCCCAGATGTCTGGCCTGCGTAGACCAGCCTCAGTGCACGCAGCTGGAAGGTGCAGTGCCTGTCGGAGGCACCCGTTTCCCCACCAAGGGCCTCATGTTCGCATGCCCACTCCACGTTCACTCCATCATCCATCTCACTCCGTTTTCTATTGAAAGCACCCTGTCACCTTTCGCGTTTCCAACTCAGGAAACAGCAACCACGGAACAGAAGAAAAATCAAGATCCCATTTGCCTTGATGGATTCATTTCGATACAACTTCACTCAAGAGCTCGCCGCTTCCTGATTTCACATTTCACCATCAAAGACGAGGGCCGGGGCAGAGCTGGGGGATGTGGCCCAATCGGCAACATGCGTGGCTGAGCAACAGGTTTCTGCCAGGAGAGGCAACTCTGGGACCGCAGCTTCGGGATCCATTGGCCCATCCCAACAGCTAACAGAGGCAGAACATTCTGGAACATCACCCACCTGTCCCATCCTACAGGCTCCCAAGCCAACTGTGGCAAAGGTGAACCAAAGCCCTGAAAGAACTCGAAGTGAGACAAAGCCAGGCTCTCTGTGCTGAGGGAAGCAAGGCCCAGAGAGGGCAGTGGTGTGGCCACTGTCACACAGCGGGGCTCTGGGTCCAGTCCCTCTCTCTGATTTGGGCACCTCCCCCCTGCAGCAAGCATTGATGACTTCAGGTTACACGATACAGGAATGTCTCCATCCCTTTCCCCAAGGTAAGGAAAGGGCTCACATCAGTTAATTGCTCAAGCAACCCCAGAACCAGGATTATAACAAGGTGGTGCTCTGCCACGGGGCTGATAGAGAGGACAGGCCCTGGCCAGAGCAGGGGTGGGGCAGGGACTGCGGACCAGAGGTCCTCCCCAGAGCTTTTCATGAGCAACTACTAGGCCCTCGATAGAGAAGCCCAGCATGACCGAGAGGCAGTCTATGAATATGGTGACAATGCCACACTGTGAGGATAGAACCCAGCCCCGGCTAAAGCCCACTGAAAGTAAGAGCAATAATGCAATTCATTCATTCATTCATTCATTCATTCATTCGACAAAGTCCGTGCCAGGCTCTGTGGCTACAATCCTGAAAAAGACACAGTATCTACGTCTTCAGGTTGCTTAAGTAAAATCATTAGCACTAAAAAAATGTGGTATTCATACAATAAAGCACAACACAGCAACTAAAAAGCAGGAACTCCTGCTACACTCAAACACGGATGAATTTCATGGGTATAATGAGGAGCTGAAGAGGCCAGGCACAGAAGAGTCCATACGCTGCAATTCAAAACACTACTTACGGAAAGCTGGAGAACAGACCCATAGTGAGAGACCAGAACAGTGCTTAGCTCTTGGTGGGAGGGGGCGGCTGATAGGAGAGGCTCTAGGGAACCTTAATGGGGGATGAAAATGTTCTAGATCTTGAGCTGGGTGGAGGTTACACGGTGTATGTGTGTGTGGGTGTGTGGGCGTGTGTGTGCATGCAATATATATAAAAAAAGTTTTACATTTTTAAAAATCATTAACAGTGTTTACACTTCTTTTTCAGAGCTAACCTTACATATGCTTGATCAAATGACGAAAAGCTTCAGCCAGAAACAGTTTTGCCTGGGTTCTGAATCTTCCCTGAGCTCTTAAATTCTACCCAGTGAGCATCTAGGTTAAAACCTGGATAAAACCTGGATAAAAGATTAAAAAACTCAACCAAGTTTCCAAGTTCTTGTACTGCTTGGCTCTGTGTAGATCCGAGTTAACAAACAGGTTTCAATCCACATACCAGATCTGATGGTATGAAGCACTGATTATGGCTGGGCACAGTGGCTCATGCCTATAATCCCAACACTTTGGGAGGCCCAGGCAGGAGGATAGCTTGAAATAGGAGACTGGGGCCCTTGCAAACCCACTGAACTTCCTGGTGGTCACAGTGGACAGTCAGCCTGGGGAATAAGTCTCTCTGTGAAAAATGCAATGAACACAAGGCCCCTTTCCATGGCCTGTGCTTGGAACCAGCAAAGGAGTCGGCCATTCTGCATCCTGAGCACAGACAGAGGAGCTGTGGGTGACAGATGGTGCCTGCCAGGAGCAGGGATGCATGAGTCTCAGGTCAATGACAGATGTGGCTGGAGCCCAGTGTGGAGGCCCCAGGCTCCAGCGTGACCTAGTTTTCGAGATTGATGGGGCTGGCGTTGATGGCCTCCCGTGCACTCTCCTCTGTTCAGTGGGGGGCAGAGAGAACCCAAAACAGCAACGCCCTCCCCCAGCCCACACTTAGACAACAGGTGACTACGAAAGGAAGGCAGGAGGGGAGGTGGGGAGGGGAATGGCAGGCGGGCCAAGTTGGGTGGGCTCCGGGGCAGATATGTCTGCCTCTCTTCTCTGAGGCACGACTGAGGGGCAGAGAAAGGCCAGGCAGTGGCAGTGACTTCACGTGCGCTGCTGCCAACGACCCCCATCCCTCCCAATCCACCGTGGTAACACCAATATGTTCCCAGCTTGGATCTCTCTCTCTCTCTCTTTCTCCCCACCCACCTTGGGCCCCAGACTCATACCCAGCCCTGTCTGCTCAGCATCTCCACTTGGGTGTCCGAGAGCATCTCAAGTGTCATATGGCCAAAAGCAAACTCCTGACCATCCCTATCTCAAGACAGGGCTTCTCCATCCTTCCAGGTGCTCTGGCCAAAAACTGTGGTGTCACCTGTGACTCCTCTTTCTCTCACATCCCAGCTGCAATCCAGCCAGAAATCCTATGGGTTCTGCCTTCGAGATGTAGTCAGACTCTGGCCACCTCCCACCCCCTCCACTGCGACCGCCCTGATCCTGGCCACCGTCCTCTCTGCCTCCTCACCTGCCTTCCTGCTTCCTGCCCTCATTCCCTTCCGGGTGTTCTCCCTGCTGGATGTGGAGTGATCCCATGTAAAAGGCACCCATGACGTCTCCCACCTCACAGCCTACTGCTCTACCTGCTCACACCACTTGGGTCACGCTGGCCATCGGACACACTGGACAGCCTCAGGGCCTTTGCTGGTCCTGGGCTGGAAGGCTCTTCCCCTGGAGAGCCCTCAACTCCCTTCCTCGCCTTGGGTGGAGCCTTCCTGGACAGCCCTATTTAAATCGCCACCCCTCCCTCCCCCTTCCCCCTTCTCTTCTCCTGTTTTAGTCTCTTCCGTAGCATTTATTGCCACTGGACACACAATATATTTTTACTTATTTATTTTGTTCATTGTCAGTTGCCCCAGGTTAGACTGTAAGGAGCATGAGGGCAGGAAAGTTTGGGGTCTGTTTTGTTCTTGCCATGTCTCCCAACACCAAGGACAGTGCCTCGTGCATAGCAGGCACCTAGTAAGTTATTGAATAAGTGAATGAATCAGGATCAGTGACCTCCCTCTGGAACCACAGGCTTGACAGCAAAGCTCTCCCCCTTTCTTCTGGCCCCTCAGTGCCCCCCTCAGGGCAGAACTCCAGGTACCCAGTGTGTCTCCAGCAGGTCCCTGTGTCCCCTTAGTGGTGGGAACAAGAGATCCATCAGTTCCAAGCCTCAAGATGCCTCTTGCCTCCTTCATCATCTGTCTCCCTCACATCTGCCCTGCCTTTGACAATGTACAAATAGCTTTGAAGCCCTGTAAGGTTTCAGCATCCTTGTTGCGTAGGCTGGGAGAGCCAGGCAACAGCCCAAAGACACACAGCTTAGAAGGGAGGAGAACACCCATCCTGACAGCAAGCTTGGTCATTGCTCAGATTCACCCTGTCCCTACCACCTGCTTCCTCCAGGCCAGCACTGCAAGCCAATCGTGATGACAACGACGGTGCTGGATGGAGGACAGACAAAACCAGTGAGGCTCTTGCAACAGGGGAAAATGAGTCCACCAGCAACAAGAAGACTGGGACTGGGGAGGGGGTGCAGAAGGGATTAAAGGGTTCAAGGGGGCCTGGGAGGACAGAAGGGGATTCTGTTTGGGTTCCCCTCAACCAACCTAAAGCAGATTCTGCTGAAAACACAGGAGGCAATAATACCCTGAGCTTTTTAAGTGCATGTCCCCATGACCCCATAGCCCTACACCTAGAGGTTTATTGCAAAGCCATCAGGGAAAGAGTGTACACAGAACAGTGAGGGTTAGCTATACGGGGTGCTTGGCAGAGCAGTGCTGGTGAGAGGAGGACAATGGAAACCTTCTCAGTGTCCCCAGATAGGGGAATGGGATTTATACGCCATGACTCCCTTGAAAACAATGAATGTGCACCTACATTTCCTAACTCGGAAAGCCGGCAATGACATTGAGCCTAAAATTCTGTGTTGTATGGGCCCATTCGTGTGTGTGTGTTTTTTTTAAATGTACGTGTTTGCAAAGAAAAGTGTCTAGGGCCAGGCGTGGTGGCTCACACCTGTAATCCCAGCACTTTGGGAGGCCGAGGTGGGTGGATCACAGGGTCAGGAGATTGAGACCATCCTGGCTAACACGGTGAAACCCCATCTCTACTAAAAAATACAAAAAATTAGCTGAGTGTGGTGGCGGGCACCTGTAGTCCCAGCTACTAGGGAGGCTGAGGCAGGAGAATGGCATGAACCCGAGAGGCGGAGCTTGCGGTGAGCCAAGATCGCACCATTGCACTCCAGCCTGGGCAACAGAGCAAGACTCCATCTCAAAGAAAAAAAAAGTGTCTAGGAGGAAGTATATCAGGTGCAGTAATGGTGACTGCTGCTAGTGAGCCTAGAGGGAGCTCACTCTCTTTTTCATTCTTTTCTGTATTCTATTGCTGTGGGATAATTAAGGAATCAGAGAGACTGAGGGGTTGAGGAAGAATTATGTAATTATTTAGGTGCACCAAACCAGTCGGATTAACATCCAAAGGACTGAGCCCCAAACAAAGAGTCCGGTTACCTTTTAAGCATTTTGTTGGGCGGGGGCGGGGGGGGTAATCTGTGCAGAGGGAAGCATATTACAGAAGTGAGAAACAAAGACAGTTATTCAACTGAGACATGCATTACATCATTTCTTACTTTTTAAGGAACAACATGTTTTACGACTTGAGATTATCTGTCAAGTGACCTTGAAGCTGCACAGCTAGAGAAACAGAGTCTTCACAATGCCTGGGAAAGGGAGAGATAAGTCTCACTGGCCACAGAAAGAAAAACAGGCAGTTAATTTTAAAGGACTCCAGCCCTTTCTCTTCCTCAAGGGGAACTGGGTTTTCTTACATTCAGCTGAGTTTTTGATTACACAGTTTTTAATTTCTTTTCATTCCTGTTCCACTATGAATAATTTTACGACTAGCATATATCAATATTTTTAGTAAATAAAACAGTAAAGGTGCATGCATTTTAGAAAAACAAATTTAAATGCTCCAGAGACTTCCCCGATGGGCCAAGCCCACCAGGGCCCTCTCTCCAGCCAGACCCAGCACCTGCCCACTGAAGGCAGCCTCTAAGCCTCCGAAGCTGAGGGCCTGACACCTCCATCCAAGCCTCTGTGTGTGACTGAGGGGGGAGAAACAGAGAGAAAAGAACCACTTCCTGCAGAGCTGGTGGTGGTGGCGGCTCTGAGGGAGGAGAGACACCCACCAGAGGTGAGGACTAGAGGCTCCTTCAGCAAATGTGAACGTGACTCAGGGGGCCACCCTGACTGACAGGGCAGTGTGGCCCTCACGGTGACCAGGGCTCAGCCGCACTGTCACTGCCATTAACCAAAAGCCGGTGATCACAGGCAGAAGAGGCCTGCGAGTGGGACATGCCCAGTGGGCCTTGTGGGGATGGAGCCGGTCCTGCTTTAGGGGACAGGGTCTGAAGCAAGAGCCAGCAGGTGGCCTCGACCCATGGATTCCCCTGCAGGTCTCCAGGGCCACACCCATGGCAGGGCCTCCAGATAGGATCCCACTGCTCTTTAAGGAATGTTTGGGCAGGTCCCCAACAGCCTGGAGGAAACCCCTTACCAAACCCCTTACAGCCACCAGCAAAGGAAAGCCAGGCTTCCAGGTAGAATCTGGATCCATGAGGTGGACTGTGTTCTATCCACTTTGTACTCAGGGTGCCCAGCCCAGGCCAGGTGCTTAGTACTCGCTTATTAAGCGAAAGGATGAATGAATGAATGAGCCATCCGCAAAGATGACCTATGTTACTACTTTGGAAAGAAATGTCTTCAACGTGAGCTGGGCTTCTCAGCGGGTGGAGGTGCAGCTGTGTTCCAAACAAAGAAGCTATTTTTAAAGAGAGAGAAGAGGGAAAGACTGAGTCGGGAATGCCTGAGGCCTGGTTACTAGACAAGCCAGAGGACTCCTCCTCATCGTGCAGAGGAAGGGGGAGTCAGCTTCTGGGAAGAAGTGGGGCCCGCCTGGGGCAGTCTCACCAGAGGGAGGTGATGACAATATTGCTGGGCTTCAGTCTCCTGCCTTTAGAGGGTGAGGGCCAGTCCACAGGAGTTCAGATCATAAGGCCCAAGTCCCATTCTCCGCCAGCTCCCCGCCTGCCAGGTGAGGACACCAGTCAAGGACTTCTGTTAGACTGAGTCACTTGGGAGACTTAGCTCTCTTTGGGCACAGCTTGGTCCCCTGTGCATGTGGCCAGATGCCAGGGGGCTGGGCACTTCTGGGAGATGGGCCTCTCGGTGCATCAAGATGGCTTCACAGTGAGCGTGACTGTGAGGCTGTTGTGCCCCTCCTCCCTGATCTTCTGCCACGACCCTGGAGCCCACTTCAGTCACCACTGCCAAACCATCACCTTCCATCACACACACTCGGACTGTGGTCACACCCAGACCACCAGGATGGACACACAGAGCTGAAGACCCAACCCTTGGCAGACACCATAAAACAGCCCAGCTGGCTCCAGTGGGCGGGAACCCTGGTAGGAAGACATGGAAGCCATCTGCTCAGGTGTCCTCTTTCTGCAGGCCCAGAGAGAGAAGACTTGCTCAGGCTCAGGTCAGAATCCAATCCGGGATCCGAAGCCAGGGCTCCAGGCCTCACGTACGGTGCACCACGGGGAGTTTTGGCGATAAAAGTCAGGGCTTCCCAAGAGGCCTGAATCAGCAGGAAGTGGTAGCAGCTTGCTCTACTGGGGCACAGTCCCCACTCCCCACCCACCAGACCCTCCATCGACCCTCATGCTCCCCATCTGGGAGTTGGGGCGGCCAGGGTTGCAATTGTCCCTGACAGAGAAGAATTGTGCCCCAAATTCCAGAGGCCAGGAGGGAAACAGGATAAACCACAAGGCACCCACAGCGCCTTCAGGAGTCCTCCTGCCTCTAATTTGCTGTGTGACCTTGGGGAAGTCCCTTCCCTTCTCTGGGACTCATTTTCCTGATCCGCACGATAGAGTTTGGTCTCCAAGGTTTCATCTGATCCTGAGAAGCTCTGAGTCCAAGCCTGGACACATTCTTACTGTGTCAGAGGCAAACACTCAGCCAAACTAGCTGGTCACTAAAAATAGAAAGGCTGGGCGCAGTGGCTCACGCCTGTAATCCCAGCACTTTGGGAGGCCGAGGAGGGTGGTTCACTTGAGGCCAGGAGTTTAAGACCAGCCTGTCCAACATGGTGAAACCCCATCTCTACTAAAAATACAAAAATTAGCCAGGCGTAGTGGTGCATACCTGTAATCCCAGCTACTCAGGAAGCTGAGGCAGGAGAATCACTTGAACCCAGGAAGCAGAGATTGCATTGAACCATGATCGTGCTACTGGACTCCAGCCTGGGTGACGGAGCAAGATTCTGTCTCAAAGAAAAATAAAAATACAAAATAAAAATAGAAAGCCACTAAAATAAGGTGTGGGGTGGGCTAGGAATTTTTAGATACAGGCACCATTGTTATTTTTATTTTTACTAAATTTATTTCCCTTTTTTCATATTTTGATTTCACTAAAAATAGTGAAAAAAGTTTCCACGCACAAAGCATTCTCAACAATGTTTTTGGCCAGATTGACAGCTGCAGCTCCCTCCAGCCATTTATTAATGGCTTTTTCTTTTTAAAAAATCTACTTCTGCCCATGAATCTGAAACACATTAACTGAACATTTGGGTCAAAATTTCTCATACATGCTACATCTTCCCTCTGGATGAAAAACTCCTGGGGAATGGGGATTATGTCTTCCATAGCTTTCTCCCCTCGTGTCCAGCCTGGCTTTAGGCCTGATAATGACTGCTGTCATCATTGTTGCTGTTATTGTTGATTTTCATTATAGAGCCTGAAGGAAACTTCAAATCGAATCCAACCTCCTCTCTTTACCAATGGGGAAATTGAACCCAAGAGAATAAACTGTATTTAGTCTAATATCAGATCCTTGGTGGAAAGGCTCAATATTGTAAACATGTTGATTCTACTTCAAATCAATCCAGAAATTCACTGAACTTTAAATCTAATGGGATTGGGGGGAGTTGGGGAGATCTGACAAATTTATTTGAAAATGAAGAAGGATAGCTAAGAAGTGTTAGAAGCAGACGAGTAATGTCCTTTCCCATAATAAGATTATAGTTCAATCTAAAGATTTACACAATTTAAAACTGGGTATACCATTTTAGGAACAGATTAATTAATGGAAAAGAAGGAAGAATTCAGAAAAGGAAATTCATCTCATTTATTTTAAAATTCAATGATGTAGTGCTAATCCTAAGCAGTGGAAGGAAACCTGGAATTTTCAAAAAGTGATGTTGAAGCAGCTGTTCTCTTTTTGGGGAAAACAAACTGAAAAATAAAAAACTTTAGAGTTAATTTTAAATAATTAAAACAAGTCACATCTCACACCTACTCAAAAATAAAGTACAATTGGATTAAAGATTTGTGTAATAAAAAAAGACACTAGAAGAAAATATAGGGGAAAAATTTTTTATAACTTGAATGTGGAAAATGTCTTTCTTAGCATAGTATAAAAACTAAAAATCCTGAAGAGAAAGAATTTGGACCCCATGAAAATTTAAAATGTATGAATAGTGGAAGATATCATAAAAAATAAATAGTAGAAAACAAATGACAGTCTGGGAGAAAATATTTTCAACACATGCAACAGACTAAGGATTAATATCCATTATATATAAAGAGCACCTACAAATCCACCAGGAAAGGACTGACAACCCCCACCAAAACAGGTAAAGAATATGAATAGATAACCAATGAAGAAACACAAATGTTTTGTGGATGCAAAACATATTTAAAAAGTGTTCAATCTCTCTACTAATTAAAGTAATAAAAATTTAAAACTCATGATATTTTATACCTACCATATTAGTAAAAGTCAAAAAATATTGGTAACATTCAGAATTGAGGACGTGGAAGGTAATCAAAGCTTTTCTTCCTTGACAGTAATAATGTCAATGGTTCAGCTTTCTTAAAAGAACAACTTGGGCATTATCTTTCAATATTTTTAAATGTTCATATCCATGCAGCAGCATCATATCTGGAAATCCATCCTACAAGATACTAAACACAGGTGCCTAAAGACATGTTTGCTGTGCTCTCCTTGTAACAGGCAGACAAATTGTTGATGAATGATAAAGAAGGATAAAATAAATCATGGTAGTCCCAGCTACTCGGGAGGCTGAGGTGGGAGGATTGCTTGAGGCCAGGAGTTTGAGCCCAGCTTGGGCAACATAGCAAGACCCCCATCTCAAAAAAAAATTATTGCACATTCATGTTATGGATGGCTGTGCAGATATTAAAGAGAATGACATAAATCTGCCTGTATCAACATGGAAAGTCACACACAATTTATTGGAAAGTGGAAAAAAAGAAATAATTATATAATAATCAGTATAATATTATCCCATTTCCATTTTGTAAAACAAATAAATAAATAAAGATTCAGATCAAATTTTTAGTGGTGGTTACAGCTGAGGAGTGGGGTCGGTGGGAGTGATAGGAAGATGGAATGTTGCTATTTAAAAATGTATGTTGGTCAAATTGAAAAAAAATAAAAGATATCCTTCACATATTTCAATAATGAAAAAAGCAAGAAATAAGATAAAATAAAATAAATGTAAGTTGGTGCTCTTTGAATGCGTCTTGATGATATCTGCAGTTTTGCACATACATATACTGTGTGTGTGTGTGTGTGTGTGTGTGCACACGCCTATATAATTAACAAAGAAACATATCCTCACTGGCCCTGTGCAAAGCTGTTACAATATTTATTTTAGGAATGAGGAAACAGTCCTGAGTTCTATCACTTGCCCAAGAAACTCACATGCTGTGAGTGACTACAAAGGAATTCCAGTCCCAGCCTGAACTGAAAGCCAGGGAGGACCCTTCCCTGCCAACTCGCCTGCCCTAAGCACAGAGCGTGGCTGTGCGAATTGCAGACTTGGTGGATGACGGCTGTGGGGAGTTAGAGGTAGGAAGTGATCATGCATTGTTTCTCCAAATGCTGTATTTAATAATATTTCAGATAATCAAAACTACTGTAGTCAACTGGGGAAGTATAGAATTGTTAAGAAGCAGGAAAAAAAATACCAACCCCCCAGAGACAATTACCATTAGTATTTTGGGATATTTCTTCCAATATTTTAATTGCGTTTATAAACATGGTTCATATTACATTGTAGGTGTGATTTTGCATCTCTCTTTGAAAACAACACTGTATCAGATTCATTTTCTTTTGTCATTAAAGTCTTCATAAACAACAAAATTTAAAAAGAGATCAATATTTTAAATAGCAGTAGTTTACTTACTATCTAATTTCATCCTGCTTACCTACCACCCACCCAAACCCAACCAGCAGAGCACCCAACTGTCCCATCTAAGATAAAATATACTCGGTACATATTCTGCACCAAGCAGAGAGGTGACTAAGACACGCTGTACCTCATAGCACACAGCAAAATTAACTCTGGGTGGATTAAAGAGCTAAAGGAAAAAAAAATCACAGAAAGACTTGAAAAAAGTTGATGAGAGTATTTATCAAACCTCTGTGTGGGGGAGGACTTTCTAACCCTAAAGCTATGGGAGAAACCACAAAAAAAAGATCACTAGATTTGGCTACCTAACATTTTGATACCCTGTAAACAACCTGAACAAAAAAGGTCAAATAGCAAGTGGGGTAAAATCTTTGCAACAAACATAAAAAAGATTAGTAGCCATCATAAATAAAGAGCTCATACAAATCAATATAAATCACCCACTGAGACCCAAATGCCTAACTGGGGAAAGGCTTAGGAGTGTGCTATCCAATATAGTAGCCACTAGCCACATGTGGCTATTTAAATTTAAATTAATTTAGGATTTAAATTAAAATCTTAGGTAAATTAAATTAAAATCAAGTTTAAATTAAAACCTTAGGTAAATTAAGTCTAAATTTAAATAAAATTAAATTTAAATTTTACTCAGTTATCTAGCCATATTTCAAGTACTCAATGGACACATTTGGCTGGTTGCTGCTGGACAGGCAGATATAGGCCACGTGGACCCTATTAAACAGGAAGATACAGGCCATTTCTATCATTGCAGAAAGCTTGATTGGAAAGCACTGCTTTAGACAGTGCGCAAAAGAAGACTCACCAGTGACCAATAAACACATTTAGAAATTCAGCTTCATTAGAAATAAAAGGAGTGCAAACTAAAACAAGGTCACATATTCATCTAGTTAGGAGTAAACAGGGTATTGCTAATTGAAGAGTAAAGAGTTACGGACCATCTGGAAAATAATTTGGCAATATAAGTTAAGAACTGTAAAAACCCTCAACCCAGCAATTCAGTTCCTGGGAATATGCGCAGCCTAAAGAAATTGTCAGAAATACACAAACCATTTTGTGCAGAAACGTATTGATTCCTAAATTATTTATTATTTCAGAGAGCCGCAGCCTGAAAGCCCAACCTCAGGGAAGTGATTACACCCATCAAGACCGACCACTCAATGGACGGACAAACCATCAATAAACATTATGTTTTGCCAAGAGGAACTAATGACTTGGGAAATACATACAAAAATAAATTTAAAAAACACCACATTCGAAACTGAAAGGTTAGGATAACATCAACTATAAAAATATGAAGACTATGCACAAGAAACTGCCAATTGCCAGAATAAATATCACTGGGTGATAGGATTCTGAATATTCTTTATGCTGTTCAGTAATTCCTGAATTTTTAACAAAGGTCATTTTCTGGTTTTATACAAAACTAGAAAGGTCACTAAAAATTCACAGGAGAGATAACCTAGTGATTAAGAGCAGGGATCTAAGCTGGCTGAGCCTTCGACGCCAATCCCCTGTTGCTCCCTGGCTCTCAGACCTCAGATGAGGTCAGCTCGGCTTCCTTGTCTGCAAAATTAATAACCACACCTGCCTCATAAGGTTTCTCAAGAACTGAGCAAGATGGTGCCTGCACAGTGCTGGGTAGAGTCTGTGCACATGAGCCCAGAACATACGTGAGGACTGCTGTTTGTATTAACATGGGAAATGCTTATGTTACTCTGTTGTCGCGTGACAAACCAGGACCCAGAATCTTCTATAGAACATGCTCTCAACTGGAAAAAATATGCTTTTTTTTTTTTTTTTTTTTGAGCCAGAGTCTTGCTCTATTGCCCAGGCTGGAGTGCAGTGGTATGATCTTGGCTCACTGCAGCCTCCGCCTCCTGGGTTCAAGTGATTCTCCTGCCTCAGCCTCCAGAGTAGCTGGGACTACAGGCGCACGCCACTGCGACCGGCTAATTTTTGTGTCTTTAGTAGAGACGGGGTTTCACCATGCTGGCCAAGATGGTCTCGATCTCCTGACCTTGTGATTCACCCGCCTCGGCCTCCCAAAGTGCTAGGATTACAGGCATGAGCCACTGCGCCCAGACAACATGTGCTTTTTCAAAAGTCCACAAAGACCAGGAGCTACTCCAAACTGCTGATGGCAGTTTGGGGAGATGGGAATAAATTTCCTCTCTTTGCTTAAAGAAGCATGAAAATATCTTTCTGTGCTTTCCAAATTGTCTCCAATGAGCATGCTATCTTCACAATGAAGGGGGGAAAAGCTTTATAAAGATAGAGAAAAGCTGAAATAAATAAAGGTTTAACTGGTTGTGCTGAGGAGGTCATCAGCTGGCACGCAACTGAGGCACACAGCCTCTGCAGCTGGTGGTTACTGGGGAGACCTCTGCCTTGTGGGATTCTGAGCTGATTTAATTTTTTTTCTTTCTTGAGACAGAGTCTCACTCTGTCACCCAGGCTGGAGTGCAATGGCGTGATCTCGGCTCACTGCAACCTCCATCTCCTGGGTTCAAGCGATTCTCCTGCCTCAGCCTCCTGAGTAGTTGGGACTACAGGCACCCGCCACCACACCTGGCTAGTTTTTGTATTTTTAGTAGAGACGTGGTTTCATTATGTTGACCAGGCTGGTCTCGAACTCCTGACCAACAGCCAGGTGAACTGCCTGCCTTGGCCTCCCAAAGTGCTGGGATTACAGGCACAAGCCACCACGTCCAGCCACATTTAATTTTTTTCTACATATTTTATGTATTTCCAAACTGTACAAGAGGTAGTAAATATTATTTTTCCCAACCAGAAGAAAAGACGTAGTTAAGAAAACTAAAGAAAACCTGGCCCTCTGCGTTGGGACTGGTGAGAGGGACGAAGGTAGATGGAAACAAGAACTGAGGGGCAGGGTGGGGGTGAGTGTTAGCACAGGGGCCCACCCTGCTGAGCCTGCGGGTGGGGCTGCAAAGCAAAGGCCTCCGAGCCTCCCCCTGCTCCACTCTGAGCCTTGTCTCCTCATCCACGCACAAGCCCAGGCCCAGCACAGCCGCAGACACGCCAAGGTGATGGGGGGCAGACTACCTGGACTGAGAAAGGGTTCTTTTTTATTTTCTAACCTTCCAATAAAACATCTGTGAATTTTTTCACTGTCAGATCAAATAAGAAAGGAACTTGCGTTTTGCAGTGCGTAGAGCTGATAACAGATCTATTGCATTTCTGAAATGTACAGAAGTTTTTTCCTCTTGAGAACCTGGGAGTAGTCGTCCCCACCCTGTCCCCAAAGCTGGGCCTAGTCATGACAAGCACTCCAAAACCCACAGGTCCCAGGTCCCCATACACCTGGGAAACAAAAGCATCTAACATCAAAAAGGACCACGGCCATAAGGAGGAAGAAACACCTTCTCAGGGTGAGGCTCGCCCACCCCCCTCTCTGCCAGGCCAGGCTTTGCTGTGTCCAATCCCCTCTCCTCATCTCTGAACTCCTCAAATTCCTGGGAGAGACGAAGCCTGTGAGGCCTTTTTGTCCACTAAAAGTAGGGGGCCAGTGGGACTTAGTGTCAGATCGGTTTTGCTGGTCATACTTCTGAGGTGCTGAATTTAGAATTTTGGTTGACATGAATGGGCTGTTCCTGGAGTCAAAGAAGCCTGTGGTGATGCAAAAAGAGATCAGGAAAATCCAAAGGAACAGGATAGTTTTGTGGGACACTCAGGGACTCTGGGGTCAGACAACAGAACCATCCACTCTGGGCCACAGCTATAATGCACGGACAAGAACCCATGCTTGTAGGATGGCAGTGTGCAGTAGGTTACACGGCTGCTGCATGAAAATTACTAGAATTAACCCTCTCTGGCCCCTTCTGTTGTTCCCACAGCAACAGGGAAGGTTGAGGAATAACAGGATGAAAGGACCCGGGATCCAGAACCTTAAGTCTGGACCAGCTATGTGGGCCTGTGTCAGTCACTTGACCCTGGGGGGACTCAGCTTTCTTCTCTATATAACGGATTCATTTCAGCTCCAACTATTGAATCAAACAAGCCCCAGCACCCTACCTGAGGCTCCTCAGAACAGAGGCATCCTCACCTCATTGCAGGAGCTGGGAAGACGAAAGAAATGCTATAATCTCTAGCAGAACAAGTAACTGCACAAGGAGCTCAGCAATGAAGACACAAAGCACAAACCCCAGGTCACCAAGCCGCGGTCTCCGAAGTGGGGAGAACTTGCATTCTCTGCAGCTAAACCTGGCAAACCAACAAAATATGAAACCACACTTCCAGGCAGACCCGCCTTGTACTGCACCAGAGCTTCTAGAGCCTTTTTTTTTCCTTTTCTTTTCTTTTTTTCTTTTTCTTTTTTTTTTTTTTCTTTTGAGACGGAGTCTCGCTCTGTTGCCATGCTGGAGTGCAGTGGCGCAATCTTGGCTCACTGCAACTTCACCTCCCAGGTTCACGCCATTCTCCTGCCTCAGCCTCACGAGTAGCTGGGACTACAGGCGCTCACCACCATGCCCAGCTAATTTTTGTATTTTTAGTGGAGACAGGGTTTCACCACAGCCAGGATGGTCTCGATCTCCTGACCTCGCGATCCGCCTGCCTCAGCCTCCCAAAGTGTTGAGATTACAGGCATGAGCCCAGCATAGAGCCTTTTTTAGGGGCATGGGAGGCACTGAGGTGCAGACTAAAGGTGCGGGCCTTCTCCCCAGAAAAACACACAAATGACCACCCATGGTGTCAGGCAGCTTGTGGAACACTGAAGGACAAACATGGATCCCAAGGTCAGGACGCCTGTTCCACCCAGGGCTCAGTGTGCCCCTAGACAACTTCCTATGCCAGGGGCACCCTCAGAGGAGCCAGAAACCAGACTAGAGCCCCAGTAGCTCTCAATGAAGTGCCTGGAGAGGGAGCTCTGTCCCCAGCTCTGGGGCCCACGTGTCGTTCTGGCTACCTTGAGAAGCTGGGAGTAGAACCTCCTCCCCGCTCCCTGGGATTCCCAAACTCTGGCCAGAAGAAAGGGAGCTCATTAGCTGGGCCCCACAGGCCTCCCTTTAGATTCACTCACAACTGGGGGGCAGTGAATAACAGGACCTCAAAAAAGGAGTTCTCTGTCCCAAAGCCTTTGAGGGTCTCTTGGGCTGAAAGATCCCATTTCCAGGGGTGGCTGCTCCGTGGCATGCCCGACTCTGGACCTCAACATAGAGAAGCCTCTCTGATCCCCGACATCAGCCCTTGTCCCCAGCATGCAGCCTCCCTCTTTGGGATCCAGATGCTGGAAGGACTTCAGCTAAGCTCTGGACCCCACAGGAGAAATCTTCATTTGCGCTTTAAGTAACCCATTTTCTCCACACATCCTGTATCAGAAATTGTCCTGGAACCTGACTGGACACGCTCTGTCCGCACTGTGTATTAGCGGGGTCTGGAGAGGAATGGGCTCTCGGGATTACAGAATTTGAGACTTCTCACTTTTCTATCTAACCCCTTTGTCAGAGGGGAAAGTCAGAAGGGAGCTTAGACTCCAGAAAAGATGGAGGAAGAAGGAGCAGGCCATACCTCAATGCAGAGAGGGAACCGAGGAGGTCTTCCTGGGGGAGGAAGCCTTGGCAGGGCCTGGCTGAGGGTGAGAGCGGAGGCAGGGCCAGGTCCAGCTTCCTTCCGCCCCCCACACTCTTTCCCACACCCTACCCAGACCTCACCCATGGGCGTGTTGCCCAGCATCAAGCCCGGGGCTTCCTGCCCAATGCCTGTCTCATCCAGGGACCTCGGCAGCCCTGCACACTGGTCAGATAAACCTCACAGGGGCACAGAGAGCAGGCACTGAGAGTGGCCCCCTGGAGGGCAGGATCCAGCCCCCACAGAAACACACAGCCCAGTAAAGGGGCTCCCCTGCAGCCCCCTTCCTGCCGGGCAAGGCCACAGGCAGGGTGTGGCTTGTATGCCATGGGGCACGCTTTACTTTCCAGCCTGGTACACACGCGGCAGAGTGGTCTTGGTACAGAATCAAAGGAACGACACTCCGAGGTCACAGATTACCCGGCTGGTGCCATCTGCTTCTGACAGTTGGATTGCGTTTTTCACAGTTACAAATCACGTCCCTTCAGGAATATCGGGAGGGGACCTGTGTTCCTAGGCACACACTCATCCCAAGCTGCCCTCCTTGGCAGAGCACGTGGGGAAGTGGGTGAGTAGTGAATGTTCCTGCCAGATGCTGGCCTCTGCTCTACCTACCTCACGCCATTTAATCTTCATGACAATCTGATGAGGCAGGTACTAGTGTTATTCCCATCTTTCAGAGGAGCTTGCACAGCTGGTGATTGACAGAAAAGAAAAAGGGGCTCTAGAAACCCATTTTAACCCCCTGTCCCTGCCAGGGAGGCTGCCCTGAGAACCAGTCTGTCCTGGGACCCCCTGCTGACCCTCATCACCTAGTCTCCCTGCCATCCCACCCTGTCCTGCAGAGAGGTTAGGACGCAGGAGCTGTGGGTTCCCACCAGCCCAACCCTTCTTGCTGAGCATCCTGGGGAAGCCCCCTAACGTTGCTGGACCGCCATGCTCCTGTGTGTAGGGCCCCACGGCCTCAGAGTTGGGTATGTCCTAACAGAAGTTGACCTCGTAGAGGACAACGCCTGATCGAGCGGAGGGTATCCTCTCAGCGGGAGAATCAGGAGCCCTGGGTCCCTGTTGGTTCCTTAACTTGCTGTGTGATCATGGGCAGGGCGCTTCACCTCTCTGAAAGATGGGGCAAATGTCATCTTCGCTGTCTTCCTCCTCCGGTTGTTATGAAGATCAGGTTGATCTCAGTGATGAATGTGAAAGTGCCATGCTCAGTGAAGATGACTCGAGGCAGACACAGGCAGGGGTTGTTACTGACAATGGTGACCACAACCCTTGCCCTGCCCGGGAGCAGGGACCCTCCCCTGCTTTGCAGATGAAGTAAAGTGAGGCTCTAGGGAAAGCAGGTTTCCACTCCAAAAACATCAGAGACTTGTTTTGCCTTTAAATCCTTCACAGAGGGAGACTCAAATCCCAGACTACAAGTTCCCTGCAAGGGGACAGAAAGGATCTCCAGGGCCTCAGATCTCCCCTGGATTTACCAGGCAACTGGAACGAGGTATAAACAGCCAAGGACTTAGTATCCGGAGATGCAAGTGCAGGCTCTGCCTCTGTTTCTGTTTCACTGGGGATGTCGTAGTCAGTTTCCTCGTTGATTGCGCGGGGACGGGGCACCTGTCTGCTTGACAGCGCTGTCAGGGACATGAAGTGCGATGCTTCCGTGCAAATGCTTTGTAAAGTGCAGTGCTCCAAGAGAGGCATTAAGAGTGTCCAAACCATACACCACCCAGGCCACCTCGAGGCCACTCTACAATTGGGAAAGCACCTGCCTCTGTAATTGTGGCTTTGTGTGTTTCACACCCTCCTTGGTCTCCAGCTCTCTGAGAAAAAGTCCTGTTTACTCTGTGATATGCAGGTATCTGCGGGTGGCAGCAGAGCTTCAAGCTTAAAAGATGTAGACTTTGTATGACCAAATGCCTGTCGTGGTTGAATGTGGAAATAAATGGTGGTACAGTCACACAACAGAATACTATACAGCAATGAAAAAGAACAAGCTCCTATACACAATAACATGGATGAATCGTCCAAGAATAATGAGTGAAAAAAATTGAAACACAAAAGGTATAAACTTTGTGATACATTTAAAGTTCAAAGAAAAGGGCCAGGCACGGTGGCTCACACCTGTAATCCTAGCACTTTGGGAGGCTGAGGCAGATGGAGCACTTGAGGCTAGGAGTTCAAGACCGGCCTAGCCAACAAGACGAAACCCCGTCTCTACTAAAAAAATAAAAATTAGAAATAAAGGGTATTCAATTAGGAAAAGAGGAAGTCAAATTGTCCCTGTTTGCAGACGACATGATTGTTTATCTAGAAAACCCCATCGTCTCAGCCCAAAATCTCCTTAAGCTGATAAGCAACTTCAGCAAAGTCTCAGGATACAAAATCAATGTACAAAAATCACAAGCATTCTTATACACCAACAACAGACAAACAGAGAGCCAGATCATGGGTGAACTCCCATTCACAATTGCTTCAAAGAGAATAAAATACCTAGGAATCCAACTTACAAGGGATGTGAAGGACCTCTTCAAGGAGAACTACAAACCACTGCTCAAGGAAATAAAAGAGGAGACAAACAAATGGAAGAACATTCCATGCTCATGGGTAGGAAGAATCAATATCGTGAAAATGGCCATACTGCCCAAGGTAATTTACAGATTCAATGCCATCCCCATCAAGCTACCAATGACTTTCTTCACAGAATTGGAAAAAACTACTTTAAAGTTCATATGGAACCAAAAAAGAGCCCGCATCGCCAAGTCAATCCTAAGCCAAAAGAACAAAGCTGGAGGCATCACACTACCTGACTTCAAACTATACTACAAGGCTACAGTAACCAAAAGAGCATGGTACTGGTACCAAAACAGAGATATAGATCAATGGAACAGAACAGAGCCCTCAGAAATAATGCCGCATATCTACAACTATCTGATCTTTGACAAACCTGAGAAAAACAAGCAATGGGGAAAGGATTCCCTATTTAATAAATGGTGCTGGGAAAACTGGCTAGCCATATGTAGAAAGCTGAAACTGGATCCCTTCCTTACACCTTATACAAAAATCAATTCAAGATGGATTAAAGATTTAAACGTTAAACCTAAAACCATAAAAACCCTAGAAGAAAACCTAGGCATTACCATTCAGGACATAGGCGTGGGCAAGGACTTCATGTCCAAAACACCAAAAGCAATGGCAACAAAAGACAAAATTGACAAATGGGATCTAATTAAACTAAAGAGCTTCTGCACAGCAAAAGAAACTACCATCAGAGTGAACAGGCAACCTACAACATGGGAGAAAATTTTTGCAACCTACTCATCTGACAAAGGGCTAATATCCAGAATCTACAATGAACTCAAACAAATTTACAAGAAAAAAACAAACAACCCCATCAAAAAGTGGGCGAAGGACATGAACAGACACTTCTCAAAAGAAGACATTTATGCAGCCAAAAAACACATGAAGAAATGCTCATCATCACTGGCCATCAGAGAAATGCAAATCAAAACCACTATGAGATATCATCTCACACCAGTTAGAATGGCAATCATTAAAAAGTCAGGAAACAACAGGTGCTGGAGAGGATGCGGAGAAATAGGAACACTTTTACACTGTTGGTGGGACTGTAAACTAGTTCAACCATTGTGGAAGTCAGTGTGGCGATTCCTCAGGGATCTAGAACTAGAAATACCATTTGACCCAGCCATCCCATTACTGGGTATATACCCAAATGAGTATAAATCATGCTGCTATAAAGACACATGCACACGTATGTTTATTGCGGCACTATTCACAATAGCAAAGACTTGGAACCAACCCAAATGTCCAACAATGATAGACTGGATTAA
This sequence comes from Homo sapiens, assembly GCF_000001405.40. Lineage (NCBI taxonomy): Eukaryota > Metazoa > Chordata > Mammalia > Primates > Hominidae > Homo > Homo sapiens. The sequence goes on from NC_000011.10 coordinate 61,085,987, forward strand.
GAAAATGTGGCACATATACACCATGGAATACTATGCAGCCATAAAAAATGATGAGTTCATATCCTTTGTAGGGACATGGATGAAATTGGAAACCATCATTCTCAGTAAACTATCGCAAGAACAAAAAACCAAACACCGCATATTCTCACTCATAGGTGGGAATTGAACAATGAGATCACATGGACACAGGAAGGGGAATATCACACTCTGGGGACTGTGGTGGGGTCGGGGGAGGGGGGAGGGATAGCATTGGGAGATATACCTAATGCTAGATGACACATTAGTGGGTGCAGCGCACCAGCATGGCACATGTATACATATGTAACTAACCTGCACAATGTGCACATGTACCCTAAAACTTAGAGTATAATAAAAAAAAAAAAAAAAAAAGAATAAAATCTAAATTTCTTAAAAAAAAAAAAAATAAAAAAAATAAAAAATAAAAATTAGCCAGACGTGGTGGTGCACACCTGTAATCCCAGCTGCTCGGGAGGCTGATGCAGGAGACTCATTTGAACCTGGGAGGCAGAAGCTGCAGTGAGCCAAGATGGCACCACTGCACTCCAGCCTGGGTGACAGACTCTTGTCTCAAAATAATAAATAAATAAAATAAAGTTCAAAGAAAAGGCAAAGCCAATCTATGATGACAGAAGTCAGGACAGTGGATACTTGGGTAGGGAGCAGTGCGGGGCAGTGGGGAGCCTCCCAGGTGCTGGTTACACCAGCACGTGCAGTGTGTGAAGTTACATTTATAACACACTGCATGTACTGTGCTGTGTGTATCCCATATATAAGTAAAAAGTTGTTGTTGTTTTAAATTAAGCATCTGGGTTCCAGCCCAGCTTTACCACCTGGATGGTGTATAATCTCAGGCTAATTAAACTCTCTGAGTATCTACTCACTCTTCTGCAAAATAGAATAAAAATGATATCTGCCCCAAATGCTTCCAAATGTCAATGATTCAAAATTTCCATTCACGTTTACCTTATCCAAGTACCAAATATTATTTTTACTTAATATTTTTCCTTTAAATCAACTCACTAGTTAATCTAAAAATGAAATGTATAAACCATGAATCTGGTGAGCTAGTTATCTATTTTCAGTATATAAATTAATATAAAGTAAAACAAACACATTATTAAGATAAAAATGTTCATCTGTGAGCCACCTCAAGTCATCCTCCACATCAGTGAAGGTGGTATGTATATATTAACTCTGTCACCCAGGTTGGAGTGCAGTGGCATGATCACAGCTCACTGCAGCCTCAACCTCCTGGGCTCAAGCAATCCTCCCATCTCTGCCTCCCAAGTGGCTGGGACTACAGGCACACACCACCATGCCTGGATAATTTTTTTTTAATTTTTTTATAGAGACAGGGTTTCACCGTGTTGCCCAGGCTGGTCTTTAACTCCTGGGCTCAAGTGATTCTCCTGCCTCGGCCTCCCAAAGTGCTGGGATTACAGGCACGAGCCACTACGCCCGGCCAAGGTGTCATACTCACTCTGGGGAAAAAAACTAAGATAATGTAATTACATAGAGTCCCTAGCACTGTGTAAGCCCTTAGTAAATGGTAGCTATTATCACCACCATCATCATCATCATCGACTTCATCAACATTACTGACATCATCATCACCATCATCTTCATCATTTCATCATCACCATCAGCATCATTACTGCCATTATCATCATTCTCATCATTGACATGATCATCACTATCATCATCACCACATATAACACCAATAAGTATTTGTTTCCAGATCATCCCACAGGGTCAACCCAACATGGCCCTGGCCTCAGAAGAGCTTACAGAATTAGGAACATATAACCCATGCTGAAGTGTTGGGGCTTGCTGGGACACATATCGAGGTGAGCGCTCCACATCGGTGTGGATGGGGTAGAAGTTGTTGAGCTATGCCCTCCCACCCTCCACACCAGACCAGAACCGACTCTCTCCAGATTGCCTTGGGGACCTGCCTCTTGCCACAGGCCAAGGCTGACTGCACCTGGACCCATCCCCTCATCTCTCAGAACTTCAGTCTCCTCATCTCTGAAACAAGGCTGGTGACCTCAGCTCCTCCAAACCTCCCAGCAATGGGCAAAGGGAAGGACCCGCCATCAAAGACAAACAGAAGTCACTCGAGGAATGTCCTGGACATTCAGTAAATGATCACAAACATGTCTCACTTTTATATCAAATTTGTCCCCCAAGGTGGAGTCCTGGACACTCACTAATGATCACAAACATGTCTTATTCTTATATCAAACCTGTCCCTCGAGGTGGACCTGGACCTCTTCCACACTGACAGTCACAGGGCACCTAGAGTGCCCATCATGGAACAGAAAAATCCTGATCCCTAAAGTAGTTATAAACCTACTCAAGTGTGTCCCTCTTTAAGTAAACTCAGCCAATCAGTATTCAGATCTACTAGAAGTAAGTTGGGATGGAGGTAACTAATTCAATTTTTACAGTGTGCTTTTAGTATTTAAAATGGTCATAATCCTTGATTCAAATAATTCTAATTAAAGGAAATAAGGATATGATTGTGCAAAAATATTTATCACAGTTATTTTTAATAGCAAAAAAAAAAAAATGAGGAGCTGGGTAAAGTGGCTCACGCCTGTAATCCCAGCACTTTGCGGGGCTGAGGCAGGAGGATCGCTTGAGCCTAGGAGTTTGAGACCAGCCTGGGCAACACAGCGAGACCCTATCTCTACAAAAAATTTGTTTTTAAAAATTAACCAAGCGTGGTAGCTCATGCCTGTAGTCCCAGCTAAGGCCGAGGAAGGAGGGTCACTTGAGCCCAGGAAGTCAAAGTAGCAGTGAGCTGTGATCGCACCACTGCACTCCAGCCTGGGCAACAGACTGAGATACTGTCTCAAAAAAAAAACAAAAAAAAAAAGAGTAAACAACACAAATGTCCAATAATAGGGATTGGTTAAGTAAAAATCAGAACTTTTATTAGCTATTGTAGACCCATTTTTAAAAACCATGTTATATAAGTCTATGACATGGCACGACACTCAAGATATACTTTAAGAAAAAAAGCAGATACAAAGATATCTCTTTATATATATCTACATATAGATATCTGTGTGTATATATCTTAAGTATATTTATAAAAGATATATAATTTATATAAAATATATATACCTCGTACATATAAACATGTATATCACAAATACATGATACTAATTTTGAAACAGTAGATTATCGTAATTATAAATTGAAAAGAATAAAATATATAACATATTAACTGTGGTCATAATGAATGGTAGGATTGTGAGTGGTTTTATTTTTTCTTTATATTCTATAGTTTTGCTAATTTTTCACAAAAGCATGCATTATTTTTATTATTAAAAAATCACGTTATAAAAATGTTATATGTTTTACATAATTATACAAACAAATACCAGGACTTTTTTCTTTAAAAGATTTTCTGCAGACCCCTTTTAAAATAAAATCCTTACCCAACCTCATGCTACCATCTTGATCAAATCTCACCCCCACAATTAATTTCTGTAAATGTAGAAACTATTCAACTCATTGATATTTTTATTTTATGAAAATAAGACTGCAATATATAAATTGTTCTGAAATTTAATGTTTTCACTGAGCAAAAATATCATGGACATTTCTCTGTGTCAGGATACGGGGATCTATGAGCCCTTTCTTGATGGCTATATTCCCAACTATTCCAGAGTGTAGCTGGTTTGGAACTTATTTGCCCTTTGCCCTATCTTTCCCGTGTTTTATTATCCGTTGGTGACTTCAGCACCCCTGTGCATACTGCCTTGCACCCTGGTGAGTATAGGAGGCTTCTCTAAAGGTAATAGTGTATACGAGATTTTTTTTTAATGTGGCTTTTGCCATTTTATCCCTTAAAAATGGCTGTATCAATTTTCCAGCTTCTGGTAACTGATATTCTTTAAATGAGACTCCAAGCTTCAACTGACAGATTGAGGAATCTGGTGGACCATCTGGTGCAGCGCCTTTATTTCACAGATAAACTGAGACCCGGGGGGAGAGACTCCACCCTAGGCACGGAGCCAGTGAGGGGCTGAGCCAGGATGCTGCCCACAGCGTCCCACTTCTGGACCCATCTAGAAGCCACTACGCTAGCAGGACTCAGAAGTCATTGTCCTCATGCTTCCCTCAGCCTGGAAAATTGATCCCACCACCAAGCTGGAAAACCACTCATCCTTTGGGTCTTCATCTAGATGTCACCCCCTCCAGGAAGCCTTCCCTGATTTTCCCAGAGGCTGGATTGGACACGCGTCCCCCTCTGTGCTCCCTCAGGCCTGGCCTTTCCATGCTGTGTCCCAGTTGCCTGTCAGGTAGCCTCCCCACTGGGCTGGAAGCTCAGGGCGGTGGTGGGGGGTGCGGGGAGCAGGGTGTGCTTGTCAGTCTGTTTCATGTGTCCCTGCTGAAAGCTTCTCTGTCAATCATTCATTTGTTCAAGAAATAGCTTTGTGCCGGGTGCTAGGTGCGGGGGAGAGAAGGCAGGAGCGCTCCTGACCAGTGTCAGGTCTTCAGGAACGCTAAGCACTGCTCTAAGAAGCTGAGAGCCACGCTGAAGCTCTGCGTGCTGACCGCCACGTGAGCCTTTTCCACAAGTGCACCCGGCCAGCCTCCCAACATCCCTTCAAGGCAGGCTGTGTTCCACCCGTTTTACAGATGGGATCTGAGGCTCCAAGGGCCAAGGCTGCCACACCGAGGACACACAGTTGGGTCAGCCGGCCTCCTAGGCCCCCAAGATCTCTACTGTGACACAGCGAAACCCCTAAATGGCCACGAGAAGCACCAGCCTGAGATGAGAGAGAGGCTGCACCAGGGCAAGGGGTGCCTGTGGAAGAGGAGGCCTGGCGGTCCAGTCCAAAGCTCACTGTTGGTTATCTGTGCACCTTGGAGAATTCACATAACCTCTCTGATCCTCAATTATTTCACATGAACAACAGCCTTCATTAACACCTGTCGTACACTACTAGGAGGCCTTATTTTCTCAACCAAAGCCTATGCCTTATGGTCGAACAAGTCTAATCTTACAGTAGCAGCGGAAGAGTGAATATGAATGCTGAGTCCTCAGGGCCTCAGGCTGCGGGATGTGTGACTGGCACCCCGGGCTGTGGGCAGGCCTACAGCAGGCCTGGGTTGGGGGGCAGGTAGCAATGGAAAGGGGCTCCAGGAACACAGCCCCAGTGAGGGGAACTTGAGGAGGGCCCAGCAGAGGCGGGGGCGAATGCAGCCTGAGCCAACCAGCCCGCTCACGCCAGGGTACCACTGATCACAGACCTTCCAGAAGCCACAGGAGGCTGCCTAGTGTTGTCCGTGAGGGGCTAGGAAAGTAGGGGGTCAGTGGGGGAGCCTTATCTGTCCCTCCAGGCAAGACGGCCTCCTCCCCAGCTGCTCGACTCGCACCTGGACTTGGGGAAAGTACACACACTGAGACACCTTCCCAAGCCAGCGGGACCCTGTTCAGGCCACTTGGAATCCTCAGTCTTCTGCCCCTCCCCAAAGCCCTGACACTCACTCAACACTCAGCTCCCTCTCACACTAGCGAAAGAGGTAAACCTCCAGGCCCCACACAGAGAAATCCCCCACCTCCGACTGGACTCGGCACGCCAGTCAAACACTTTCATGCTGGGTTCCTAGGACAAGAGAGCTGGGCCTCGGGACCATCCAATCTCTGCATTTTACATATGAGCCAACCTCGGCCCAGAGCATGACAGGGACTTGACTGCAAAGGTGCCAAAGGTGAGACTCGAATGCAGGTGCCACCAGGCCAGCGCGTCTCCACCACACTGCACGCCACATGCATGTCCAGACCTGGATCCTAGATCCTCCTTCTCCCCCTCCCCACCCCCCACCAACAGCCAAACTGGGTGGGAACAAAGCTGGGGGAGGAGAGGCACTTCCTGAGCTGGCGGGGAGGGGAGTGTTGCGAAGTCAGCTCCCTGGGTGCCCCCACCCCCACAGCCAAACAGAGGTTTCCAAGGATCCAGGTCACTGAGTCATCCACACACACTTGTAGGCCTCTTCTGCCCTTCTCATCTGGCCACCAGGCCATCCATTATCTTTGGGAATCATTCCATAGATTTCTTCCTTCATTCATTCAACAAACCCTGAGGTCCTACTATGCACCAGTCACATTCCTCAGCCTCCTTCACCTCCTCCCTCCCACCCTCAGCTCCTCCCCTTTCCCCAGATCCTAGTGCCCCTTTGCCCCAGTGAAGAGGGCACACCTGGGGGCACTGAGGAGTCACCGAGTCCAGAGGGGTGACAGACACAGGCACACCCCACCCCAGATTACCTGGTGTGGCCCACGGCAGCACCGGCAGGCACCTCTCCGGTAGAGGTTGAGGAGGTTCTGACACCCGGCCCTGGGGGCTCAGCAACCCCTTCCCCCACCTTCAGCCTCTACTGGGCCTCGCTGCCTGGAAAACCCAGCCTGGGCTCAGCTGACTTCCTCTTGTGTCATGGAAAGTGCAGTGATGGGGACAGGAAACTCCCGCCAGGGATCTGAGGTCTGAGTGGGGACAGGGGCCCAGAGGTTTCTGGACCTGGAGGCCCGGAGGGGTGAAAGGGGCAGGGGTAACTTATGGGGGTGGGCAGCAGGGAGGGAGCCTATAGGGCAGTGTTCTCAGAGGGCAGCGACCCCCTCCACTAGGGTCGAGGCAGTGCCAAGCCCTGGGGGCCTGGAAGACAGCAACCCGAGGCCCTGAGCTACTTTCAGTTTTCCAAAACCAAACTAACAAACAAAAAGAGTAGAAGTTGTACTGTGATGAAGACTCTGAGATCAAAGCAAAGCCCAAATGTTTGGTTTGTTTTCTTTTCTTTGGGTAAGGAGGTGGGGAGTGGTGGCAAGGGTGGCAGAGTGAGGAAAACGTGGGATCATACTTCAGCGTTGACCTCCTGGGGCCGAATACTTTACCTTCTGAGCCTCAGTTTCCTCATCTGTGAAATGGAAAGCTGTGCCCACTTCCATGATAATTGGGAAGACTGAAGGAGCTGACGCCTCTGGCTAGAGGAAGGTGCTTAGTAAAACTTTCCTCGCTCTTTTGGGCTGCAATTATGTACACTGAGTGTGGGAACAGGGGCTGTGAAGGGCTGCTTACTGCACACAGCTGTGTGACCCACGAACAGCACTCATCAAGAAAAAACATCCCAGCAGAGTCTTTGGTGCTAAGAAGGGTGGAGCCATGTCTGTCTCTTTCGTCTTCACATCCCTGGGCTTAGCATGGGACAAATATTGATAAATGAATGAGTGAATGAATGAATGAATGAAAGAGGCTGGGATTTCCAGAGTCAAGGGACCAGGAAGGATGGATGTGAGGGCAAGGGGCAGGGGGCAGGGAACTGGGCCAGGCCTGGCCGGGAGGGGCCGGGTGAGGTTTCCCCATCCCAGGCTGAGGGCACCTCTGGCGGGAGGAAAAGGCACCTCTGAAGGCTGGATGAGGGATGGGTGTGGCCCCAATCACAGCTACCTTAGGAGTTCTCTTTCCTTGATCCTGGGGTGGGGGTCAAAGCTTCCCTCTGCCAAAGAGGTTCAAGCATGCAGCACCCTCCAGCCCTGAGTGAGCAGAAACCGGGGAGTGTCTAAGTGGGTCTAAGGGAGGAGACCACCCCTCCTATTGTCTTATGCCCGATTTCTGCCTCCAAAGAAAGAAGAAGTAAAAACTAAAAGGCAGAAATGAAATCCACAAGCAGACAGCTCGGCGCCACACCCTGGGCCTGGTAGTTAAAGATCGACCCCTGACCTAATCGGTTATGTCATCTATAGATTACAGACATTGTATAGAAAAGCACTGTGAAAATCCCTGTCCTGTTCTGTTCTAATTACCGGTGCATGCAGCCCCCAGTCACGTACCCCCTGCTTGCTCATTCGATCACGACCCTTTCAAGCGGACCCCCTTAGAGTTGTAAGCCCTTAAAAGGGACAGGAATTGCTCACTCAGGGAGCTCGGCTCTTGAGACAGGAGTCTTGCTGATGCTCCCGGCTGAATAAACCCCTTCCTTCTTTAACTTGGTGTCTGAGGGGTTTTGTCTGTGGCTTGTCCTGCTACATTTCTTGGTTCCCTGACCAGGAAGCAAAGTGATTAACGGACAGTTGAGGCAGCCCCTTAGGCAGCTTAGGCCTGCCTTGTGGAGCATCCCCGCGGGGAACTCTGGCCAGCTTGAGCGACACGGATCCTCAGAGCGCTCCCAGGTAGGCAATTGCCCCAGTGGAATGCCTCGTCAGAGCAGTGCATGGCAGGCCCCTGTGGAGGATCAACGCAGTGGCTGAACACAGGGAAGGAACTGGCACTTGGAGTCCGGACAACTGAAACTTGGTAAGACTAGTCCTTGGAACTTGCCCACTCCATTTGAGTGGAAGCATGGCCCAATCACCCATGGCATGCCTTTATCAGCACTTTGGTTTTGGTTTTGGTTTTGACTTGGTTTGAATCGCTTGACAGGACTGGTCTTGGGAACTTGCCTACTCCATTTGAGTAGAAGCGTGTCCTGATCACCCACAGTGTGCCTGTACCAGCACTTTGGTTTTTGTTTTTGACTTGTCTTGGATTGCTTGATACTTTGGTTTTGGTTTTGACCTGGCTTGGATTTCTTGATACTCTGATTTTGGTTTTGATTCTGGCTTGGCGTAAACTGTAAAAGTGTGTGTGTGCCCTTTTTACCCGTTCTTTGTTTTGTGGTGTGAGCATGGTGTTTTGTCTCGAGGAAACATGGGTCAGACACAAAGTAAGCCTACCCCACTAGGAACTATGTTGAAAAATTTCAAAAAGGGATTTAAGGGAGACTCTGGAGTCACTATGACACCAGGAAAACTTAGAGCTTTGTGTGAGATAGACTGGCCAGCATTAGAGGTGGGTTGGCCATCGGAAGGAAGCCTGGACAGGTCCCTTGTCTCGAAGGTATGGCACAGGGTAACCTGTAAGCCAGGGCACCCAGATCAGTTCTCACATATAGATTCTTGGTTACAGCTAGTTTTGGACCCCCCGCAGTGGTTAAGAGGACAGGCAGCAGCAGTACTAGTAGCAAAGGGACAGTTAGTTAAGGAAGGTTCTCGATCCCACCCGCCGAGGGAAGTCAGCACCAAAAGTCCTGTCCAACCCAACACCAGAAGAGTCACAGCAGGAATTGGTACCAGCAGTATCCCCTCCTTATCAAGAGGAAGGGCTCCCCACTCCTGAGCCCACAGCACCTACAACTCCACCAGATAACCACACCCCAGACCACCCAGAGTAGACAAAAGAGGAAGTGAAGCCACGGGAGAAACTCCTCCCTTGAAAGCTCGCTTACAGCCCAAGACTGGAATCCAAATGCCCCTGAGAGAGCAGTGATATACTGGGGTAGATGAGGACGGACACATGGTGGAAAGGCGTGCCTTTGTGTATCAACCTTTTACCTCTGCTGACCTCCTCAATTGGAAAAATAATACTCCATCTTACACTGAAAAGCCTCAAGCTTTAATTGACTTGCTCCAAACTATTATACAGACTCATAATCCTACTTGGGCTGACTGCCACCAGCTGCTCATGTACCTCTTTAATACAGGTGAAAGGTGAAGGGTGCTCCAGGCGGCAACTAAGTGGCTAGAGAAGCACGTCCCAGCCAATTACCAAAACCCCCAAGAATATATAAGAATTCAGCTGCCAGGAACAGACCCCCAATAGGACCTGAACGAGGGACCAGACATGGAGAGGCTAAGACGGTACCGTGAGGCATTAATAGAAGGTCTAAGGAAAGGGGCTCAAAAGGCTACAAATGTAAATAAGGTCTCTGAGGTCATCCAAGGAAAAGAGGAGAGTCCAGCACAATTCTATGAAAGACTGTGTGAGGCTTACTGTATGTACACTCCTTTTGATCCAGATAGCCCTGAGAATCAGCCCATGATTAACATGGCCTTACTTAGTCAAAGCACGGAATATATCAGGAGAAAATTGCAGAAACAGGCTGGGTTTGCGGGTATGAATACCTCACAGTTACTGGGGTTTGCGGGTATGAATACCTCACAGTTACTGGAAATAGTCAATCAAGTGTTTGAGAATGCAACAAGCCACAGAGAAAGCCGTAAGGAAGGCGAACGCCAGGCTAGGCGAAACGCCGACTTACTGGCCATGGCCATTATGGGAATTCCCCCGAAAGGAGAGGGAAAGGGGGGTTCTGGGAAGAATACCCAGTCTAATCTCCCATGCTTGCAATGTAACCAATGCGCCTGTTGTAAGGAAGTAGGGCATTGGAAAGATAAGTGTCCCCAACTGAAGGAAAAGCAAGGTGATTCAGAACAAAAGACCTCAGATAAAGATGAGGGAGCTTTGTTCAATCTGGCTGAAGGGCTACTGGACTGAAGGGGACCGGGCGCAAGCACCCCCAAGGAGCCCAAGGTCAGGATTACAACTGGGGGCAAGGACGTTAAGTTTTTGGTTGATAGTGGTGCTGAACCTTCAGTAGTGACCACCCCGGTCACCCCCTCATCCAAGAAAACCATTGATATAATCAGAGCAACAGGAGTTTCCACTAAGCAGGCTTTCTGTCTACCACGGACCTGCTCGGTGGGGGGACATGAGATAGCTCACCAGTTCTTGTACATGCCTGACTGTCCCTTGCCCTTGCTGGGAAGAGACTTGCTTAGCAAGTTGAGAACCACCATCTCCTTTACAAAGCAGGGCTCTTTACAGCTAAAGTTACCAGCAACAGGAGTTATCATGGCCCTTACGGTCCCCCGGGAAGAAGAATGAAGACTTTTTCTAACCAAGCCAGGCCAAGAGATAAAACCAGCTCTAGCTAAGCAATGGCCCCAAGTATGGACAGAGGATAATCCTCCAGGACTGGTGGTCAGCCAAGCCCCTGTACTCATAGAAGTTAAGCCTGGGGCCCAACCAATTAGACAAAAGCAGTATCTGGTTCCCAGAGAAGCTCTCGAAGGAATCCAGGTTCCTCTCAGGCGCTTGACAGCCTATGGAATTATAGTTCCTTGCCAGTCTCCACGGAACACCCCCCTCCTACCTGTCCCTAAACCAGGGACCAAGGACTACTGGCCAGTACAGGACTTGGTCCGAGGAGAAGTTTACAAACCCTCTCCTGAGCCAGTGTTTCAAACTTTCTAAGATGAACTCAATGTGCCAGTACCACAAATTCCAGGAAAAACAAGAAATTTGTTTTTGCAATTAGCCGAGCACGTAGCCCAGTCTCTCAATGTCACTTCATGTTATGTATGCGGAGGAACTGTAATGGGAGGTCAATGGCCATGGGAAGCCCAAGAATTACTACCTACAGACCCAGTTCCTGATGAATTCTTGGCTCAAAAGAATCACCCTGATAATTTCTGGGTCCCAAAAGCCTCAATTATTGGACAATATTGCATAGCTAGAGAAGGAAAAGAATTCACTCACCCCGTAGGACGACTTAGTTGTCTGGGACAGAAACTGTATAATGGTACCACAGAAACAGTCACTTGGTGGAGTTCAAATCACATAGAGAGGAATCCATTTAGTAAATTCCCAAAGTTGCAAACCGTGTGGACCCACCCGGAGTCCCACCAGGACTGGACAGCCCCCACTGGATTATACTGGATATGTGGGCATAGAGCTTACGCCAAATTACCTGACCACTGGGCAGGTAGTTGTGTTATTGGCACTATTAAACCATCTTTCTTCCAACTGCCCATAAAAACAGGTGAACTCCTGGGCTTCCCTGTCTATGCTTCCCGCAAAAAGAGAAGCATAGCTATAGAAAATTGGAAAGATGATGAATGGCCGCCCCCTGAGAGAATCATACAATATTATGGGCCTGTTACTTGGGCACAAGACGGCTTGTGGGGATACCAGACCCCCATTTACGTGCTCAACCGAATCATACGGTTACAAGCTGCCTTAGAAATAATCACTGATAAAATCAGCAGAGCCTTGACTATTCTGGCCTGGCAAGAAACTCAGATGAGAAATGCTATCTCTCAAAATAGATTGGCTCTCGACTACTTGCTAGCAGCTGAAGGAGGGGTCTATGGGAAATTTAACCTTACTAATTGCTGTCTACACGTAGATGATCAAGGACAAGTAGTTGAAGATATAGTTAGAGATAGGACAAAACTGGCACATGTGCCCGTGCAAGTGTGGCATGAATTTGATCCTGGGGCCATGTTTGGAAAATGGTTCCCAGCACTAGGAGGATTTAAAACTCTTATAATAGGAGTTTTAATAGTAATAGGAACCTGCTTACTGCTCCCTTGTTTGCTACCTGTACTTCTTCAAATGATAAAAAGCTTCATCGCTACCTTAGTTCACCAAAATGCTTCAGCCCAAGTGTACTATGTGAATCACTATTGATCTGTCTTGCAAGAAGACATGGTAGTGAAAATGAAAGTGAGAACTCCCACTCATGAGTGAGATTCTCAAAAGAGGGGAATAAGGGAGGAGACCACCCCTCATACTGTCTTATGCCCAATTTCTGCCTCCAAAGAAAGAAGAAGTAAAAACTAAAAGGCAGAAATGAAATCTGCTCGGCACCACACCTGGGCTTGGTAGTTAAAGATCGACCCCTGACCTAATCTGTTATGTTATCTATAGATTACAGACATTTTATAGAAAAGCACTGTGAAAATCCCTGTCCTATTCTGTTCCATTCTAATTATCAGTGCATGCAGCCCCCAGTCATGTACCCCCTGCTTGCTCAATCGATCATGACCCTCTCAAGCAGACTCCCTTAGAGTTGTGAGCCCTTAAAAGGGACAGGAATTGCTCACTCAGAGAGCTCAGCTCTTGAGACAGGAGTCTTGCTGATGCTCCCGGCTGAATAAACCCCTTCTTTCTTTAACTTGGTGTCTGAGGGGTTTTGTCTGTGGCTTGTCCTGCTACAGGTCTAAGTGGAATCTAAGTGGAGGCATCACTGAGCCAGCCTCTCCAGCCCAGGGATGGGGAGGCCCCAGGCCCTAGTGGACCTGGACCAGTGATCACGTCCTTGAACTACTTCCTACCTGCCTGGGGTGGCCCAGAGTACAGGAAGCCCAAGGAGCCAGGAGCTTTCTCATCTGGGAGCACAAAGGATGTGAGGAAAAAACGGAACCCAGCCCAGCCCAGGGAAACACAGGGACTTTCCCCTGCCCCGGGCTTCCCATCTTCTTTGCAGAGACCCTGCCTCTTCTTCAAGGGGGATGATTCCAGACCCTCTAAGAGCAACAGGGACACGGAGCTCACATACATACCCCACATCAACATGGAGATCACACACCTCAACACGGAGATCACACACATCAACATGGAAATCACACACACATATCGAATGGGGATTACACACATCAACGTGGAGCTCATACATACACCCCAACATGGAGATCACACCCACAACACAGAGATCACACAAGTCAACATGGAGATCACACACACACATCAACATGGAAATCACACACACACATCAACATGGAAATCACACACATCAACATGGAGATCACACACACACATCAACATGGAGATTACACATACATCAACATGGAGATCACACACACATCAACATGGAGATCACACACACACATCAACATGGAGATCACATTCGCACACATCAACATGGAGATCACACACACACATCAACATGGAGATTCACACATATCAACATGGAGATCACATTCACACACATCAACATGGAGATCACATTCACACACATCAACATGGAGATCACAAACACACATCAACATGGAGATCAAATTCACACATCAACATGGAGATTACACACACATCAACATGGAGATCACATTCACACACATCTACATGGAGATCACATTCACAACACAAACATGGAGATCACACACACATATATCAAATGGGGATTACACACACATCAACCCCAACATGGAGATCACACACACAGCACAGAGATCACACATGTCAACATGGAGATCATACACACACATCAACATGGAGATCACACACACATCAACATGGAGATCACACACACATCAACATGGAGATCACACACACTCGTCAACATGGAGATCACATTCACACACATCAACATGGAGATCACACACACACATCAACATGGAGATCACACACACACGACATGGAGATCACACACACACATCAACATGGAGATCACTCACACACATCAACATGGAGATCACACACACATCAACATGGAGATCACATTCACACACATCAACATGGAGATCACACACACACAACATGGAGATTACACACACACATCAACATGGAGATCACACACACATCAACATGGAGATCACACACACACAACATGGAGATCACACACACACATCAACATGGAGATCACACACACATCAACATGGAGATCACACATACATCAACATGGAGATCACACACACACGACATGGAGATCACACACACACATCAACATGGAGATCACTCACACACATCAACATGGAGATCACACACACACATCAACATGGAGATCACATTCACACACATCAACATGGAGATCACACACACACAACATGGAGATTACACACACACATCAACATGGAGATTACACACACAACATGGAGATCACATTCACACATATCAACATGGAGATCACATTCACACACATAAACATGGAGATCACACACACACATCAACATGGAGATCACACACACATCAACATGGAGATCACACACACAACATGGAGATCACACACACACATCAACATGGAGATTACACACACATCAACATGGAGATCACATTCACACACATCAACATGGAGATCACAAACACACATCAACATGGAGATCACACACACACATCAACATGGAGATCACATTCACACACATCAACATGGAGATCACAAACACACATCAACATGGAGATCACACACACACATCAACATGGAGATTACACACACATCAACATGGAGATCACATTCACACACATCAACATGGAGATCACACACACATCAACATGGAGATCACACACACATCAACATGGAGATCACACACACACATCAACATGGAGATTACACACACATCAACATGGAGATCACATTCACACACATCAACATGGAGATCACACACACACATCAACATGGAGATCACACACACACATCAACATGGAGATTACACACACATCAACATGGAGATCACATTCGCACACATCAACATGGAGATCACACACACACAACATGGAGATCACACACACACATCAACATGGAGATTACACACACATCAACATGGAGATCACACACTCATCCACATGGAGATCACACACACACATCAACATGGAGATCACACACACATCAACATGGAGATCACATTCACACACATCAACATGGAGATCACAAACACACATCAACATGGAGATCACACACACACATCAACATGGAGATTACACACACATCAACATGGAGATCACATTCACACACATCAACATGGAGATCACACACACACATCAACATGGAGATCACACACACACGTCAACATGGAGATCACATTCACACACATCAACATGGAGATCACATTCACACACACAAACATGGAGATCACACACACATATATCAAATGGGGATTACACACACATCAACCCCAACATGGAGATCACACACACAACACAGAGATCACACAAGTCAACATGGAGATCATACACACACATCAACATGGAAATCACAAACACACAACATGGAAATCACACACACATATCAACATGGAGATCACACACACACATCAACATGGAGATCACACACACATCAACATGGCGATCACAATCACACACATCAACATGGAGATCACACACAACACAGAAATCACACACGTCAACATGGAGATTACACACACATCAACATGGAGTTCACACACACATCAACATGGAGATCACACACACTCAACATGGAGCTCACACATACACCTCAACATGGAGATCACACAACACAGAGATGACACACACAACACAGAGATCACACAAGTCAACATGGAGATCTCTCTCTCTCTACACACACACACACACACACACACACACACACACACACACACTGGCACAAGCCCAGCATTCATGGCGCAGCCATCTCTTGTACTTGCTAGCAAAACACCACCTGTGGAAAGTCAGCTCAAACTTCCAACCTCATCCCTCACAAAGGGGGAATGGAGGGTTTGGTTTTGGCTTTCACTGGAGTCTGCAACAAGAACTGGCATCATGCTGCCCATTTCCCGCCTCTCCCCACCCAGACCCCTGCCTCAGGGACGCCTGTCCTCAGCCCAGCCCTCAGCTGCAGCCAGGCCTTCAGCCTCCGTAACCCCCGCTCAGGGTCCCCACCCCCTGCAGCCCTGTCCCTCCAGGATGCATGGCCTTGTCCTGTGTGGGGGTGGCCGAGAGCACTGCCCCAGCCCTGGGTACCTTGGGCAGGAAGCTGGCAGAGGCCAGGGCTGCCATTCAAACAGGGGCAGGTGGTTTTGCCAGGAGGAAGTTGACAGTTCAACTTCAAACATGGGTGACGCAGGCCCCACACTGCCTGCTCCCCGTCCCACCCCTCCCTGAGCACGCCACCCCGCCCTCTCCCTCTCTGAGAGCGAGATACCCGGCCAGACACCCTCACCTGCGGTGCCCAGCTGCCCAGGCTGAGGCAAGAGAAGGCCAGAAACCATGCCCATGGGGTCTCTGCAACCGCTGGCCACCTTGTACCTGCTGGGGATGCTGGGTGAGTACCCCTCCCAGGTGTCCTGCGAACACCCGGGCTCGCTCCAGTGCAAGGAAGGAGTTCCCAGTTTTACCCAAGGCTGACTCTGGGATCCACATGTCAGCCCTCTGGAGCGTTGTGGAGATTTGGGGCCACTGGGATCCCTGCCTGCCCCCACTAAGCCGCAGCTTGGCCCTCTGTCCTGCATGTCCCACCCGCCAGGAGCACAACCTTGCCTCTCTCATGCGCTGTTGAGAACCCTGCTTTACCCTTCCAGTGCAAGAGAGACTGCAGGGGGGACCCGCATTTGATGGGGCCCAGACAACTTGATTCCTAGGCTGAGTTGGATTTTAGCAGAGCATTCAGGCCTCCCTCTGCGAGGTCCCCCACTGACAGCCCAGCCTTTACTTGGTCGCCTCCAGAGACATGGAAACTCGCCGTCTCCGAGGCAGCTCTGATGATGCTCTGGACAGACAGTGGGCCGAGGCAGGGTGGAGCCGCCTCTGAGGACGATGTCTGAGCAAATGTCAAGGACTCATAGCGGAAGTCCTAGGCCCTCTCATGCCCAGTCCTGGGTCAGTCCCAGAGGGGCCCAGCCAGGCCGGCTGGGATGAGTACACGCTGGGCCTGCTCTCACTCCAGCCCTGGGTTGTAAGCCCAACCCTGTGTGACCTCGGATAGGTCCCCAAGCCTCTCCAGGCCTTGATCTCCCCATTTATGAAATGTGGGGGTTGGGGGTGTGAACTGGATGAGGCCTGACCCACTTCCTGAGGATTTAGAAGGTCTGGCAGGGTGACAGAGGTGCGTGACTCTGGGCTGGAAACAGGAGGATGCGAGCAGCTTCCAGGCTGGCAGGGAGAGGGTCCGGAGGCCTTGCCTGCCTGAGCAGGGAGCCTCAGCAGCCTTCTAGGGAAACCGGGTGTGCAGGTGTGAGTGTGGGGGAATGCATGTGTGTGTGTCTGTGTGCATGTGTGTGAGAACTGTGTGTGGGGGAATGTGTGAGTCTATGTGTGTCTGTGTGAGTCTGTGTGTACGTGTGTGAGAACTGTGTTGGGGGGTAATGTGTGACTCTGTGTGTGAGTCTGTGTGTGAGTCTCTGGGCATGTGTGTGAGTACTGTGTGTAGGGGAATGTGTGAGTCTGTGTGTGAGTCTGTGTGTGAGTCTCTGGGCATGTGTGTGAGTACTGTCTGGGGGGGAATGTGTGAGTCTGTGTGTGAGTCTCTGGGCATGTGTGTGAGTACTGTGTGGGGGGGAATGTGTGAGTCTGTGTGTGAGTCTGTGTGTGAGTCTCTGGGCATGTGTGTGAGTACTGTGTGTGGGGGGGGAATGTGTGACTCTGTGTGTGAGTCTCTGGGCATGTGTGTGAGTATTTTGTGGGGGGGAAAGTGTGAGTCTGTGCGTGTGAGTCTGTGTGTGAGTCTGTGTTCATGTGTGTGAGAACTGTGTATGGGGGAATGTGTGAGTCTGTGTGTGAGTCTGTGTGTGAGTCTCTGGGCATGTGTGTGAGTACTGTGTGGGGGGAATGTGTGAGTCTGTGTGTGAGTCTGTGTGTGAGTCTGTGTGTGGGAGTCTGTGCGCATGTGTGTGAGAACTGTGTGTGTGTGCTTTCATGAGCACAATGCGGCCTCCAAAGGCAGGATTATCTCCCCAACACATGTGACAATGGCACCTGTGCACACATGTTCACATGGTTCTTCTCACATGTAACAACAACAGGTACAAAATGCCTTCTGTCCCAAAGTAAGAGGCCTGAGACAGACCTCTGGCTGGCTTCAGGGACCCTGCTAAGGAGGGACCAGGCCCTTAAACCCCCCACCTGCTCCTCACCTCTGGCCTCAGACTTCATTGAGATAGGGCGGCTCCCAGCTGAGTATGGGAACCCGTGTCCTGCTCTAGGGCCCTCCCAACTGAATCCCATCATGGGTGAGGCTCCTGATGGCACCAGGCAAGTCCCCTGGCCCAACACAGGCCACAGTCAGGAAGACTTGGAGGTAGCCCCTTCACCCCAGTATGGGGACCTCCTTGAACCCCAGGAATACTCAGTTCCCAGTGTCTGAGTGAGCCGGTGGGTACCAAGCATTCCCTTTGTTCAGTGGGTAACGGTTTACAAAGCACTTTTAAAGCCATTTTCTGCTGCAAGCTTCACAACAGCCAATGAAGTAGGTGGGCCCATTGGCCCCATTTTACAGTGGGGAAAAGCGAGGCCCAGGAAGGCCGAGTGCAAACCCAGGGTGCAGCAGCTGGTGCACAGCCGAGCTGACCCCAGCCCAGCATTCCTGCCTTCACAGAGGCCCCTCCCTTAGCTAAAAGGGAAGGCCACCAAAGGCACTTCCGTGTGCAGGAAAATGGCCCTGGGACACAACCTCCACCAGCAGAGATACAGCCACCAGAGCTGGGGACACCAAGGGCCAGGGTTGCTGGAGTCAAACAGTGCAGGCACCCTTTGAGCCATTCCAAGGAGAGAGGCAGCAATGCCAGAGCCCTGGGGACACCACAGCCTCCTGGCTGGCATCGGGGCTTGGGGACCTTTGGATCCTGAGGCATGAAGATGCCCCCAGCAGGCCTGGGTGCTAGTGACAGGCCAGGGCTTCCCACAGTTGCTCCCCTCTCAGCCCCAGCCTGCCTGGACAGCTGCTGGCAGTGAGGCGGGGAAGCGGCTCTAACACAAACTGCACGTCCCTGACTGGCCTAGCCGATGCGACTCTGAAAGCCAGCACTGGGACGTGGGAAAGTCATGGACTCTGCAGTTTGAATTCCAGTCTGCCACTTACCAACTGGGCGACCTTGGACTAGTTCTGTAAGCCTCAGTTTTCTCATCCGTAAACTGGGTGCAACAGTACCTCATAGAGGCTTATAAGGATTCAATGAATCAATGCACACAGAGCTTAAGTACAATCCTGGCATATAGTATAGTAAGTACTCAATAAACAATAATAACAGCAACAACTATGATTATTATTATTACCAGGGTCAGCAAGAAACAATGCGAGGTAGGAGCCAATGGGGAGGAGGGTCTTGCCAGAGGCCTGCACAGCCGTCAATCTCTCTACCCCTCAATCCTCTTGCACAGGCTATTTATTCACTAATTCATTCATTTTTCATCTACAAATATTATTGAGCATCTCCTGTGCATCCAGCTCTGTGCAAAACACTGGGGATACAGGGACCAAGGCAGGAGTCCCTGCCCTCAAGGATTTGATCAGCTAACAGGAGAGCTGTTAGAGAACACAAGTAAACAAGCACCAAAGACCGGGCATGGTGGCTCATGCCTGTAATCCCAGCACTTCGGGAGGCCAAGACGGGTGGATCACCTGAGGTCAGAAGTTCAAGACCAGCCTGGCCAACATGGTGAAACCTCATCTCTACTAAAAATACAAAAATTAGCCGGGAGTGGTGGCACGCACCTGTAATGCCAGCTACTCAGGAGGCTGAGGCAGGAGAACCGCTTGAACCTGGGAGGCGGAGGTTGCGGTGAGCCGAGATCGCGCCATTGCACTCCAGCCTGGGCAACAGAGCAAGACTCCATCTCAAAAAAAAAAAAAAAAAAAAGGCACCCGAAATATTTACACATTTTGAAATACTGAGTGCAATGAGGAGAACAGCAAGTTCCTCAGGCACAATACAGTCTGCACTAGGATAGGAGGACATCCCTTTGGCTGGGCAGGCAGGGAGGGCCTCTCTAAGGAGGCGAGGTCTCATCTGAGAATCCGAGACCTGAATGAGGGACGGAGCCAGCCAGGCAGAGAAAAAAGGGAAGAGGGTCCCAGGCAGAGCGGATGGCAGGGCAAAGGCAAGGGGGAAGGACAGGCCTGAGAGGGTGGGGCTCCTACTGGGAGCAGGGCAGCAGGCCCACTGTCCCAGGCTGGGCGAGGCCCTGGTTGGATCATCCTCCTCGAAGACCCAGAGCTCCCCACCTCCAGCAGGGAATGAAGGGACCTGGGGGCCCAGGAAGGGACCTGGCCTTCCTGGGTCACTCTGTCACCATCAGTTCAGAGGGGTTTTCCCTGCAGTGACCAGGCGGCGAATTCAGCTCAACCTGACAAAATTGATTGAACATCTATTCTGTGTGTGTGTGTGAAATTGAACATCTACTGTGTGTGTGTGTGTCCATGTGCTGTGTTTGCGTATGAACACATATGTGCACAGCCCTGTGGAGGGGAGCTTTGGAGCAATGCAGACCTAGTTTGATTTCTGCTTGGCCACCCACAAGTGAACATCTCTCAGGGTCTCATCTATAAAAATAGGGGTTCCTTGCTGTGTCCACCTCAAAAGATCACTGCAATAATTACATCGGGTTTATTCAGAGACTAGGTATGGATTGAACACCTACTATGTGCCAGATGCTGTTCTAAGTGCTGAGGACACAGCAGTGAACAAAACGGTGGAAAATCCCTGCCCTGGTGGATCTGGCATAATAGTCAGGGTGTGATGGGGAGACAAACAAGACACAAGCTAAGCTAGTGATTATGCGAATACTAGACGGTCATGAGAGGTGTGGAGACAGACAGATAGAGGAGGGCTGGGACCGGAAGCCTTGGTGGGGTGTGAGGTACCTGGGGAGGATTCAGCGGCTCTCATGAGAAGATGATATTTGAGTCAATATTTGAAAGAAGGGAGTGAGCCCACCGTGTGGGACCTGAGGAGAAGCGTTGCAGGCAGAGGGGCCTCCAGCTGCAGGTCAGTGGGGGATCGATGAGGCAGCCACGAGGGCCACGGATGCCCCCGTGAGGACTTGGGCTTTTTCTCCCATGCACTGGACAGCCACACAGGAGCAGAGAGGTGAGCATAACTCTCACCTCTCCAGGTCCTCAAGTGCATCTTGAACCCCAGGCCAGATGCATTTGGAACTCCAGAAGCTTTCAGATTGTAGAAGGAAATACTGTGTACATACTGTGTGCTCTTAACACACGCAGTGAGGCCTGGGGCAGCACCCTGCGTTCAACACATTCCCATTTCTGCAGTGAAACATGAATTTGCACACTTAGAGGGATGTAAAGACAGCAAACACCCTCCCACCAAATGCATTAGAACAAGACTTTTAGATTCTGGATTTTGAATTGCAGATAAGAGACTGTGGGCCTGGATCACTTCTTCTATAGCTACCACTATCACCGTGACCAGCATCATCATCACCATCATGTACCTTTCAAGGCCTGACTTTCATGGTGTCCAGAGGGACCCTAATACTCCTCTCCGGGGGACAGATACGGTAGGAATAGCGTAGGAAATGGGTGGTGGCAGTCTGCAGAGACGACAAGGGTCCCATGCACTGCCACAGATTCCCACAGAGACATCTGGAATGAACCCCTCCCTCCTTCTGGCCCCAGTTTCCCCCATCTGTACTCCAGAGCAAGCAGGCTCTGGGGCCTCCCTGGGGTAGACTCCCACAGGCCCTGTCAGGTGATGGAGACAGGGTTTCTCTCCTGACTCTACCACCAGCTAGCTGTGTGACCTTGGGCAAGTCACTCAGCCTCTCTGAACCTCGGTTTCCTGATCTGAAAATGGAGGTGAGCATGGTCCCTTCTTCACAGGGCTGTGGGTAGAAAGAACAAGTCTAGTGCATGAGAGAGCTTTGGGGTAGGTAAAGCTCTAAACAAAACCAAAGCCTTGTCTCTGTGACAGCAGAGACACCGTATATGGTGCGAAACTCATGCAACAGCAGACTACTAGTGGGAGAGAGAAATAACAATTCAAACAGCAAAGGTCATTCTGCCCACGACCCACTGTCCGCTCACTGGGACAGGCCCTGGGTGAGCCAGATTAGAGACCTGAATCTGCTGTTCCTTCCTGCGGGCTCCATTCCCAGGCCTCTCCTGGTGTAAGCCCAGTGTGACTCTATATGTGTTTTGCACATAAAAGCCGCCTAATCATAAACCAATCATTTCATCTGTGCTCAACCCAAGAAAGGGAATTTTGGTCCTTTACGACCTTCGTTTCCCTAAAGCCCTGATACAGCTCCAACTCTACAGATGACTGTCGTTTCAGAAAAGAGGGGCTTCTGACCTTTCAAGTCAGCCAACATATAGGATTCGAGGAAGGAAAATCCAGAATCCTACCCAAAACACAGGCAGATCTATTGTATTTCATGGACATCGATGGCTGTAGCTATGGGGAGGTCTGTGGACTGTTAGAAGGAATCACTGTTTACGGGAAAAAGGGAACACCTGACTTGCAAACTACACTAAATCAGTCATAGGTGTTTTATCTGTGGAACAAAGTGGTGATAGCACCCCGTCTTCTGAGGCTCTAGAAAGAAATGGGGTCTTCTGTGAAAAATCCTTGTCCTGGGGTCTGCACAGGGTAAGGATGCTGTCATTTTATTATCATCGGTCATTATCACAGGCCTGTGAATCCGGGTGCCTGCCAAACCCTAAGCAGGCCACACCCTTGCCTCCATTTCCCAGGGTGCAGGGGCGGCAGGACCTAGGAGTGAGCCAGAGGCAGGGGCCAGGAGTGCAGGTTACAAAGCCAGCCGCCCTGGGCTGAATTCTGGCCCTGCCGAGTTCTCACTCCCATGCACCACGACAGCCTCCTCCTCTGTAAACTGGGACCCATCATGCAAGTCAACAAATATTCATCTGTAATTCCAAAGCCCAAAAAACATTTGTAAGTTTCTGGCAAATGCATTTGGTGCAAATCCTGACCTGAACGAATGGGAGGCTATTTATAATCTTGACACATCCCCCTTAGTGTGAAACTGCATATGTTTCGCTGCAGACACTGCCATGTGTTTGAAGCCAGGTCTCTCCACACACATGGCGACCGTAAGGTGCCAGCGAGGCGTGGACGAAACAGAAGTCAAGGGCCACCGCCACTGCCTGGGGCCTCCAGAGATGCAGCCAGTGGAGCCAGGATGTCCTATTTTTCAAAAACGCCTGGATCTTGAAATGTGTTTAAAAAGCAAAACAAAATTAAAAGAAACCTTTTTTTTTTTAATTTGGCTCAAAAAATTTTTAAACACTGTGCAGAGCAAATAAAACTCATGGGATGCCGTAATGAGAGCCAAAGTGAGAATTATCCTGAATACTGTGGGGGCAAGAGGAATGAGAGGGACAGGGAGGAGGATATCCTCACCAAGACCTCAGGGCAGGCAGGGCCAAAAATATTGTCTCTGCCAATGCAAAGACAAGAGACGGGAGCTCCAGGGGTGTGATAAGCCGTCTGACTTCTTTAGCCCTGAATTTTGCCTGGGTTTGCCCAGTCCAGGCCCTAAATTGTGGGAGCTGCAAGGGGAGGTGGGCAGGAGAAGGAAGGGGTCTTCAGAGAATTCTCATCCGTAGCCCCAGTTGCTCGGGGTGAGGGGTGGCTGGCGGATAAGGAAACGGCATAGCACTTCCAGGCCTCGGGGGCCTCCTGGTCTGGAGTCTCGGGGATTCTGTCCACAGTTTTGGCAATAGCAGGAGCCTCAGGCTTCATGAGGCTAGGAAGGATGGTGCAGGAGTAAGCTGTAGAGCCCCCAGAGGGGGTCAGGGAGACCCTGAACACAGACCGCAGGGCTCAGGGGATGGAGGGTGCTGGTCTGACCCCTGTGAGAAGCAACTAAAAAATAGAAATAGGTTATGGACCCTCAAAACCTCAATGTTCATTCTGCTCCCTAGATTATAAGTGAAAAACAAACAAGCAAATAAAAAAAAAACCTGAACATATTCATGGACAGGCTGAAAGAATATACACAACACACTCAGGAAGCTTCCAAGTCAGCTGTACATCTCACCGCCCTCCCTCCACCAGCTGCTGAAATCCATCAGGAGCTAAAGATTATAGATCACAGGTGTTTGAACCAGGGGGAAGGTGAGGGACTGTGGAATCTAACTTCCTTACTTTACAGATTAAGAAACTGAGCCCAGAGAGGCTGAGTGGCTTGCCAAGGTCACACAGCACTTCATAGCTAAGTCTTCTCACTGCATGTTTTACTGACTGAACGGAATCACAAGTTCATTCCCTTTGATCAGGATTGCACACCAGGGTGGTGCAGGAATCAATGAAACCTGGGGCAGGCCATCATGGGCTTCCTGCTGGAGGGAAGGGAGGCAGTTTGGGCCTCACTGGCAAAAGCTCAAGACTCAGTGCCAGGCGGCTAGGTTTGAGTTCGGGCCCCAGCACTCATTAGCTGCTTGGACAAGTCATTTAACCCCTCTCAAGTTTCCTGGTCTGTAAAATCGGGACCAAAATAATAGCACCTACTTCATAGCACTGTGGTGAGGACTGGGAGAGTTAATGTGTAAAAGGCCCGGAAGAGTGAAAACTTTTAAAGTGTTGGTGATGGTGACAGTGATGGTGATGATGATGGTGACGGTGATGGTGATGATGATGGTGACGGTGATAGAGATGGAAGGAGAGGAGAGGAACTGCTGCTCATCTGGGGACCAGACAGGCACCCAGAGGAAGGTTCCAGGGCGACACTCTAGAATGCATAAATATCTTTTTTATTAAAGCATTTGTTAGAGCATTTTTTAAAGAATTTCACTTGGTTCTCCAGCTTGTTCAGTCTTTCCTGAGAATGTTCTCTGAGCAAGACCTAGGCTGTTCTGTGTGGAATCTGCCAAGATTGTCAGGCCCAGTCCCTGTCCCCAGGCCTTCAGGGTCTGGCTGCACGAGCGCTTCCAGGTCAGACCCAGGTGGTGTTCATCTCTGCATCTCCAAAGCTGGCACTCTGGAGGAGCAATTGGGTGGCTGGGAGCAGAGAGCATGGGTTTTGGAGTCAGACACATGGTTCGACTCCACCTGCCAGCCATATTACCCGGGACAGGGCATTTGCCCTCTCCTGACATTTATACCAGGAACGTACTCAACTCTCGTGATGGGGCTGTGTGGAAGATTAACAACAATATCTGTGATGAACCATACCGTGGGCTAAGTATGCAGCAGGTGCTCAACAGTTGGCAGCTGCTGTTAATAATGAACGTTGAGTATGATGACTCGGGAAATAGAGATGCTCCTTGACCTACAGTGGGGTTGCCTCTCAATAAACCCATTGTAAGCTGAAAACATCCTAAGTCAAAAATTCATTTAATACCCCGACAAACCCATTGCAAACTTGAAAAGTCGTAAGTTGAACCACCCTAAGTCTGGACCATCTGCGCGAAGTTTCCAAGTTAGGAGAAGGAAGTGGTGAGCCCCATGGCTTGGCTCTCTGTGCTCCTGGACAGGGAATCTTCCCACTGGGAAAGCTCCCCGAGGGTCTGCTGCCCTGGGCACAGCTTCCCCCAGCCCACCCTACTCCACAGATCAGTAGCACCAGCTCTGAGCACTAGGCCAGGAAGCACTGGGCTAAGCCCTTTACACCGATTAGCTCATCTCATCTTCACAACGGCTCTAGAAAGCTAGTCCCATGCTCATCCTCATGCTATGAGTGAGGAAATCGTGGCTTGGAGGCACAGAGACAGGACAGACGTGCTCCCCAGACTCTATAGGCAGGAAGTGGCAGAGCTGATACTCAGAACTGGAGCAGTAGAAAGTCATCGGTGACTGAAAACCCATCCTGAGCTGTGTAGCACTGAAGGGCAGATATTTGGACTCCCACTCCCCACAGGTGGCACTTCAAGCTGCCTTAGCCCTCGAGACTTAGCCAGAGGGATGACTCCTTCAAGGCAGACTGCCCTGCTCCTGATGGGCAGCTGGGATGAGAGGGAGGTGGGAATGAGAGGTCAGGAGTGAGAGGTGAGGGCAGGACAAAAGGGCCTCCTTCCTGATTTCTCTCGCTAGCTGGACATCTCCCTGATGGCCTCCTGAGGCTGCCCTGCCCACTGCAATAGATCAGATGATTGGCTGGGCGCGGTGGCTCATGCTTGTAATCCCAGCACTTTGGGAGGCTGAGGGGGGTGGATCACCTGAGGTCAGGAGTTCAAGACCAGCCTGGCCAACATGGTGAAACCTCATCTCTACTAAAAGTACAAAAATTAGTCGGGCGTGGTGGTGCATGTCTGTAGTCCCAGCTACTCGGGAGGTTGAGGCAGGAGAATTGCTTGAACCAGGGAGGCAGTGGTTATAGTGAGCCAAGATCATGCCACTGCATTCCAGACTGGGCAAGAGAGGAAGACTCTGTTTCAAAAAAAAAAGAAAAAATTGATCAGACGATTGACAACTAGACCATCCTTTTCCACCCAGGCCAGAGCTCTGTACACTTCCCTGTTGGTGAGAATAACCTTCCCCTTCCAAGGCCCGTGACTCCTAGAGCAACAGCCACGAAAGGATCTTGCAGATTCAGGGGAAACTTATCACATGGCCATGATGACTTCATTACAAAGAGTCTTGATTCGGGGACAAGGATGAACTGTGGAGCACATCACCCCTTAAAATTCAACCGCCAGCTTGAGAACACTCAAGCAAGAACAGCTTTTTCAAAGCACACCTATTTTTTAAGAGACGGGGTCTTGCTATGTTGTCCAGGCTGGACTCGAACTCCTTGGCTCAAGTGATCTTCCTGCCTCAGCCTGCTGAGTAGCTGGGACTACGGCCTTGAGCCATTGGCCCAGCTAAACACACCTATTTTTTAACACCAAGCAAAAATTTCTCACAAACAATTTGAACACAGCCTTTCACTATTAATATATAAAGCAGTCTCCTTGACCCAGTGCCGTAAATCCAAGAGTAAACCCAAGTCGGACAGATGGAAATCAAAATACCGTACTTGCACCTAACTGATCACGCTAGGTGGTGAATACAGAGGTTAAGCTTTGAAGCCACGTGAGCTTGCTACTTCACCTCGTCCCCACCCAAATTAAACCTCTTCCCCAGCCACAGATGAGCTGCTCTGCTGAGAGCCCCGCAATGGGCAACTTTGCCCCCACTCCACAGTGAGACCAGGCTACAAGGAGGCAGAGCTTCCACGTGGTCCACATGGGGGAAGGCTGGTTCCCTGCAGACCCGTGTTCCCTGGGCCTGTCGCCTTGGCTCCCTTGTCAACTAGCTGGCTACACTACTGTGGGCAGGTCACGCCATCTCTTTGAGCTTGGTCTTCTCCAGAAATGGGCAGCTGTTAAAGATAAGTGGCTGTCATTCTTATCCTGCCTTGGGAATGCTAGAAAGTAGCAAATGTTCTCTTGGTTCCCTTTCTTGCTCATTTCTTTCTTTCCTTTTTTTTTTCTTGTAAAGACAGAATCTCACTCTCTCACCCAGTCTGGAGTATAGTGGTGCAATCTCAGCTCACTGCAGCCTCCACCTCCCAGGTTCAAGCAATTCTCCTGCCTCAGCCTCCAGAGGAGCTGGGATTACAGGCATGCATCACCACGCCGAGCTAATTTTTGTTATTTTTAGTAGAGACAGGGTTTCACCATATTGGCTAGGCCAGTCTCAAACTCCTGACCTCAAGTGATCCCCCCACCTCGGCCTCCCAAAGTGCTTGGATTATAGGCATGGGCCACCGTGCCCGGCCCCTTTCTGGATCATTTCTCCATTCTCTAGAACTAAGGAGCTCAAACTTTTTTGAGTGGAAACATGCGGGACATTTTTACATTGCAACCCCCAACACACAAAAAGTGATCAGTGCATTCTGACATTCTCTTTTTTATTTATTTAAAACAAAACAAACAAAAAAAAACAGGGTCTTACTCTGTCACCCAGCTAGAGTGCTGTGGCATAATCATAGCTCACTGCAGGGTCCAACTTCTGGGCTCAAGCGGTCCTCCCACCTTGGCCCCCTTAAGTGCTGGGATTGCAGTCATAAGCCACCGTGCACGGCCTCTCTATTCTACTCCATTTCATTTTTAAAAAAATTGATGGCCTGAGTGCTGTGGCTCACACATGTGAATCCCAGCACTTCAGGAAGCTGATGCACGAGGATCACTTGAGCCCAGGAGTTCAAAACCAGCCTGGACAACATAGTGAGACCCCATCTCTACATACACACACACATACATGCATACATACATACATACACACATACATAGTAAAAAAATTAGCCAGGCATAGTGGCTCATGCCTGTAATCCTAGCTACTCAAGAGGCTGAGGTGGGAGGATTCTTTGAGCCAGGGAGGTTGAGGCTGCAGTGAGCTGTGATCATGCCACTGCACTCCAGCCTGGGTGAGGAGAGTGATATCCTGTCTCAAAAAGTAATAATAATAATAATTGATGGTTACATTATTACAAAGGTTAGCATGAGGGAATTTGAGGTAGGGAGTAATGGAACTGGTGTATACCTTGATTGTGATGGTGGTCACACACATCTATATATGTGACATTCACGGAATCATGCAGTAAAGAAAAATCAATTTCACGTCTGTTCATTTTAAAAGTAACGTTTTTTAAGAAGAAAAAAAATCGATAGTTGCAGCCCACTAGATAGAATTCATATCACTCAGGGGTTCCAACCTGGAGTATGAAAATTCCTGTCCCTAAAACCCATGATAGTGGATAGGGGGAGGCAGAAAGGGCCATTGCTCGGGCTGTGGGTGGGTGAGCTGGGGAGAAGGGAGAGAGTGGGAGGTTTCACTTCCTGACCCTCCTCTCTTCTTTCTGCAGTCGCTTCCTGCCTCGGACGGCTCAGCTGGTATGACCCAGGTAAGGAAGAGCCACATGGAGAAAGGCCTGGGGCAGGGGGAGAGTGGGGCTGTGGTTTCATCAGGCCATCGGGGACCTCTCGATGAAGCCATCACTTCTGCCAGAGTGAACCCCACCCTATAGAGAGAGTGAACCCCAGCATACACACAGGCACATAGATGCAGACACTGCACATTAAGATGCTCACATGCAGGTGGGTGCCCTCGACAGCCGTAAATCACCCACAAATGCCAGATCTCATGATAATTATTATGACCCGCTCACCATGCACAGAAGACATCCCAGCTCATAAATGTACCTTGCAAAGTCTTATTTCCCACCCAATCCTGACAGATGCTCCATGGTCAAAGATGTTTAGAGCGGAGTCTGCAGAGAGAGGCCGCAGACTGATGGTAAAGTGTGTGGAACGTCCAGCCTTAGACGTTGGAGTTTAGTCGTAGAGGCTGTTTCCCAAATAGGGTTCCATGGAGCATGTTGGACAAAGGGCAGGCAACACCGCATCTCCCACTGAAGACTGACAGTGTACACCGGCCCAGTAAAGGATCTGAGAAATCCTGCAGCGAAGAAATACATGACACTTTTTAACCCAGCACTTTGCACCCTTATTTCACCACAGACCTCTCCTTCACATTGACTGGGATAACATCGTGCTGAATGTACCTGGGGAGAATTGTGGCTGAAGGGTCTTGAGATGCCACTGTGCAGCCAGAGGGGGTGACAGGGGCCTTGGCAGGCCCTAAGCACGATCTGGGCCCTGCACTGACATCCTAGCTCCAAGCTTTGGCACACTGCTTGACCTCTTGAGCCCGTTTCCCCAGCTGTGAAATGGGAAGAAAATCTCTTGCCTGGTGAAGCGGCAACGAGCCAGCTCGCTGGGCGGACAGCCTGCAAATCACCCCACCAATGTTAGGTGTTGAGACGCGCTCGTTCTCCCTCTAACCAGCCAAGTGCCCTTGGCGAGCCCTGGCCCTGAGCTTTGGCCCCAGAGTGTCCTCGTCGGAAGAAAAGGGTAGCCTGACCCGTGGTTCCCGACCAGGGAAAACCTCCCCCTCAGAATCACCTGGGAGAGCCTTTCACATTTCTAAAAATTTCTTGAATCAGTGACACATTCATCCAGCTCAAAAATTTAAAAAAATATAAAAAGATCTGTAGTGAAGAGTCTCACTTCCATCTCTATTCCCGTCTATCCCAGTCGCCCCCGACGTCGACCCCAACACCCCAGGTAATGACTACGTTTATTTGTTTCTTGCATATTCTTCAAGGAGCTCTTTATGCAAATACACACACACACACCCCACACAGACCCCACACACACACCACACATACACACAACCACACCACACACACACACCACCACAAACACCACACACACACCGCACACCACATACACACCCCACACACACCACCACACCACACACACACACCACCACACACACACCCCACACCACACACACACACCACACACACCACACACACACCACACACACCACATGCACACTACACACCACACACCACACACATACCACACACACACCACACACACCACACACACCCCACACACACCACACACACCACACACACACACTACACACACCACATACACACCACACACACCACATGCACACTATACACACCACACACACACCACATACACCACACACACACCACACACACCACGCACCACCACACACACACACCACCTGCACACTACACACACCACACACACATACAACACACACAACACACACACCACCACACACACATCACACACACCACACACACTACACCACACAGACACACACACCACACACACACATATATTTTTCCCCTCATGGAGTTTGATAAAATCACACAAGACACATGTCTACCCATGACCCAGCAATTCCATTCCTAGGTATTTACCCAAGAGAAATGGAAACGCCCACACAAAGACCTGTATGTGAATGTTCACAGCAGCCTTATTCATAGTAGGCAAAACCCGGAAACAAATCAAATGGTGAATGGAAAACAAATTGGCATGTCCGTGTAGTGAACTATCATTCGGCAATAAAAAGGAATGAACTACTTATGCGTCCAGTGACATAGCTAAATCTCAAATACATGCTAAGCGAAAAAAGCCAAATCAAACAAAATAAAATCCATGCTGTATGAGTCCATGTCTATGACATTGTAGCACAGGCAAAACTCATCTTTTGTGACAAAAAGCAGATCAGTGTTTGCCTGAGGCTAGATTCAGGGAAATTAACTATAAAGGGGCCTTAGGGAACTTTCTAGATGATGGAAATGTTCCATATCTAGATTATGGTGGTGGTTACATGCATGTATACATTTGTCAAATTCCATCGAACAGTATCCTTAAAATGAGTGCATTTCACTGTATGTAAAATTACCTCAATAAAATTTTTTTTTTTTGAGATGGAATCTTGATCTGTTACCCAGGCTGGAGTGCAGTGGCGCGATCTTGGCTCACTGCAACCTCTGCCTCCCGGGTTCAAGCAATTCTCCTGCCTCAGCCTCCCGAGTAGCTAGGATTACAGGCGCCTGCCACCACACCCAGCTAATTTTTGGTATTTTTTCTTTTTTTAGTAGAGATGGGGTTTCACCATGTTGGCCAGGCTGGTCTCAAACTCCTGACCTCAGGTGATCTGCCCGCCTCAGCTTCCCAAAGTGCTGGGATTACAGGCATGAGCCACCACACCTGGCCTAAAATTAATTTTTAAAGATCTCTTAAAAAGCAGACACCAGCCCCAATCTCAGACCCCTTGAGACAGAATTTCCAGGACAGGGGCCATCCTGCTGGACAGTGGGTGCCGAGAACACCTTGCCCATTTATCTGAGCTCCCTTCTGACTCTGAAATCTGGAGCCCCACCCTCCTGGGTCTAGCTTCGGGGCTGCCTGGGTCAGGGTCCTCTGGGAAGCCCCTGCAGTGCCCCAGAAGGGACGAAGCTCACAAGGGGCAAGGCAGGCAGCCCACGGGGCAGGAGGGAGCTCAACTGGGCGTCCTAGGGAGAGGGCAGTGAGGGGTGCCAGTGGGGAACCCCTCCCAGCCTGACCCCCACCACACCTTTCTGACCCCCAGATTTCCAGGCAAGGCTCACCCGTTCCAACTCGAAGTGCCAGGGCCAGCTGGAGGTCTACCTCAAGGACGGATGGCACATGGTTTGCAGCCAGAGCTGGGGCCGGAGCTCCAAGCAGTGGGAGGACCCCAGTCAAGCGTCAAAAGTCTGCCAGCGGCTGAACTGTGGGGTGCCCTTAAGCCTTGGCCCCTTCCTTGTCACCTACACACCTCAGAGCTCAATCATCTGCTACGGACAACTGGGCTCCTTCTCCAACTGCAGCCACAGCAGAAATGACATGTGTCACTCTCTGGGCCTGACCTGCTTAGGTGGGTAACTAGCCAGCCACACGGGCACCCTGGGCCTGGGCGCCAGCCCCGAGGAGACTGCCCGAGGCCTGTGATCTAGGGTCTGAGCAGGCTGGTGGAAGGGGTGGGGGGACCCCAGTTTATAACCACTCCCCAAGACACATACCCAGGAGGGGGACTGGAAGGGGCCAGCACCCATCTGTAGGATGGCAATGGAGGACCTAGTTCTGCCAATCACTGACTTCATCGTCGCCTCTGAACCTCCATTCTCCCATCTGTGAAGTGGGGTGGTACTTCCCGCCTCGCAGGAGGCTTAGAGACAACGTGTGGGTCAAGTGGACCTGGTGTGCCAAGCGGCACTCATGCCAGGAGCTCCTGGTCCTCTCAAGGCTGCTGGCTGCCCCCGGCCCTCCCCACACCACCCATTCCTCCCTCACCAGAGTGTCTCATTGCAGAACCCCAGAAGACAACACCTCCAACGACAAGGCCCCCGCCCACCACAACTCCAGAGCCCACAGGTAAGAGGATTCTGAACCCCCCACAGGGAGTCAGAGCTAGCAAATAAAAACCCAGGATGCCCAGTTACATTGGAATTTCTGACAAAGGTGGAAATGTTTAGTATTGGTGTGTTCTACGCAATATTTGGGACCCCATCACCTCCCAAGGCTAAGCGTTAGTCAGTAGTTGTCCACAAGTTGGGGCCAAACAGCAAGGAGTGCCCAGGAAGCCCTCGGCGCTCAGGGTGGCTCCCCCTCCTGCTCTCTCCTCTCCTAGCTCCTCCCAGGCTGCAGCTGGTGGCACAGTCTGGCGGCCAGCACTGTGCCGGCGTGGTGGAGTTCTACAGCGGCAGCCTGGGGGGTACCATCAGCTATGAGGCCCAGGACAAGACCCAGGACCTGGAGAACTTCCTCTGCAACAACCTCCAGTGTGGCTCCTTCTTGAAGCATCTGCCAGAGACTGAGGCAGGCAGAGCCCAAGACCCAGGGGAGCCACGGGAACACCAGCCCTTGCCAATCCAATGGAAGATCCAGAACTCAAGCTGTACCTCCCTGGAGCATTGCTTCAGGAAAATCAAGCCCCAGAAAAGTGGCCGAGTTCTTGCCCTCCTTTGCTCAGGTAAGTGAGACCTGGCCAAGCCCCATGACACCTTCTGCTGCCCTAGGTGGGGTCACAGAGCATCCCAGAAGGTCAGGGAACATGTGTGCAGCACAGGGCACTATGGAGAATACAAGGGAAGTGGAGGCCTGGTCTTGGCCTCTAAGAGGTAACAAGGGTTGGGGTGGGGAGGATGCATCCACACTCAATGCCTTGGTAATCTCTGCAAAGCTACACACCCCAAGCCCAAAGGAACCGCTGGCTCAGCTGCCACATGGGGAAGGGGAGTCGGCAGGACTTCCAGGAGGAGGCAAGGTCTCTTCGTGGGTCTGGGGGAGAAAAAAAAATGTCTAGGTAGGAATTATGGCTTGTGCCAAAGATGGGGCACTTGGAGGGGTGGGCCTTGCAGGAAGGGCATTTGTAAATCCCAAGAGTTGGCATTGCAGCAATGGTGAGAGGTGGGAGGTCCCTGAGGCCCGGGAGTCAGAGGACAGCAGGCAAAGAGAGAAACAGAGACAGCCCCCAAGAGGGCTCTGCAGAGGGTCCTGCGCCGTGTGCTGACAAGGTAAAGAGAATGATGCCGCTGTGTGGTTGAGGGGAGGAGGCAGGTGAGACTGAGTCTGTGAGACCCCGGTGGGCCAAACCAGGATCAATGAAGAAAACTAAAGGGAAGAAACCACAGCTGAAACGAAGGGAGAAACGGAGAAACTTCGCAGTACGCCTCCCTCCGGAAGTAGTGGGTTCCCATGGCCGGAAGTGTTCTCAGTGAAGTCCACACTGTACTTACCGAGAGCTTACTTCATGCAGGGACCATTCCTGGACATTCTAAATTTTTCACATGGCCTTAGGAGGTGGGTGTTATTATTATCATCCCTTTTTACAGTGAGGAGGCTGAGGTTTAGAGAGGCTAAACCTCTCGCCCAGTACTATGGAGCACTTGCTGGGATTTCTGTTCAAGCAGGGTCACTCTAGAGCCTGTTATCTGAGCCTTGGTGACTCAGTGTGGTCCTGGAACAGCAGCAGCTGGTTAGAAATGCAGGTGCTCAGGCCCCAGCCTGGACCTTCCGAATCAGAATCCACTTTTCAGCAAGGTCCTCAGTGATTTATGTGCACAAATCTAGGAATCACTGCTCGGGGCCACCTGGCTGTCCTGCAAGCACGCTGGGTACCTGGTGTAAATTAGTAAAATGCTGCCCCTCCCCCAGCAGAAGCAGCTCCCAAGGGGCTCTTGGCCTGATGAGGAGAGCAGGGGCTGGCTCGCAGTCCCACCGGCCCCTCAGCTACTATCCTTCCTGCAGGCTACAACCTGTAAAACCATACCCAGGGTTCTTGCCTTTGAAGCTTCTTCTAAATAGATTTACTAGGGCTTTGAAGGTGGATGTTGCTATGGGAACTGGGCAAAGCTGGTGAGATCACAACTCTCTCTAAACTGAGCATGTGTGGGCCTCAGCTACAGACTCCCAGGCCCCACCCTGGCAGGCAGAAATAAATGTGTGCCTCTGTTGAGCCAGGCCCCACTTGCTGAAAGCCTGGCCCTCAGCGTTCAGTGCCTGGGCAGCACGATCTGTCCCAACTGTGAACTGCCAGGACTCAGGGCAGTAGGTCTTTCCAACCCCCAGGCCTCAGTTTCCCTCTTCTGAAAAGTCCTCCTTCTTCCCAAAGTGCAGCGGGATAATGACAAGATGTTTCCAAGTGAGAAGTGGACCTAGGTGGAGCCTATTTCCCACGCTCTTCTCTTATCTCCACCTGGCATGGAGCCGACTCCCTGCTGGTGGCTGCCAACAGCCTCCCTGCAGAAAGCGCCTATGCTGCTGTGTCTCAGGATGGTGCTGGCAGCTGCCCAGAGGCACCAGAGACAGTGCTGGGTCAGGGGAAGAGCCACAGAGGGTGCCAGAAGGAGGGAAGGGCAGAAAAGAAGGCTGCCTCTCCTGGTGGTCCCACACAGTGCCTTCCCCTAGCCAGGGCCCCGATTTGCCAGTGGCATGGGGCCCCAGGAAGCAGCACACAGGCTCAGGTTCACACTTGCACCCTCCTTTCCCATTGCTTCCCCTCTCAGGTTTCCAGCCCAAGGTGCAGAGCCGTCTGGTGGGGGGCAGCAGCATCTGTGAAGGCACCGTGGAGGTGCGCCAGGGGGCTCAGTGGGCAGCCCTGTGTGACAGCTCTTCAGCCAGGAGCTCGCTGCGGTGGGAGGAGGTGTGCCGGGAGCAGCAGTGTGGCAGCGTCAACTCCTATCGAGTGCTGGACGCTGGTGACCCAACATCCCGGGGGCTCTTCTGTCCCCATCAGAAGCTGTCCCAGTGCCACGAACTTTGGGAGAGAAATTCCTACTGCAAGAAGGTGTTTGTCACATGTGAGTTGGCCACAGCCCACAGTGGGTGGAAGCAGTTACTACTTTACCTCTAGGACCCGGTCAGGGTGCATGTCTCTAAAGGGAAGCCCTGGGGAGCTAGACAGAGAGTCCCAGAGACCCAGAAAGGATGGAGACA
The DNA here is from genome assembly GCF_000001405.40 of Homo sapiens. Lineage (NCBI taxonomy): Eukaryota > Metazoa > Chordata > Mammalia > Primates > Hominidae > Homo > Homo sapiens. The sequence goes on from NC_000011.10 coordinate 61,122,041, forward strand.
GGGAAATTGGAAGGCTAGGGAGCAAGAGTACTCAGACAGCAATGGGCATGAACAATAATAGGAGACAGGGCAAGCAACAGGCAGATCACTGTCAGGCAGCTGATGAGTCATAGAACTTCTCCTTCTACCTTCTACTTTTGCAAGGTGGAAGCCAGAAAATCAAATGGTAGATAGCACATATTTGCTACATGAATGGTAACTAAACGGGAAGTAAAAGAGAGAAATGGATGGATGGATGGATGGATGGATTGGTGGGTGGGTGGGTGGGTGGGTGGATGGATGGATGGATGGATGGATGGATGGATGGATGGATCGGTGGGTGGGTGGATGGATGATGGATGGATGGATGGATGGATGGATGGATGGATGGATGGATGGATCAGTGGGTGGGTGGATGGATGGATGGTTGGATGGATGGATGGATGAGTGGACTGATGGATGGGTGAGTGGATGGATGGATGGATGGATGGACAGAAGGGCGGATGGACAGATGGATGGATGGATCAAGAATAGAGGCCCCGCTGGCTATTGGTATGCAATCATATATTGGTTTCTGATGGTATATGATGGCAAGGTGATCACTAATAACTGGCAAATGGTAGAAAATTAAATAGCTTATAACAAGTGTGGCAAATGATAGCTAGATGATCAACTGTTAGATGACAAATGGTGGGTGGGTGAGTGGGTAGCAGGGAATCCTAGAGATAGATGGAGGGATAGCCAAATAGATCATTGCCTTCCGTGCATGCTGGTGAATTTCTCAGATGAGCAAGGATGACGGCGGAAGCCAGGCAGCCAGCAGCTTCCCTCCCACAGTTTTTCTCCCCCCAGGACTGGGACTGACCTAACTCTTCCTCCTTCCCCAGGCCAGGATCCAAACCCCGCAGGCCTGGCCGCAGGCACGGTGGCAAGCATCATCCTGGCCCTGGTGCTCCTGGTGGTGCTGCTGGTCGTGTGCGGCCCCCTTGCCTACAAGAAGCTAGTGAAGAAATGTAGGTGTCACGGCCCTGAGTGGCTCCGTTCCCACGTGCAGAGACTGGAGGGGCTGCACTAGAGTCCTCCGGAGGAGGGGTCATGCCTCCAGAGAGCTGGGCACGCAGGACACCTCTGCTTCACCACCCAGCCTTCCCCTCTCCTGCCCATTAGCCATTTTCTGCCCCAAGTAACAGAAACACAAAGTAAACAAAATTGCAATTGCTGATTTGTCCATCTCTGGAGCCCAGCTGAGACCCACTCCAGGTCAGAGAGAAGGTGTGGCCATTCCCAAGGCTGTGGCAGGCCCAGAGGGTGTTCAGTACAGCCTCTGATGGTAGGAGACACACATCCCAGGCCTAGCCCCACCACTTACCACTGCCCAAGATGCTGATTGGGACACTTCCTCTCTCTGACCCTCAGTTTCTTCATCTACCAAATGGGCAATCGCACACCTTGTGAACGCGGGGGGTTGTTCTCCTTGCCTTGCAGAACTTAAGAGGAAATTATTCAGACAAAGAAGTGAGAGGGGAGAGATTGGGAACAGAGGGCCCAGCAGGACAGTGTTAGGTCCTAGTGCCTGCCCAGGTCTAGTTCTAAACGCCTGTGGTCTTTTCTCCTGGGGAGCCGGGCACCTCTACACCATCCTCGGCCTGCTCCTTCGGCACAGGATGGCTGCAATTCCCTTCCCGAGCAAGTTAGGAAACTGAGGCCTACGAGAGACTCCAGGGGGCAGAGCCCAGCAGCCCTGCCCTCAGCTGCACCTGCCGCCACCATCTCCCTCCCAGGCCCAGCCCCATCCCCACCCCTGCCTGCCCCCACCCATACCTGCCCCCACCACTCTGATGTGCCTTTCTTGTCTCTTGCCCAGTCCGCCAGAAGAAGCAGCGCCAGTGGATTGGCCCAACGGGAATGAACCAAAACAGTAAGTGTCCCCGGAGGCAGGAGCCTCCCTCAGGCCCTGGACAGAGGCCATGGAGGCAGAGTCGAGGCTCTCTGCTGACCACAGACGGAGCCTGTGGCTGCTTGAAGCCTCTGATCTCCACGGTGCTTGTCTGACATGTGACTGTGGCCAACAGACGTCCCCACACCAGGGAGGGCGGAGGCTTCTTGATGGGCTGATGGCTGAGCGGTTTCTACCGCTGAAGCCTCAGAGTGTAGAAACATCTCATGGTATCCTTTCTGTCCCTCGCCCCATCTCTAGGGTCCCCAGCAGCCCTCACCTCCTCCAGCAGTATTCCCCAACACAGTAGCCAGTGGATGTTAACAGGCAGCACTCACAAGAGGCCTCCCTGATCAACAGATCTGGAAAACCATGAGTTAGGCACAGCTAAGCATAGCTATTTCAGGACTTATCAGAACCTTAATGGGCATTTTTGTATTGCCCATCTCCAAAGCAAGGATCCATTAAGAAGGGCTGTCCAAGTTATTTTCATCATGGAACAACTTACAGGGCCAGTATTAGGACATTTTGGTGCAGCCAGCCCAACACCATCCCTGGTCTTCATCCTCCCTCCTTCCAGCCACAGTCAGAGACACCCTAATGGATGGAGACATGGCGCTCTTCCTGCCTCCCATTCTGCCTTCTTCCCCCTTCCCAAGTCCACAGCCAAATCCTTCAAGAGGGCTCTGTTGAATTTGTTATTAAGAAAGGCTCTGGAAACTTTCTTAATAACATACAGGCCCTCAGCTCCTGGAGGGCAGGGAGCAGATCTGTCCCGTCACCTGTGCTCCAGTCTCCTGCTTGGTAAATGCTTGATGACCGACTCACGGAAGGCCCCACCCTGCCAGTCAGATTGCTGGGTTACCCAAACCTGCTCTAAAAGTCTGCTGCTGATCCTGCTAGCATGAACCTCCCAGGAAGAAAGGAGAGGGGGATGCATTGAAGGGGCTGTGGGTGCCTTTGTCCTCTCCCCGCTAACATCATGGGAATAGGAGATTAAAGTTCTGGGCACCTGCTGGGGAAGGAGACGGAGGACACAGCCACAAGTCTGACACTGTCTCCTACCATCTGCCCAGTGTCTTTCCATCGCAACCACACGGCAACCGTCCGATCCCATGCTGAGAACCCCACAGCCTCCCACGTGGATAACGAATACAGCCAACCTCCCAGGAACTCCCACCTGTCAGCTTATCCAGGTAAGCACCAGCGGGTGCTCCCAGGCACGCAGGCAGGGCTGCAGCAGGCCGCCAAGGCAGGTCACGTGATGCCCTTGAAGGTCGGGTGATGGCCCAAAGACAGAATGGAGACCCCAGGGTGCAAGGGGATCAAACATCGCAGGATGCAGCAGGGGTACGGAAGGGATATAGCCTTTGCAGGCCCCAGCTGTCCCGTTTGAGACCACAAACTACTCATCTGGAGAGAAGAATGCACTCAGAAAGCCATCAACCCCAGCCTTGCTGTGACCTAATGGGCCTGTTTCCCTTCAGGGCCTTGAGGGGCCTGGATGGTAAATGAGGCCCCTTGGATTCCTCCGGGCTAGAAGAGAGCCATTAAGTGGGCTGCAGGAGCGCTGTACTAAAGGCTCCCAGACTGGCACTACCAATTAAGCCCCAGGGAGCCTGGAGTTCAGCATCATTAGTGAACGTTTGGCTGATTTGATCAAAACAGATAAGGGGTTGTCACCGGCTCATAAAGCCCCTGTGATCTTCCAACCCACTGTGGGCAGCGGCTCTAGGATCCAAGGGGCTCTGTGGAGTCAAAAACCCTCTGCAAACAGCGTCCTTTCTTTCCCCAGCTCTGGAAGGGGCTCTGCATCGCTCCTCCATGCAGCCTGACAACTCCTCCGACAGTGACTATGATCTGCATGGGGCTCAGAGGCTGTAAAGGTGAGCCCGTCTCCAGCCTGACCCCAGCACCCCAGGGTCCCCCACAGTCCTGGGGGTGAGCAGCAGCCACTCAATGCCTCCCCTCAGTCCCACCCTGCCCATACATGAATAGGGGACCCCCAGCATCTTGATTCTTGTAAAGGGAAAGACAAACGTCAGCTGTTTAGGTTATACGAGCTGATTTGACAATTAGAGCAGAGCAATCATGAACTTTAACAATCAACTCTTAAACTCCATTCGGAAGGCCACACAGGCAGAGTCCCTAAGAGCTCCGTGATGGAGTCACACCCCTCTAGAGCTGCCAACCTGCCAGCGGGCAGAAGGAGCCCCTGGCTCAGGACAGCAGCCGTCCCCAAGATGGAGCCCAGAGCATGGGTCCTGTCCCCGACCTCCCTGCATCACCTCTGCGGTGTCTTCCTCTAACACGTTTCCTTCTCACCCCACAGAACTGGGATCCATGAGCAAAAAGCCGAGAGCCAGACCTGTTTGTCCTGAGAAAACTGTCCGCTCTTCACTTGAAATCATGTCCCTATTTCTACCCCGGCCAGAACATGGACAGAGGCCAGAAGCCTTCCGGACAGGCGCTGCTGCCCCGAGTGGCAGGCCAGCTCACACTCTGCTGCACAACAGCTCGGCCGCCCCTCCACTTGTGGAAGCTGTGGTGGGCAGAGCCCCAAAACAAGCAGCCTTCCAACTAGAGACTCGGGGGTGTCTGAAGGGGGCCCCCTTTCCCTGCCCGCTGGGGAGCGGCGTCTCAGTGAAATCGGCTTTCTCCTCAGACTCTGTCCCTGGTAAGGAGTGACAAGGAAGCTCACAGCTGGGCGAGTGCATTTTGAATAGTTTTTTGTAAGTAGTGCTTTTCCTCCTTCCTGACAAATCGAGCGCTTTGGCCTCTTCTGTGCAGCATCCACCCCTGCGGATCCCTCTGGGGAGGACAGGAAGGGGACTCCCGGAGACCTCTGCAGCCGTGGTGGTCAGAGGCTGCTCACCTGAGCACAAAGACAGCTCTGCACATTCACCGCAGCTGCCAGCCAGGGGTCTGGGTGGGCACCACCCTGACCCACAGCGTCACCCCACTCCCTCTGTCTTATGACTCCCCTCCCCAACCCCCTCATCTAAAGACACCTTCCTTTCCACTGGCTGTCAAGCCCACAGGGCACCAGTGCCACCCAGGGCCCGGCACAAAGGGGCGCCTAGTAAACCTTAACCAACTTGGTTTTTTGCTTCACCCAGCAATTAAAAGTCCCAAGCTGAGGTAGTTTCAGTCCATCACAGTTCATCTTCTAACCCAAGAGTCAGAGATGGGGCTGGTCATGTTCCTTTGGTTTGAATAACTCCCTTGACGAAAACAGACTCCTCTAGTACTTGGAGATCTTGGACGTACACCTAATCCCATGGGGCCTCGGCTTCCTTAACTGCAAGTGAGAAGAGGAGGTCTACCCAGGAGCCTCGGGTCTGATCAAGGGAGAGGCCAGGCGCAGCTCACTGCGGCGGCTCCCTAAGAAGGTGAAGCAACATGGGAACACATCCTAAGACAGGTCCTTTCTCCACGCCATTTGATGCTGTATCTCCTGGGAGCACAGGCATCAATGGTCCAAGCCGCATAATAAGTCTGGAAGAGCAAAAGGGAGTTACTAGGATATGGGGTGGGCTGCTCCCAGAATCTGCTCAGCTTTCTGCCCCCACCAACACCCTCCAACCAGGCCTTGCCTTCTGAGAGCCCCCGTGGCCAAGCCCAGGTCACAGATCTTCCCCCGACCATGCTGGGAATCCAGAAACAGGGACCCCATTTGTCTTCCCATATCTGGTGGAGGTGAGGGGGCTCCTCAAAAGGGAACTGAGAGGCTGCTCTTAGGGAGGGCAAAGGTTCGGGGGCAGCCAGTGTCTCCCATCAGTGCCTTTTTTAATAAAAGCTCTTTCATCTATAGTTTGGCCACCATACAGTGGCCTCAAAGCAACCATGGCCTACTTAAAAACCAAACCAAAAATAAAGAGTTTAGTTGAGGAGAAATGAGCCTTTAGAAAACTGTTTTTCAAGGGTTGGCTGACTTGGGTGATGCATTTCAAAAAGATGTTTGGTGATGCGATGGAATAGAAGCACTTTAGTCTTCAACGTGCCATTGTCAAGTTCCTGCCTTGGCTGGTGAAGGCAACCCACTGCTCCCCCAGCCAGTGCTCGGGGGCTGGTGTCCACATCCCTTGGTAGAGGACGCGCTGCCGTGACCTGGACAACCTCCCCGTTCCTGCATCCCAGCAACCTGCTAGAGCAGGGCCAGCCCTTCCACTCACCTGTGTGTCCCTCAAACCCTGCCCATTCCGTAAATTATGTTCCTGCGTAAATCATGTGACCTGGCCAATGAGTGGGCGTGCAACCCCTGATTCTAGCACATTAGGTCAAGGATACCAAGGACCAAAAAGTCTAGCTTTCACACTGCCATGTGCCCAAGCATGGTGGCTCGTGCCTGTAATCCCAGCACTTTGGGAGACCAAGGTGGAAGGATTGCTTGAAGCCAGGAGTTCCAGACCAGCCTGGGCAACAAAGTGAGACCCCAGCTCTACCAAAAAAAGGAGTTTTTTAATTAGCTGAGCATGGTAGCACATGCCTATAGTCTGTTATTCATGAGGCTGGTGCAGGAGGATCACTTGAGGCCAGGAGTTTAAGGCTGCAGTGAGCCATGATCTTGCCATTGCACTCCAGCCTGGGCAACAGGCTTTTTTTTTTTTTTTCCAAAAAAACCATATATATACAAATAATTAGCCAGGCATGGTGGCACACACCTGTAATCCCAGCTACTCAAGAGGCTGAGGCAGGAGAATCACTTGAACCCGGGAGGCGGAGGTTGCAGTGAGCTGAGATGGCGCCAATACACTCCAGCCTGGGAGCCAGATGAGTGAGATTCTGTCTCAAAAAAAAAAAAGTTATCATGCACCCAGGGATCTGGGAGTACAGAGCGGAACAGAGAGCTGTAAGGACATGACATTTATATGGCCTCACCACATCCAGCAGAGCAAAGTGTCCTAAGCTAGGAATCTCTTGAGACTCTAAATTTGATGCTCAGGGTCTGTCCCCCTGCAGCGGGAGGCCCACTGTAGTCTGGTGAAAAGCAGCCAGTGATCTCCCAGGGATGCAGGGAGGGAGGCGTGAGGAGCGCCTGTGTGTGCTGCCCTCTGAGGTGAGGTGGCCAGGGAGAGGGGGAAGCAAAGAGCACAGGGTGGGACACGCGGGCTGACCAGCTGAGGCAGCTCATGATGGTCCTTTCTTAGAAAGTCAGCCCCTCCGTGCCCCCTGCCACCACTCTGGCACCAACCCAAGGCAGGTGACCTGACTATGCGCCTAGAGGGAGATTTGCAGCCTCTTCCTACAAAGCCAAATTGCTTCCAGCTGTCCCTGATGTCCTGTGTCCTCAGCCTTGGACACCTGCAAGGCAAAGCCAGAGTTCAGCTGGGGGTGAAGGGCAGTAAACGTTTGACCAGAGCCCAGAGACTCTCAGCTCTGTCCTCGGGAGGCACTTCTGGCACCACCAAGGCAGGGGGAAGGAGCCCCTGCAGCCTCTGAAATCCAACCGACCCAGTCCAAGTCCCACCTCCTCCTAAGGCTGTGCAACCCGCTCACCGAACCACCTGCCCTGTGGTTTCCTCCCATTTAAACTGGGGATGAAAGGGCTGTTGCGAGGACTCCAGGACATAATGCGCCTGAAAGCACAGTACAGCCTGCAGCCATAGCGACTTCAGGGCATCTCTAGGCATCCTCCACAGGTGGCCGCCCGGTCACCTTGCGGGGAAGGAGAGGCGGAGGGCTGACATGAGGGACTGTTAGAAGCCTGGTCTTCAGACTCCCTCCAAGCTGCCCTTCCTGCTGAGCTGAAGACGCCCTCCCTGGCCTCGGGATAGGCAGCTCAGCAGCAGAGGCGACGCTGGGGAGGGAGGCAGGCTGGGCCAAGGCCTAGAAGACTGTTGGTGCCGCAGCCAGTTTAGCGGCCTGCTGTTCCTCTGAGCCCATCCTGCAAGCCCAGGTTAGAATTAGATGGCTCACAGACAGGCCCACACGCCGACATCCCGCCAGCCCGGCAGGTGGCAGGAACGCAGCACCTCCCGAGCAGGCTGAGGACCAGACGCCCCCTCGTGGCATCCTGTGGCCTTGCATGCCATTGCTCTCAGTCCAGGACCAGGCAAACGTAGGCTCCAATAGGAAAACGGCTAAGAAAGAAAGCGGAAGAGCGGGAGAGGGAAGGTAAATACTCCCAGGGCCAGCCCTGGGGCGAGCGGGCAAGGGAGGGCTGACATCCAGACGGATGGGGCTTTGGGATGTGAATCACAGAGGCCCCTCCAGAGAGCACGATCTGAAGGCTGCAGAAGAGTTCAAGGCACCCACATGCAGCCACGTCTTCACTCAAACCCAGCAACACCACACCACATGTGACTCATCAAAGTTTATTATGGCAATTAATTACACAAACATACAGGCGGTCGGTCATCCAGCTCAGAAGCACTCAAACCAGTAGAGTCCATTAGTGATTTCTCTTTATAAATAACTTAGGAGAAGCAAGCACATTTGGTAAAGAACCGGCAGCGCTGACCTAGCGTCACGCGGATGGCACATAGGCCGGGGAGGGGCAGGCACCAGAAGGTCAAGGTCCCTCCTTGGCCCCAGCAGCCCCGGGCCCACCAGATGCTGCGTCCTCAGGTAGTGGACATTTCAAGGCACGTACAACTTCCTAAGCAATAGCAGCTCCAGGCTCTTCCCTGAGACCTGGTTTACCTCTGGAACAACCAAGTTAACACTCATCACACCCCCTTTGTCTATTGTATTCATTCTTATTACTGAACATGCCCCAAACCCCACAGTGCAGGGGGCTGCATATTAAACAGAGACATAATCCCCACCCTTTACATTCTGAAGACAGGGAGGTGTGAAAAAATTGCCCCTAATGTAGTGATGGTGTTTTTTAAAAAGCACCATTTGGGAAGTAAAGTTAGGGCCTCTTTTGATGCCTGTCTTAGGATGGACACTGGGGGTGGGAGGATTACATCAACAGAGTGAGAAGGGGAGGGGAAGGGAGGGGGCTGCTTGTGAATGAGATTCAAGGCACTAAAGGAGTGGATGGATGCGTGGGCCTCGGGCAAAGTCGCCCTAAAGTGGGGACCCCAGAGGAGAGAAGGGAGGGTGGCTGGGGAGGTGACCTGGCCCTCCAATCCTAAACAAGCCCCAATGTGACCACAATCTCCAGGGCTAGAGCTGCCCGCTTCCCTCTGGCCAGAGGGCCCAAGGCAGCCCCCTGGGTTCTCCAACCACTGCAAGCAAGGTCTGGGGACAACCTTGACAACCCCCAGCCTTCTTGCTGGGCTGGCGCTGCTGCCACTCAAATAGGACATAGGACAAGCTTGTCTGACATCAGCTACTGGAGTTAAATTATGGCTTTATAGGACTCAAACCTGTTGTTTTTCCCAACTCTGTTCTCTCCCTCCAATCCAACCCCTGCCACAGTGCATGGGCAGGCTAGCCTTGAATGGACTGGACAGACACCAACAGCTGCATCCCTTGGCATGGGGCTCCATGTCAAATATGCCAAACCCCAGGGGAGATGGAGGGGGCTGGAGACCCGGGGCCTCCTCATAGAGATAACTCTGCACTGGGTTCAAATGGCCCTGAGTGCAGCCGCAAGTAGATGCTCATAAATGCGCACATGCGCTCACTCACACAGACACCGGCGAGAGGTGCTGGACTCCAGCCTGGCTAGCACCGCTGCAGCCAGGCACTGAAAGGAGGGGCTTCCAGGAGGACCTCTGGCCAGAAGGCCAGCAAGTGCCATGACCAGTCACACCGCCCAGTGCCTTGTCCCTCCAAGGCCTCTGGGTGCCGACGCAAGTCCACAGGGAGCACCAACGCCACTTCCAGTTGACCCTCGAATCTCGGCGATGGCTGGGCCAAAGGTTGAGCGTGGGTGGGACTAGGGAGGGGCCGAGGGCCAGGAGTGTGTCTAATACCCAGGCCAGGCAGGCCCCGGCGGTGGTGGGAACCCATAGGGAGGGGCGGGCCCGGGGGGATAAGGGGGCTGCAGGGGCACTGAGGGCTGGGGCTGGCCTGGAAAGCTGGGGAGCTGAGGCTGTATTGGGTAGGGAGGTTTTCCTCCTGTTGCGGGGTATGGGGACTGTTGAGGATAACCAGGACTGGGGGCCCTGCCTCCCCGCAAGGGGTACCCAGGCCCAGAGGCACCCATTGGGGTCCCAGGATAGCCCGGCCGGGGTGGCATGCTCCTCTGTGGGGACCAGGAGTAACCCGCAGCACCCCTGGGTCCAAGCTGGGCTGCCGGGTAAGTGGGGCCCAGAGGCCCGCTGTAGAAGGAGGGCTGGGACACTACTGGGAAAGGGGCCGGTGGCAGGGCTCCATGGGCAGTGGGGCCCACAGGCAGGCTGGGGGATGGGCTGTAGGGCAAAGGGTAGGGAGGCATGGCTAATGGTGGCTGCGGCTGCTCTTCAACCACAGGGGGTGTTCCCTGGGGGACTGGGCGCACCGGGGGTGGTGGACGGGGTGGAGGGGCATCGCCGGCCAGCTCCTGGGAAGCCCTGGGCTTCCTCACCACTTCCTGGAGCTTTTCCACGCGAACCCGGCGCAGGTGGGACAGCATCCTCATGGAGGAAAAATTCTCCAGGAACGTTTCCAGGGGCACCTCGCCCTCCAGGAACTTCTCAGCCATGGCCTGGAAGACATAAGGTCCAGTGACAACAGGGGCAGCTGGGATCAAGGCCTCTTGATTTTCCCCAGGGTCTGAGTTCAGCTGCAGCCCTCCCACCTCACGCCGCCTCAGGCACCCCCTCCTCTTCCCTGCCCATACGCCCCTTCTCACAGCTGACATATGGTACATGCACTGTCTCCCTCACTAGAATGTCAGTCCCTTGAAGGCGAGGACTGTCTCTGTCGTGGTCACCTCTGTCCTGGCACCTTGGCATCATGCCAGGCCCACAGTGGCCACTGCATATATGTGCTGAACACCTGGATGAGCACTAGCCCAGGGACTGGGAGGGCCTAGAAGCTTCTTCCACCCAGACACAGAGTGGACAGCACCAGTTTGCCCACAGAGGCTGAAGAGGTGGCCGGAGGGAAGCAGGAAGCAGGGAGAGTGGAGTAGGGAGCTGGCCTCAGCCCCTGGGGGCCTCCTGCTGTGCTGCCCTACCATCCAGGGCTGCGAGCTGCCCTTGTCCACTGTCACCCGTTTCTGCTTCAGCTAGTGGGACTGGGTTCCTGTTATTTATACCCAAAAGGCCTCCCCAGGACTAAAGATGTCCTTCACCTCTGCCATCTACGAAAGCTCCCTTGTTCCATGCTTTGCAGACATCTGCTTCTCCTTCCAAGGGCCCCTGCTGCAGGGACTGACACCCCGTCCAGGGAAGAGGGGTGTCGCCTCGCCCTCTCACCTCGGACTCTTCTTCGATCTTCATGCCTTCCACCTGCAGAAGGTCTAACAAGGTCCCTGGCTGCAGTGCTGAAGAAAATTTCTCTGGAAGGGAGGGCAGAACGACTGACATTTGAAAAGTGCTTCCTGATTCAGTGTTAAAGGCACTTTGCATACCCTCTGTGTGCATCCAGGCCCAGCCACCACAGCAGGGTCCACCAAAGGGTCCTTCTGGGTGGGCTTGATGAGCACTTTTGGTCCAGTTCCTTCCTGAGCAGAGAAGGGCCCGAATGAACCTAGCCTAGACCTTGGCCAAGCCTACCCTACGCCATCCTGGGATGGGAAATGACTTGGGCTTCAGAGCCCAACTGACCCAGTTCTGCCTGCCAGCAAGGGGAGTTACCTAACCTGAGTGTCAAGCTTTCTCACCATCAAGACAAGGACCACCCTCCCACCTTCAAAGGTGACAGGTCCTGGGACACAGAGAGCCCAGAGCAGCTCAGGAACAGCTCAGTAAAGCATAGAAGCTGAGCTGCCAAGGGTAACGGCAGCAGCAAAGGATGCAGGCTGTCTCAATTCAAATCCCAATTCCACCTATTTCTAAGCTGGGTGACCTTAGTCAAGTTATTGAATCTCTCTGAGCCTCATTTTTCTTACCTATAAAATGGAGTAACAACAGTACCCACCCTTCTATGGCTGTTGTGAAAAAATATACATAAAGCACTTAGCACAGGGCTGGGAACACGGTGGGCCTCCGTCCAACCCTGAATGGGGACCCTGAGTTCACAGAGGAGCCACCCTACCCAGCTTTGCCTTCTGCTCCTGGCACCGCTCCACGAGCTTCCGGAGCTCCTGGTATCTATCCGAGAGGTTTGAGCGGCTGATCTCCAGGGGACCCTGGAACTCCAAGTTCCGCTCTGCCAGGCTCCGGTTGGTGGCCAGTGCCATCTCCCGTTCCAGCTGTAGGTCCTGGACCTAAAAGGGCAGGACAACAGAACCTAAGGAAAACGTCCATCACCCTTAACCTCCTGGCAGCCTGGGTCAGGGGCTTCGGGGACACATTGCTCACCTTGGGGCGGAGAGGCTCATCCTTGGGGCAATACTCAGCCCTCAACTAGTCAGACAAAGCCAGGTTCAAACCCTGAATGAAGTACTCTGCGCCTCACTTAATCCTTAACCCACAGCCCACGAGGTGGAGACGCATGGGAACCTGGCGCTGAAGGTGAAGAGCTCGCCCAAGGCCATGTGATTGATATCCATGATGGAATGTGCAGAGCCCCAAGGAGGGGGTGGACCAATTTACATGAGAAAAAGCAGAGGCTTTCCAGGAGGGAGGGGATCAAAAGTCCCAATTACTTATCCCCAAGCTTCAGAGTCAAGAGACCTACCATGGTGGGCTCAGGTGGTCCTGGCCAGATGCACAGGCAAGACATATAATGAGGCCCCAAATAAAGTTATTGTGAGGGGTGAGAGAGCCAGGTCCCTGGACCAGACCATGCCACTGACTTAGGAGAGACCTGGACCTGCCTCCTATGCCACACATGTGTCCTGCAGAGAAGCTGCACAGATGAGCCAGAGGGGCCACCCTGGACATTCCCTGCTGCAAACACTTCCCCAAGCCAAGCGGCACTTTACCCCTCTGCCAGGCTCTTCGTCGCTGCCAGCCAGTGAGACAGAAGCCAAGGCACCCTTGCCAGCTGTTGTGATGTGACGCCCCATGCATCCGCCAAGGAGTCCTCTTCCTAAGAGGAGGGCTGAGGAGTCAGACCTGCATGCTGAGCCAGCAGTGACAGTACACTGTCAGCAGCATGGGGCACCAGAAGAGAGGCCTCGGCACCCGCCACAGGGCGCAGGGAACAGCTCAGCAAGACTGACTCTAAGTCAGGCCCTCACTGTGCAGCTTCTCTGTGCAGCTTCTCCACCATGGTCAGCATGTGACAGACCAAGCCAGACTGGCTCATGCCCCACGAGACATAGGAAGCCCGTGGGCATTCTGGAAGAGGCGGCCTCGGGGAAAGGCTACCCCTTCTGCTGTCCCAGCTACAGGGGCCGAGGTCCTGCACTCTGGGGCAGGCCCATTGCCTCTTCTTTGTGCTCCAGATTGGAAAGAGGGATACCACAGCTTCCTGCCCTCCCTGAGCCCTCCAGACAAGGCTGCCAGGGTTCAGGGATGTAGGGCCCAGGGTCTGTCCAGCCTAGAGCCCACGCTGCTGCCTTCTACAGACATGGTCTCATTCTGTCGTCCAGAATGAGTGCAATAGCATGACCATAGGTCACTGCAGCCTCAAACTCCTGAGCTCGAGCAATATTCCCTTCTCAGCCTTTCCAGCAGCTGGGACTACAGGCATGCACCACCACGCCTGGCTAAGTTCTTTTATTTTCTGTAGAGATGGGGTTTCCCTACGTTGCCCAGGCTGGCCTCAAACAATCCTCCCATCCCATCCTTCCAATAGCTGGGACTACAGGCACAAACCACCATACGTGACTCTCAATCTAATTTTTATTAGCCATGGAAACTTTACTTACATGGCTGACCCAGAGTGAAAGGCCTAAAGCCCTCCTGCTCACCCATCCCTTGCAGGGCCCCATGGATCCTCTGGCCTCCCTATAGGTCCACTGCCTTTTCCCTGCGTCTAAACCAACAAATCGACGCTGTATCATTTTCCCCTAAATCTTGCCCTACTTATTTCTGCTCCCTGTCTCCACAGCCTTCTTACATCTTTCTCCACGAAGTGGGTCAATGGGTAGAAACATATAGGTAGATAGAAGAAGTAAGTTCTAATGTTCAACAGCTGAGTAGGGTGACTATGGTCAGCAACAATGTATTGTATATTTCAAAGTAGCAAGAAGCGTAAAATGTTCCCAACACACAGAAACAACAAATACTCAAGGTGATGGAGACCCTAAATGCCCTGACCTTAATTACACATTTTTTTTTTTTTTTTTTTTTTGAGACAGAGTTTCGCTCTGTTGCCCAGGCTGGAGTGCAATGGCGCAATCTCGGCTCACTTCAACCTCTGCCTCCTGGGTTCAAGCGATTCTCCTGCCTCAGCCTCCCTTGCTCCCTTGTAGCTGGGACTACAGGCACGTGCCACCACGCCTGGCTAATTTTTGTATTTTTAGTAGAGATGGGGTTTCACCATGTTGGCTAGGCTGCTCTCGAACTCCTGACCTCAGGTCTTCCACCCACCTCGGCCTCCCAAAGTGCTGGGATTACAGGCATGAGCTACCGCGCCCAGCCTGATCATCACACATTCTATGCATGCAACAAAGATTCTCATCTTCCCCATAAATATGCAAAATATGCATCAATTTAGAAAATTGCATATCGATGCATATTAGGGGTTCAGTGTGAAGTCCTCCCAGTCACTGAAAAGAGGTAAGACTAAAAATAGGTAAATAAAAGATGTTTTCACATGTTTTGCTGCTTCTGAATTCAATCTGCCCTAGTATATTACTTTGGTGGAAATAAGGAGGAAGAATCTATACTCATACAGATATATAGCTAGAAAAGGAAGGAGTCGCTACTAACCTTTATAGATAATTATCAATTTTCTTTGAATCTACAGCAAAACTCAACAAGAAGTATCTAATAGTTCTTAAAAGTTGCTATGTAAAATTTAGAAATTAGCCAGGTGTGGTGGTGTGCACCTGTAGTCCCAGCTACTTGGGAGGCTGAGGTGGGAGGATTGTTTGAGTTCAGGAGGTGGAGGCTGCAGTGAGCCATGATGGCGCCATTGCACTCCAGCCTGGGTGACAAAGTAAGACCCTGCCTAAAAAAACAAAAATTAAAAAAAGTTGCAAAGTGGGAGATAAAACCATTTTGACTAACTTTCCTTAATAAGTTACGGTGTTTCCCTTCTATATCTGGCCCCCAACCCAAAGCAGCTCCCCTCCACACACCCCTCTATGCACACTCTTCTACACGGAGAGAGCCCCTGCCAACTCCCTTCTCTCCTAGCCGTGTCCATGTCCCGAACTAATAGAGAGCTCCTGTCTCTTCTCACAATCCCACTGTGACTCAATGACTGTCTTATAGCCCACGATAAAAAAGTTTGCCAATGGTCTGAAGTCTAAGTGGCTTGTCCTGCTTCATTTCTACCTGATCCACGAGTGTTTTTTCCCCTCAGAGAGTTCAGATCGATGGGACAGGTGTGGCTGCACACCACAAAATTCAAGTGCCTTCTGCCCAAGAGGTCGCTTCTGCTCACATTTTCCATGATTCTCTGCTTTGTCACGATTCTGTCAGCCTGCTCAGCTCTGCACACTCTAGAAGCAGGCCTTGGGCTTCCCATGGCACCATGCTCACAGTGCTTAATATGTGACAAAGGAACGCAGGCAGAGCTGCACTGTGCCCAGCACCAGGCTGGGCAGGAGCAACGCCCTGGCAGAGCTCACAGCCTCACAAGCCATTTGAGTCAGCCCTGGGGCTTCGACAAGCAAGCTTTGCTCCACGTCCTTGCTGAGGACTAAAAAAGCCCTAGGGTGGTAGGATGTGGCCCATGGTGTCCACCTCTCCTCACAATCTCCCCACCAGGAGATCTTTTCAACCCAATGTTCAGTCACCTCCAACCCCAGTTAAGATTCCTCACTTAGGCAGTAGAGCAGGCAGCAGGCAGCAAGAGCACAAGCAGAAACAGGAGCAGGGGACTCACCGGCCTGGCGCCCCCCATGGCATGGAAGCACGGAGACACTGGATGGGGGAACGTCATTATTTTTTTCAAAATACAAGTTCACAGAAGAGACACACCATACCTGCTCATCCGTGCAAGTAAACATGTACTCCAAATGCAAATCAAAGGAGCTGGCATTGCTTGCGTGTGTGTCTCTCCCTCACATTAGGTATAGGAAGCGGGAGCTTCCAGCACAACGGATGAGCTGCAGCCACTCAATGGGTGACCGTGGATATTTCTGGCTGTGTGGCCTGACCTCTCCCATCTCACAGGGGACATCCCAGGGTCACAGGAGATGCTAGGGGCAGGGAATGTCCTTTATTAAGTGTAAATCTCTGCACAGGCAGGATTCTGTTTCTTTCCTCAAGGAGTCTGTGATTAAGAACTAGAGGATTAGGGGCCAGTTATGAGGAGAAACAGGATCAAATGGGAGACGAGCTAGATCTCAGCCCAAGAATGGCTCCTAGAAGCCTTAGAGTCACCTGGAGATATGGGATCGCACAAGGCTCTTGGGGAAAAGTGGGTACAAAACCATACCAGTGCTTTGAGGAGCTGCCTCCAGATTTGGGCTGGAACGACAGTGTGGGGACTCCTGGGGTATCTGGGTCCTGGGAAGGCACCAGGAGGCAGTGGACTCCCCAGCACTCCCAAGAACTCCCAGGAACTGGTCTGAAGCCTCAGGGATTCCTCTGAGTCCAAACCAGGATGAAGTTCACAGAAAAGGGAGATGAATTTGGCCAAAACTTCCAATAAGCCAGCATCCTTAAAAAGCGCCTCTTAACAAGCCTCATCTGCTGGCCTCTGTTGGGTCCCATACCAGCCTCCCTCTACCTCAGGGGACTCCAGGGCCAGCTGGTCAATCGCCTCCGAGTCATTCTGCAACTCCTCCAGCTCCTGCAGGGTCTTATCCTTCAGCGTCTCCATCCTTCCCTGTGAACACAGTGACACCAAAGTAACGAACAGGCAGCCCAAGACGAAGGGACCCCCGAGCCTGTACATATGATTTATCAAAAACAAACTGGAGTTTTCCTGCGATAATACCACTCCACCGGGAGGCTCGAGGAGAGGCAGAAATCTCTGAGAGCACATTCCTGCGGCTCAGCCCACCCCCTCCCCAGGGAGATCAAGGAGCTGCTCCCTCCACCCTCTCATGAGCAACAGGATATGTGAAAGTACTTGCAGCCAGAAGCAAAACCACAATCCTCGGGTGCTAGATGGAGCTCCCCAAGGAGCAGAGAGGAAAAGGCAGGAGGAGAGGGCCAGGCAGCAGGGATGGAGACTAAGTTTGGCCCAAGGCTGCCCGCAAGCACTGATGCCATCATGCCCTCTGGTAGGTGTCTATTTCTGTCTGAACCAGAAATACACCAAGCTCCACACATGGGGGCTTTGCTGGCTTCGACATCACTGGTTCAACTATGTCACTGCTTGTTATATTTAGTGCTCCAGAAACCTCAGGTTTCCCTCCAGAATTCCCCTTAACTGCAGCCCTCTCCATGTGCCACCAAAATGGACTGTCATATGCGCATCCTCATAGAAGCAGGAAAAAAAAAAAAATCAGCCATTTGGCCTAGCAGGCAATCAGGAAGGAAAGAAATTGACCGACCCAAAGAGGACATCGCTTTGACAGAGAGCTAGTGTCAGCGGCCCTCTCCCTGTCACTCTGCCTAGAGGGCCATCGATTGTCTGTGTGGTAGATGGGTCACAGCCAGGCCCAGGAGGGAACCCCAGGGACTGAAGAGAGGAAGCACAAATACACCCGGCACCTGCTTCCTTTCTGCTGACAGGGTCCTCCATTTTCATCTGGTTTGTATCTCTTCCAGAGGTGCATTCCATAGCTTTTTTTTTTTTTTTTTTTTGAGACATGGTCTGGCTCTGTTGCCCAGGCTGGAAAGCAATGGTGCAAACAGGGCTCACTGCAGCCTTGATCTCCTGGGCTCAAATGATCCTCCCACCTCAACCTCCCGATAGCTGGCACTATAGGTGTGCGTTACCACCTCCAGCTAATTTTTAAATTTTTTGTAGAGACAGGGTCTCACTATTTTGACCAGGCTGGTCTCGAACTACTGGGCTCAAACAATTCTCCTGCCTTGGCCTCCCAAGGTGCTGGGATTACAGGTGTGTGCCACCATGTCCAGCTCCATAGCTTTAATGTTGTTTTTTCTCATCACAAAGATTATGTTAGTTTTCAAAAGATTCCAGCACCACAGAAATCTAGGGTCCTCCACAGCCCACCTGCACCAGCACTCAGCTAGGGTGAGCCAAGGCTGACAACCCAGCTGAGAAAGCGTTCTAGAATCAAGGACCAAGGTTATAGCTGTGTGGTCAGATGCACCCTTCTCCAGGTCTCAGTTTCCCCATTTGCAGTAGGAAGCGAACGGCATCTCCTAGGGCCATCAGAAAGGTAAGAGGAGGACTGAGAAACGACCACATGTTCCCATGTACCAGGAAGTCCCAGTGCACTCCTCAGGGGACCCTCCCCCCACCCACTCAAGGGTGCCCTGGTTTAAACAACAAATCATATGGCCACTGATAAAGAACTATCCATACAGGGACGAGACCAGTATTTGTTATGTCTTGAGGGTTAAAAGTGGCCCCCAACCTCTAAGCAGGGATTGCCAAACTTCAGTGTGCACCTGAATTCCAGCAAAGCTCACTGACCATACAGGTGGCCAGCCCCTCCCACAGAGCTCTGCATTAGTAGGTCAGGGCAGGGCCCGGAAATCCGGAATCCCTCCTGGAGAGACTGACACAGTTGGTCCAGGGCCAGATTTTGAGAAGATGACAGCTCTATGCCAGTCCTATCACAGTGGAGACCCCTGGTTTCTGAGTACATGCAACGTCAGTTTTCCCTGAGCTGTTCTCCCCTTACAAGGAGAGGTAGCAGCAGCCATGTCATATGCAGACAGGGTATCAGAAAGGTTACAGTCACAGCCAGCAAACAGCAGAGCCAAAATTCAAACCTGCATTCTGTCCACACCTCACCTTACCGCTCCAAAACCCTTGGTCTAAAAGCCCCAGAGCCAGGTCGGACACGGTGGCTCACACCTGTAATCCCAACACTTTGGGAGACCAAGGTAGAAGGCTCATTTGTGGCCAGGAGGTCAAGACCAGCCTAGGCAATATAGCATCTGATTGTAAAAATTGTAAAATGAAATAAAATAATGAAAATAAGTAAAAGCTGGGCCAGGTGCAGTGGCTTATGCCTATAATCCCAGCACTTTGGAAGGCCAAGGTAGGCAGATCACCTGAGGTCAGGAGTTCGCGACCAGCCTAGCCAACATGTTGAAACCCTGTCTCTACTGAAAATACAAAATTAGCCCGGCGTGGTGGCACACACTTGTAATCCCAGTTACTCCGGAGGCCCAGGCACCAGAATCACTTGAACCTGGGAGGTGGAGGTTACAGTGAGCAGAGATCATGCCACTGCACTCCAGCCTGGGCAACCGAGCAAGACTCGGTCTCAAAAAAAAAAAAAGAAAAGAAAGTAAGTAAAAGCTAGAGCTAGAGCAGGGAAAGAGCAGCCTGCAGATGGCCTGGGCTGGAGCAGAACCCTGGGAGGAACACTGGCAGCACACCCCAAATCCAAACCCAAATGAGCTGGCCACAAGCAGAAGCAACATTGTGAAGATACCGAAACACATCAGGGGCACAGGCTCCAGCCAGCCAGAGACAGTTCAAGTCCAGGCCCTGCCCCTCGCACAGGTGGAACCTCCCTGAGCCTTGAATTCTTCACCTGTAAAATAAGACTCACAACAGCCCCTCCCTCACAGGGCGGGTGCGAGGTCCAATGGGATAGCACAGGCGGTGCTGGCTCGGTGCCAGGCCTGGCCTGGAACAGAACTTGCAGGGCCACAGCAGCTGCACCCATATCGGCTCCACCCAAGGGGAGGCCCACCACTGAGCATCTGCTCACTCCTGCAGTCAGGGCTGAGCACTGCAGGTGCAGCCAGGTGGAGGATGGAAGCTCTGTCGCAGGCAGCTAGCTGACCACACACAAACAGCACAGTCAGCACCACCATCTGTGAAAGCACCCAGCAGGTTCAGGACTCAGTCTCATACACGGAGGTCTCCACATGTGGGGAGGCCCCGAGAAGAGCCGAGATTCCCTGGGACAGGCACCAACTCCCCTCCAGCTGCTTACCACAGGAGGTGCCACCAGATGTTTGACAAGTATCACTTTTAATAAGGTAACACAGCCTCCAACAACACATCGCAAACTTTTGGGTCTCAGGACCCCTTTTCACTCTCAATGTTAAGGAGGACTCCAAAGAGTTTTGTTTATGTGGATTATAGCTATCGGTATTTACCATGTTAGAAATTAAAAGTGGAAGAAAAATTTTTTTTCAAACAGGGTCTCGCTCTATCGCTCAGGCTAGAGTGCAATGGCATGATCTCAGCTCAC
Source organism: Homo sapiens (assembly GCF_000001405.40). Lineage (NCBI taxonomy): Eukaryota > Metazoa > Chordata > Mammalia > Primates > Hominidae > Homo > Homo sapiens. Next base: position 61,142,308 of record NC_000011.10, read on the forward strand.
TTCAGCCTTAATCTCCCAGACTCAAGCAATCCTCCCACCTCAGCCTCCTAAGTAAACCGGACTACAGGCATGTGCCGCCACACCCAGCTAATTTTTTCAAATGTTTTGTAAAGATGGGGTCTCACTATTTGATCCAGGTTGGTCTCAAACTCCTGTACTCAAGTAATCCTCCCGCCTTGACCTCCCAAAGTGCTGGGATAACAGGTGTGAGCCACCACACCCAGAAGAGAAATTTTTAAAATACAAGAATACACAAACACTACCTTCCATTAGCTGCCAGAATGATGACATGATCATGGGTCATGCAGCCTCTGAAAACTGCACTGTACACTCATGCAAGAAAAGAGAGTGAAGAAAGAAAATAATGTCTCAGAATGATTATGAAAACTACTCTAACCTCATGGATGGCCTGAAAGGGTCTCTGGAAACCTCCAGGAGTCCCCCTGAAACACACTTTGAGAGCCACTGGTCTAGAGGTTAAGAGATGAGACTCTAAGGGGTGGGGGGAGGGGGGGAGGGGTAGCATTGGGAGATATACCTAATGCTAGATGACGAGTTAGTGGGTGCAGCGCACCAGCATGGCACATGTATACATATGTAACTAACCTGCACAATGTGCACATGTACCCTAAAACTTAAAGTATAATAAAAAAAAAAAAAGAATAGCTAAAAAAAAAAAAAAAAAAAAAAAAGAGATGAGACTCTGGGGCCAGACTGCCTCGGTATGAACCCATCTCTGCCACTTACTGTGTCATCTAACCCCTTTGTGCCTCAGTTTCTCAATCTGTAAAACAGAGCGGCGTGCGGAACACAGTAAGTACCACTAAGCATTTGCTGCTATGAGGACCCTGGCAACCATCTTAGACAGTGGGCGTCAATATCACCCCCACCTCACAGGGGAGGCTGGGAGAGGTGACGTTACTTGCCCAAGGTCATGCAGTTTGGAATGAAAATGCCTTTTCAGGTCCAGGGATTCTCAACATGTGCCTCATGGAGTCCCTGAGTCCTAAAATCCTCCTCCAGACCTAGAACTCTAGAATCTCCAGGATTCTTAATTTTTTTTTTTTTTTTTTTTTTTTTTTTTTTTTTAGATGGAGTCTTGTGCTGTCGCCCAGGCTGGAGTGCAGTGGCACAATCTCAGCTCACTGTAACCTCTACCTCCCGGGTTCAAGCAATTCTCCTGCCTCAGCCTCTTGAGGATTACAGGTGCCTGACACTAGCCTGGCTAATTTTTGTATTTTTAGTAGAGATGGGGGTTTCACCATGTTGGCCAAGCTGATCTTGAACTCCTGACCTCAAGTGATCCACCTGCCTCAGTGCTGGGATTACAGGTGTGAGCCATTGTGCCCAGCCAATTCTTTTTTTTTTCTGAGATGGAGTTTCGCTCTTGTTGCCCAGGCTGGAGTGCAATGGCACAATCTTGGCTCACGGCAACCTCCGCTTCCCGGGTTCAAGTGATTCTCCGGCCTCAGCCTCCCCAGTAGCTGGGATTACAGGCGTGCAACACCATGCCCAGCTAATTTTGTATTTTTAGTAGAGACAGAGTTTCTCCATGTTGGTCAGGCTGGTCTCGAACTCCTGACCTCAAATGATCCACCTGCCTCAGCCTCCCAAAGTGCTGGGATTACAGGCGTGAGCGACCACGCCCGGCCGATTCTTAATTTTTTTTTTTTTTTTTTGAGACGGAGTCTGGCTCTGTCGCCCAGGCTGGGGTGCAATGGCGCGATCTTGGCTCACTGCAAGCTCCGCCTTCCTGGGTTGACGCCATTCTCCTGCCTCAGCCTCCCGAGTAGCTGGGACTACAGGAGCCACCACCACGCCCGGCTAATTTTTTTATATTTTTAGTAGACACGGGGTTTCACCGTGCTAGCCAGAATGGTCTCGATCTCCTGACCTGGTGATCCACCCACCTCGGCCTCCCAAAGTGCTGGGATTACAGGCGTGAGCCACCGCACCCAGCCAATTCTTAATTTTTAATGAAGTTTTCATTTTAACTAGGCTACCTGGGTCTGACTAGTTTGGCATCTATTATCTTATTTTCCCCTTTCCCCAACACTCTGGGGGAACTCAGGGGGAGGCAACCCCATCTGACAGAGGAAAAGCAAAGACCCCAGGGGAGGAAGGGCCTTGTCACCCAGTCACCGCAGAAGCAGGAGGAGAACGCAGGCAGTGTTTTTTCTATAGGGTGAGCCCCCCCAGGACCCCAAGGGCACTTCCTAAGGCTTGGCTCTGTGTGGGCACGGCGGGACAGGTGACACCCAGGTGCACAAGACAGGGGTCTTCATGCCAGGATTTAGGCTTCAGATTTGCAGTGACGTGACAATGCACATCACAGAGGGAGGCAGCGTCACATACGGTCAAGACCAAGAGGCGGAACGTCACGGCCACAGCTCATGAGACGAGTGCCCAAGCTCTGGCCAGCTCGGCAGGGGAGATTCATGTGAAAACAGTGCCTGCCACGATGTCAAGCTTCTAACGGGCCAGGAGTCCCCCCTACACGGAGGCTGAGTCTGGGAAGGAGACCGGAGGCCTCCACCAAGCTGCTACCTCCTCTGCTCATGGGGCTCCCATTTCAGAAGGCACTGCTGGCATGTGCCAGACAAACATGTCCCAAATGAGGAGTGCTCAGGACCTTACTCCCAACTTTGCCAAATAGCTGGAGGCCAGATGTTCGTTTTGGGACTCAACTTTCCTTATCTGTAAAATGGGCAAACAAACCCTTACATGGCTCTTTTCTTCTGAAATCAAAGCCCTCTGTACTATCACACTGGTCTTTAATTGAAACAATAAATAAAGAGATCAAAGCCCTCTGTAAACTCTCCCGTTAATTTACATAACCTCTCTAGTATGTAAAGCCAGCATGAGCTTAAGTGCCTCCTATTTCAGAGATAAAATGAATCCCAGAAAGAAGCAGGAAGGACACTGCCCCACTGTGCGGGTGTTTTCATCTCACCAACATCTTTGCCCCACCTGCTCGGCAGGCCCATCAGAGGGGTGCAGTGAGGATAAGGTGTTTAGCCATAAGGCCCGAGATCCAGAGATTAGGAGCCCACGCAAGCACGCCAATTATCCCATCCCTCCCTGTCCCTGCCTCCGGGTTGGGGACGCCCACCTCACCGCCCTCATACAGCATCTCAGGCTGGGCAGGCAAGTGCCACCTTGTGGGGTTTACCACAGCATCACCCACCCCTGGAAATGACAGGTCCCTTTCTCTCACCAATGCCACAGCCATCACCTGCTCCTCAGAGCCATCAGCGAGGCTGGAAGCAGCAAGCACTTCCCTGGGTCCCTAATATGGAGAAGGGAGAACAGGAAACTCTTTTGCCCACAGCCCACAGAGCTGCTAAGAAGGTGCCCTTGAAGCTTGGTCATCCACTGCTGGTGGTGTCTGACTCCATCACCCAACGCAAGGGACAAGTCCAAAGTGACACTTCTCAGAGTGACCCCAGCCACCGCATATGTCTCAAAGTAGAGAACTAGGGGGTTCCTGAGATGTCCTTCGGGGACCCAGAGTCCATGGGCTTTTGTTTCTGGAGGGTGTGACGAGTCCAACTACCTGGGCCCCTCAGTACCAGAGCCCTGGCCCAGAGCCCCTCCCCCTGCCAAGATGCCCGGGAGGATGCAGCACTGCTCTAGTGACCCCCAGGGTTTGCTGCGCACGAGTAGGGAGTTGTTGAGGGTGAGAATAAATCGACCCCTTGAAGACAAGGAGAATGTCTCACTCATCTTCGTCAACCCAAGCCCAGCAGACTGGCTGTCAGATAGCTCACAATAACGTTTGCCCAAAAAGTGATGGAGACAGGAAGGAGAGAACAAGTCACTGAAGACGTGGGGACAGAGAACGGGCATTCTTCCCCTTACCCCCGCCTGCTCGCATTTCTCCACTCCCTTAATGAATCAATACTTATGAAGCAATTGCATTTGCCAAGAATACTGTGAGACCCACATCAAAGGAGGAAGGATAAATGGGGGCAGCAGGATGTGAGCAAATATTTGGGGGGTTCTTACTATGAGCCAGACATGGCATTCACAGGTAAGAGCTGATCCTAACTCTCAAGTAACTCAGTTTCATTTTAAAAAGTCAAAAATACTCACAATAATTCATCATGAATACAGATGAGAGCAGCGTAACAGAGGCAGAGACCAACAGAGTGAGGAGGAGAGATGGGCCGCTCTGTGGGCCTGGAAAGCTTGGCCACAGGGGCCTGCGCATGCCATGCCAGGAGCAGCACAGCCCAGGCGGGAGCCACTGCAGATCCAAGGGGCTGGGAGGGGAGGAGGAGGGAGGGCTGCGGGGCAGGCGGCTGCACAGGTTCACAGGTACAGCAGAAAACACCTTTTCTGGGGTGATATCATCAACTCGAAAGTGATCTGGCTGGGAGGGAACAAGGTGAGAAAGCTATGCGTGAGCCAGTCTGCGTTCCTTGCACAGAGAAGAGGAACAGTGCCCCTGGTTCCTCACTACCAGCCCCTGAGAAGGAAGAACACTTGCTTTTGTTTTTTCCTTTTGCTTTTTAAAGTTGTCTCTCTGCAGTTTTCACCCCCACCAGAGGTCCCAACCCCAGTGGCCTACAAAGGCCAGGCTGGTAGTAGGAGGCCAAGCGACAGGCAGAGTGTGTATGGCTGGAAAGCGGCCCTGGTGATTCTAGGCCCCTCCTGCAGCCTTGCCAGCTTTCCCAGACCCATCAGCTCTCCAAAGGGAAGCCAGAAATCTACATCTAGGTGCATCTTCCCATTTTTAAATTTCAACTCAAAGTTGTGAGAAACTGGGTGGGCCATCAAAACCCACAATTCAGGTGTGACCTGAATTGATGCCATATCCTCTATGGGAGACAAGTGCAAGGGTACAGATCACAGAAAAGGGGGTGGGGCAGAGGGGAGAGGTGATAAAGACATCCCACAAGAATCCTGGAGCCCCACCATTTGCCACAATGCACTGAAAGGAGGTTGGGGTGGGGGCACAGGCTGAACTCGCTGGAGCTTTGCTATCAGAACCAAGGAAGCAGCATTTCTGGGTGCAGCCGGACCAGCCAACTGGCACCTGTTGCTTTGATCTCTGGTCTCAACTTCTTTCCATTACTTTATATCTTGACTAAATCGATCCCACAGGTCTTGAGCACAGGGTACACGATCTGGTAAAAGATAGCACAGGGCCAGTGGATTTACGCCAAAGGCAGCGCCACGTCCCCAGCAAGGAGGCCACAGAACTTCCTAGCAGACCGGGGTGGAAGGGGAACTCTGGGGAGGGTTCAAACTTGGGGCAGCCTTCCAGATCTGTTTTTATCGGGGAAAAAAAAAGTCATGCAATGATGGTTTTCCTCAACAAGCTAATCAGCTCAAAAACAAATCGTTTCCACTGATCAGAGATCCTTTCCAAGGATAACCTTCAACAAAAAAAAAAAAGCTGGACTGCAAAATGCAGCATTTTCTAGACAGTGAGGGCACTGAGATGAGAGTGTGGCATGCCAGCCCTAGAGACAACTTGCACTGCCCCTCACCCCTTGCCGCTAAGTGGTTCATGCCAACTCTCCCCCCAGATTGTGTGTCTGGACAGAATTCTGTCCTGTGCAGACATGGAATTTGAAAACAGATGCCTTGAGTTTGTGCTTTGGCTCCACAGCTCTTTAACTGTGTGACCTTAATCAAGTCCTTTAACCTTGGTTTCCTTAATGGGGCACCATGATGATAATCCCACCTTAGGGGTTGCTGTGTGGCTCAGATAAGCGAACAGCCCAAAAAGAGCTTTGCAAACTCCTGAGCACTGAACAAATATAAATTATTCCACCTCCTGGCGTTACTCCTGCAACCCCTGGGCTGCAATCTTGTGTCAAGTGAAATGGCTGCTGAGATCGTGCAGGAGGATTCCAGCCTCCACCAGCTCCAGCACCTGGGAGCTGAAGCACGGCTCCCAGCACTCCCCTCGCCTTACCAGACAACACTTACTTGCCAGTGACCTCTAGCCCGAAATCACACTGCAAGAAGAGCTGTGACGTCCCTTGGTTTCTTACAAATTCCCCACATCCACCTATGGTACCAGAAGAAGCTGTTACCAGGGCAACTTGCAAAGTCCAACCTGCACATGTTAAAAAGGAACTGGCCCCATCTTACCCCGTATGTCAGAAACACCTGCTGTTGCCTTAGAAACCTTCCTAATCATGCTGCTGAATGAGGAAATATTTGCAGGCCTAATCTGGTTTTCTTTTCCCGGAATGATTCCAGCTGTGCGTCCAAGTACCAGACTCTTTTGTTTCCTGACTTCCCACAGGAGGTTAAAAAAAAAAAAAAAAAAATCAAATCATCAAGTTCTTCTCACCTGATCCAAAGCAGCACTGAACTGACTTTCCCCACAAGTGGAAAAGTTACAGTGTAAACCATGGAGAGGAAGGCGTTTTTAGTTTTCATTTTTTTGCGTTTTTAGTTTTCTTTTTTTTCTTTTAAGAGATGAAGGACTCGCTCTGTCACTCTGTTGCCCAGGCTAGAGTGCAGGGACGCAAAAGTAGCTCACTTCACAGCCTCAAACTCTTGGGCTCAAGCAATCCACCTCACTTCCCAAGTAGCTGGGAGTCCAGGCCTGTGCCACTGCCCCCAGATGGCTTTCATCCTTTCTAAGGAATTGCTGGGGTTGGGGCTGGGTTGGGGTTGGAGATTCCTCCCACCCACCAGGGATAAATAGTTAAGACTACGTGAAGAGGGGCCAGGCGCGGTGGCTCACGCCTGTAATCCCAGCACTTTGGGAGGCCAAGGCGGGCGGACCACGAGGTCAGGAGATCAAGACCATCCTAGCTAACATGGTGAAACCCCATATTTATCTACTAAAAATACAAAAAAGTTAGCTGGGCGTGGTGGCACACGCCTGTAGTCCCAGCTACTCAGGAGGCTGAGGCAGGAGAATGGCGTGAACCCAGGAGACGGAGCTTGCAGTGAGCCGAGATCGCGCCACTGCATCCCAGCCTCGGCGACAGAGCGAGACTCCATCTCAAAGTAAACAAACAAACAAAAAAGACTAAGTGAAGAGGCTTTGGAGATAAAAACTCCTAGATTTCAATCCCATCCTGACCTTTCACTAGCTATATCACCATGGGCACATTATTCAGCCTTTCTCTGTTTCTCATTTGTAAAATGGGGCTAATACTACCAACATCATGGGGTTGTAAGGATTAAATGAGAATTAAACAAGACCACCAAGCAGCAGGTCTGGCACCAGGCAGTATTAATTCCCACTCCCTCACAACTTATTGTTAGGAAATGCTGCCTGTCAACTGTGCCAGGCGGCCAGCTAGGTCTAGAACCAGAGGACTCTGAAAGAGCTGATCCTGGACGGAAGCAAAGGATGTGGCTCCAAACAAGCTCCAAACCAATCTAGACAAGAGTCCTCAAACATAAGCATACATAGGGGGAATGTACAATCTCTCATAGGGAAATTGCTTCATGAAGGAAACTGTCATCTTTACATAAATATTTACATAACAACTGAATGCTCCTCAATCCACTGAAAAACTCCATCTGACCCCCCTTTGTCCAGAGGCAGGGCCGTCAAGTGAGAAGACTCAAGAATAATAAGCCCATTCACTGTGCCAAATGGTGGGAGGCACCCAGAGTGGCAGAAGACTTCAGGAAATTAAGCCACTCAGCCGGCTGGGAGGCTCTATCAGCACGCGGCAGGCTGCAGAGCCCAGCACTCACACCCTGCCCCCTAGGTCGCTGGCTTGGCTTTGCTGACCCAGTCCGTCCCCTAAAGGGACTCCTCCCGAACCTGCTGAACCTCCACACACACCTGCATTCCAGCATTCCTAGATCTCCACTCCTCTCACTCTTCAACCAGACTTTCCCCCCAGCTTCCGTTTCTATCAGTGACTTCAGCTCCTGGCCCTGACTTCCAGGTCAGCTCAGACATGTGGGTCCCCCCCACCCCTGATGTCCAATCACCAAGTTTTAGCTAGTCAGTGTTCCAAAGGCTCTCACACACACCCATCCCTGCCCTATGCAGGCTGCAAACTAGTCTTCCCATCTCCAGGGTCTCTTTCTCACAACCATCCCACCAGGCTCCCCGGATGAATGTGTCCTATCATGCTGCTTCCCTAAGGCTGGCTGTCTTGCCCCCCTCCTCCCCTCACCGCCCCCACCTGTCAATGGGTGGCGGCGGGAGGGGTCAAGTAGCCTAACCAGTCTGGACAAGACACCTCCCTCCTCTGCCCATTTGCCCAGTTTGGCCTAATCCTGTCACTTTCAACCTTTTTCAAAGGAGTTTTGTTTTTTTTTTTTCCAAACAGAACATTTAATCCAAACCCTACTGCACAGAACACTTCACAACACATATGCTCTGGGCAAACAGGTCGGGGGGAGCCCTGTTCTCACAGCTCAGTTTCCCCCTTGACCTAGAGTTGGCCCCTGAGACCACCGCCCTAACCCCCTACCCCGCTGCTCCCAACCCTCACCAGCCCCTCCCCTGGTCCCCTCCTCCACTCCCTTTCAGCTGTGATGTCTTGCCAGCAGCGTAGAGTGTGGGGAGTCATCAAACCAGGCCTTACCGCCTCCTGCCCAGTTGCCCTCCAGAGCCTCACTGTTCCATCAGTGTCAGGAACTGTGACAGGCCCTGCGTCTGAGGTTTAGAGGCTGCTCACAGTCCAGAGGCTGGCCCGGGTGTTCCGTACACAGCAACTAAGGTAATCCTCACCGCTCCTAAGCTGCTGTCCATCCTCAGGCTTTTCTCATTTTAAATAGGAGAAAACTGAAGTTCTGTGCCTGCCCACAGTTTCCCAGGGAGGAAACGCAGAGCCTGAACTGCAACAGAGCCCGTCCAGCTTCACGGCCCACGCGCCTCACTGTGCTCGGCTGCCTCGATCAAGTCTATCTACATCCACAGAACACCAGGCCTGGCTCTGGGGACCAACTTCATCAATGGTCATCGGTACGGATATCTTCAACTAGACCCCTGAAGAGTAGGATCTGTTCTATCTTGTTCAGAACCCAGCATGATGCTGTCCTAACAAATACTAAAGTGGTAACTACTCTCCTTCACCAGCCCTCAGACTAAAGTCCAAACAGATGTACCGGCCCAGGAGCCCCGGCAGCACAGGAGCAGTGCCTCCTTTGAAACTCAGCTCTGCAGGGGAGACCCAGGGATTAAAGGCTCTGAATCTGTAAGGCAGACAGCCCTGCACTCTTGCTTACTGTCTGGGGAGACCTTGGGTGGGTAATTTAAAATCTCTGTGCCTCAGTGTCTTCTATAAGATGGAGCTTTTGTAAGGAGGAATTGAGTTTCATGCCTAGAAAGTCTAAAGTCTGGCTCTCAGGCAGGGATCAATAAACAGTCGCTCGTGATTTCTATCACTGTGGCTGAGGGCAGACACTCAGCCCATTCTTACTTCTGCAACTCAAGCACTTCCCGTGTCAACGCAGGACAGAGAATTTAAGATTCCTCCAGAGCTGGCATCAGTCAACAGAGGAACATAACTCCAAAGGCTGGATGTAATCAGACCAACAGCATTCAGCGTCAATCAAAATGACGGCCAAGAAACAGGTGATTTAATAGGTAGCCGGTTTTTGAAACTTTCTGACAGTAAAGCCAAGCCACTCGGCAAGGCCTCTTCTTTCTTTGGCCCATGACTGACTTGAAAAGGAAAACATACTGACTTCACACCAACTTCCACTTGTATCTCCTTTGTCCCTACTGTTCAGATGACTCGGAAAGGATTTCAATCTGCAGCTGTCCATCCTCCCCCAGCCCACTTCTAATCTGCACAGAGCAAGCTGAGCAAGTGGATTTAACTGTCCCTTTAAGGAGGGATCAAGAGGAAGGTCAAGGCAAAGGACAAACATCCAGGAGTGTGCACCGGTCATGCAAGGTGTGTCTGTTCAAAGCCCAAGATGATAAGACCGCTGTACTCACTGAGGTTTGGCCATCCTACGCTGACATAAAGTGGGGCAGCTGCAGACCCTACCCCTGCCAGTGATAAGCCAGACCCAGAACTTCCGGGTCCAGTGGAATCATCCACAGGCAGACAGGTATAGCCACAGAAAAAGAGAAACCAAGCCAGGGCCTTCTCAAATCAATTCTTGACTCAGGCAGGAATCCACGAAGGCCATTATCAAACAAAGGGTGGCAAAGCTGTATCCATGACCACACTGAGCTCTGGACTCATTTTCATCCTTGTACAGAAAGTCTGCCCTAAGCCCGCCTTGGCCCTCTCCAGCCCTCTTCTACACCCCCCAGTAACCTCGAGAGAACACTATCAGAGCTCCCATGGCCCTCCCATGGCTCCCCAGCATTTGGTATTATGTTCCAAATCTTGTGCTCCTCAGCTTGGTATACAACGCCTTGTATCAGCTGACCCCGAGCCTCTATTTCTCCATGGGTTGCTCACTCCATCCCAACTCTTTCTGTTCTACCTACTAGTCCCAGAACAAAAACCACACTTCCAGTCACTTGACATATATTGATCTCTAAACAGCAGTAAGACAGGGATCCTGCCCGGCAAGGAATTCGCAGCACAGGCTTCTCCGCCTTTGCTCTTGCTCTCCACTCTGCCTGGAATACTCTTTCCTACACTTTCCCCATGTAGAAAATGCCTGCTCCATCCCTCAAAAGCCAGCAACTCTCTAAAGCTTTCCTTGCTTCTTCCTCCCAAAGAGTTCATCCTGCCTTCCATGGTACTCTGTACACAGCACATAGCATTTCTTATTTAGGAATCAGCATGCTTCTCCAGCAAGAGTGTGAGCTCCCCAAGGGCACAGCCCATGTCGTGTTTGTTTCTGCATCCCAGCGCCTAGGTCAACACTGGGCACATATAAGGTGATATGGTTTGGCTCGGTGCCCCTGCCCAAATCTCATCTTGAATTGTAATCCTCATAATCCCCACAGGTGGAGGGAGGGACCTAGTGGGAGGTGATTAGATCATGGGGGCGGTTCCCCCATGCTGTTCTCGTGACAGTGAATGAGGTCTCATGAGCTATGATGGTTTTATAAGTGTTTGACAGTTTATCCTACAGACACTGTCTCACCTGCCGCCATTAAGACGAACGCACTTCACCTTCTGCCATGATTGTAACTTTCCTGAGGCCTCCCAAACATGCAGAAGTGTGAGTCAATTAAACCTCTTTCCTTTATTAGTTACCCAGTCTTGGGCAGTTCTTTTTATTATAGCAGTGTGAAAAAACGGACTAATACACCAGGCATCCAAGGAATGCTGACTGGACAGGGACTTCCACTTTTGGCTAATGTGGAGGGAGAGGCACTAGATTTATTCTCCTGCCACAAAAAACTAAAAAGCCAGACAAAGCCAAACAAAACACATAAAATGATAGTTTGTAAACACTGGACATCAGACAGCACAGACCCCTGACAGTGGGAAACAACCAAGGTGAGTGCTATAGCTGCTCCAAGTTACTCCTAGAGGGACTCCGGGCCCAAGACACAGGCAGTGGAGGAGAGGAATTCACACTCCAGGGAGGCCAGGGTAGCCAGAGTTCACAGGGCAGAGTACCAGAGAGGAAAGGGCCACACAGAGAACCCAGAAACCTACAGAGGGTCCCCCTCCAGTTCTCAGCTGGTACTGATCTATACCAGTCCAAGGCAACAATCCTTGGAGCTCAAACTGAAACAGAAATAGTCTTGCGTGCCCACCAGCCACAGTGGAAAAACCTCATCATTCACAGGACATTGGTAAAGCACTAAGGACAGAATTGCCTTGGTAGTGAGGAAAAATCAGGCCTGGGCCTAAGGCTGTTCTGATTCCAACTAACAAACCTTGAGAGCAGCTTTAAAGAATCAAACTGTTCCCAAGTAACTTAACAGTGTCCTAAAACAATGCCAGGAACATTTCTAGAAATACAAAAATATCCAGCACCCCACAAGGTAAAATTCACAACATCTGATATACAATAAAAATTACCAGACATACAAAGAATCAAGAAAATAAGACTCATAATGAGGGAAGCAATAGAAACAGACCCAAAAAATACACAGATAATGGAATTAGTAGGCAAGGACATTAAAACAGTTCCTAAAACTATATTCCATATGTTCAAGAAGCTAAAAGAAAGATTAAGCATGTTAGAGACAGGGAAGATATTTAAAAGACCCAAATCAAACTTCTAGAGATGAAAACTACAATGTCTGTGATAAAAAGTATACTGAAAGGTAATATCAGCAGATTAGACAATGCAGAAGAGACCAGTGAATTTGAAGAAAGAGCAATAGAAACTAACCAGAACAAACCACAGAGAGAAAAGAAAAAGGGACTACTGGGAAAAATGAATGATCAGAGAGCTATGGAGCAACCTCTAGCACCCTTACATACATGTAACTGGAGTCCCCGAAAGAGAGGAAAGAGAAAAGGGAATAAAAAAAATATTTGCAGAGTTACTGACTGAAAAATTTCCAAATCTGATGAAAGCTATAAACCCACAAATCCAAAAAACTCAATGAACCCAAGCACAAAACACACAAAGAAAATTACACTACACAAAAGCACATCATCATTACATTGTTTAAACTCAGTTAGAAAAGCAGTTAGGGCCAGGCACAGTGGCTCACACCTGCAATCTCAGCACTTTGGAAGGCCGAGGTGGGAGGATCGCTTGAGCCCAGGAGTTTTCGACCACCCTGGGCAACATAGTGAGACCCTGTCTCTACAAAAAATAAAAAATTTGCCTGGCATGGTGGCACACACCTGTGGTCCCAACTACTTGGGAGGCTGAAGTGGGAGGATCCCTCGAGCCCAGAAGTTTGAAGCTGCAGTGAGCTATGATCACGCCACTGCACTCTGGCCTGGATGACAGAGTGAGACTCTGTCTCCAAAAAAAAAAAAAAGGCGGGGGGACAGGGAGAAAGAAAAGCAGTTATAAGGAGAAAAGATACATTACAAACAGAAGAGCAAAAAATAAAAATAAACAGACCAGGTGTGGTGGCTCATGCTTGTAATCTCATCACTTTGGGAAGCTGATGCCGTAGGATCACTTGAGGCCAGGAAGTCAAGACCAGCCTGAGCAACATAGCAAGACCCTATCTCTACAAAAATAAAGAATAATCATTAAAAAACAACTACCCAGGCATGGTGATACACACCTGTAGTCTTAGCTACTAGGGACCCTGAGGTGGGAGGATCACTTGAGCCCAGAAGTTTGAGGCCACAGTGAGCTATGATCACGCCACTGCACTCTGGCCTGGATGACAGAGTGAGATTCTGCCTCTTAAAAAGCAAGAAGAAAAAAGGAAAGAAAAATAGCAGACTACTGATATGAAACAATGCAAGCAAAAGACACTGGAACATCTTTAAAGCACTGAAAAAAAAAATAGTTAATCCAGAATTCTATACAGGGAAAATGCCTTCCAAAAACAAAGCCAAAATAAAGACTTCTCTAGACACCCAAAAGCTGAAAGAATCCATCACTAACAGACCAGCACCACAAGAAATGTTAAAAGGATGTCCTCAAGTCAGAAGGAACATGAAACAAGATAGAAATGTGGATCTACATGAAGGAATAAAGAGCACCAAAAATGTTAAACGAACAAGTAAATATAAAAGAACTTTACATTTTCATCTCCTTAAAAAATAATTGACTATTTAAAGCAAAAATAACAATGTGTTGTGGGATTTATGGCACGTGTAGAAGTAAAACAGGTGACAACAATACAAAGTCCAGGAGGAAGGAAATGAAAGTAAACTATTGCAAGATTCTTACACTAAAGTGGTATAATATCGCTTGAAGATAGGCTGTAGCAAATTAAAGATGCATACTATATACCTTAAAGCAACCACTAAAAAGTGTTCGAATTAATGAACCAACAAAGGAAACAAAGTGGAATCATAAAAATTATTCGATCCCAAAGAAGTCATAAAAAAGGAAAAAGGGAACAAAGCACATGGGACAAATTGAAAACAAATAGCAAGAAGGTAGATTTAAACTCAACCATATCAATAACCACATTAAATCTAAATAGTCTTAACACCCCAATTAAAATGCAGCTTGTGAGATTGGATTAAAAAGCAACCCCCGGCCAGGTGCAGTTGTTCACGCCTGTAAACCCAGCACTTTGGGAGGGGTGGGTAGATAACTTAAGGTCAGGAGTTCAAGACCAGCCTAGCCAACATGGTGAAATCCCGTCTCTACTAAAAATACCAAAAAATTAGCTGGGCATGGTAGGCACACGCCTGTAATCCCAGCTCTCAGGAAGCTGAGGCATGAGAATCATTTGAACCCAGGAGGAGGCAGTTGCAGTGAGTCAAGATCACACCACTGTACTCCAGCCTGGGCAACAGAAGGAGACTCTGTCTCAAAAAAAAACAAAAACAAAAACACCACCCATCTATATGCTGCCTACAAGAAGCCCACTTTCAATATAAAGACACAAATTGTTTAGAAGTAAAAAACTTTTTAAGAGATATACCGTAATTTTTAAATCCTCTATTTTTAAAAACTGTTTTATACGTAACAAAATTTACCATTTTAATCATTTTTAAGTATACAGTTCTTTCACATTAAGTACATTTACTTTGTCATACAACCATCACCACCATTCCTCTCCAGAAGATTTTCATCACCCTAAACTGAAATTCTGCACCCATTAAGCACTAACTTCCCATTCTCCTTTTCTCCCGTCTTCTGGCAACCACCATTCCACTTTCTGTCTCTACGAATTGGACTACTCTAGGAACCTCATGTAAGAGGAATCCAACAATATTTGTTCTTTTGTGACTGGCAGGTTTCACTTAGGATAATGTCTTCAAGGTTCACCTGTATTACAGGATGTATCAAACGTTCTTTCCTTTTTAAGACTGAATAATATTCTATCTAATACATATAACACATTTTGTTTATCCATTCACCTGTCCATGGACGCTTGAATGGCTCCCAACTTTTTGGCTATTGTAAATAATGCTGCTACAAACATGGGTATACAAATACTTGTTCAAGTGTCTGCTTTCCCTTATTTTCGTATATACCCAGAAGTGGAATTGCTAGATGATATGGCAATTCTATGTTTAATTTTTTGAGGAACTGCCATACTATTTGCCACTGGCTATACCATTTTACATTCCCACCAGAAAAGCACAAGCGTTTCAATTTCTCTACATCCTTGTCAACACTTATTATTTACTGTTGTTGTTTTTTTTCAATAGCCATCCTAATGGGTGAAGTGGTAGCTCACTGTGGTATTGATTTGCATTCCATAATGACTAGTGATGTTGAGCATCTTTTCATGTGCTTATTGGTCATTTGTGTATCTTCTTTGAAGAAATATCTATTCAAGTCCTTCACCCACTTTTGAATCGGGTTGTTTTTTGTTGTTGGGTAGTAGAAGTTCTTTACATACTCTGGAAATCAATTCCTAACACTATTTTTTTAAAGCTGAATTAGCTATACTAATATCAGACAAAGTAGATTTCAGAGCAAAGACTATTTCCGGGGGCTAAAAGGGTCTTTTCATGATCAATGATACAGCTTGGATATTTGTCTCCTCCAAATCCGTTAAAATTTGATTTCCAATGTTGGAGGTAGGGCCTAGTGAGACATGTTTAGGTCACAGGACAGATCCCTCATGAATGGCTTGGTGCCCTCCCACAGTAATGAGCTCTTGCTCTCTTAGTTCACATGAGAGCTGGCTGCTTAAAAGGGCCTGGCATCTCTCTTGCTCCCTCTGTGGCTGTGTGACACACCTGTTCCCCTTTCACCTTCTGAGACGAGTAAAAGCTTCCTGAGTCCTCACCAGAAGCAGATGCTGGTACTATGCTTCTTGTACAGCCTGTAGAACCGTGAGCCAAATGAATCTCTTTTCTTTATAAATTATCCAGCTTCAGGTATTCCTTTATAGCAATGCAAAACAGACTAATGCAATACAATAAAGAAGGTCAATTCATACACGGAATATAATACTCATAAAGGTTTATGCAATTAACAGCAGAGCTTCAAAACATGTGAAACACAAATTGATAAAACTACAAGGGGAAATGGACGAATCCACAATTACAATCAGAAGTGTCAATGTCCCTCTCTCAATAACTGAAAGAACGGAAGACCAAAAATCAGTAAGGACACAGAAGACTTGAACATTACAAGCCAACCTGCCTGAATTGAAAGTTATAGAACACTTGACCCGGCAATAGCAGAAGATGCAATCTTCTCAAGTGCTCACAGAACATTTACCAAGACAGACCACAGAAGAAGTCTCAGCAAATTTAATAGAGAAGTATGTTCTCTATTTAAAAGAAAATAAATTAGAAATCAGTGTTTACCAGATAGGAGAATAAAGTAATCCTATAATGCTGACTTTATCCGTGACTAGTTGTAATCCTGCTTGAGGTGGGACCAGATAAATCAGCGGAACTAAAAATACTAACAGGTCTTCAAAGGTAGGGCCTACCTGCCTGAGCTATCTGTTTGAGGTTCACTGGGGAGACTCTCTCTCCTCTCCAGCCCATCCTAAGCCCCAGGGGTCCTACTTGTCAGCCCCAGCTAAATCAAGACAAACCTGTTTGATATTTGCTTAAGTCTTTCACATAAACCAGTAAAGGAAGATAAAGAGGTGAGATATGAATTGGAAGGAGCACCTACTAAGTAAACATGCCTTTACAGCTAGCAAAACCTCAGACAGTGCTGCCATTAGACACCTCTCTGTCATTCGGTAAGCACCTGGGAACAGACCAAAACCTTGTGGAAACGCCACATCCTTCAAGGACACTTCTAACAGAATTTCCACACAACAGAGATCCAGCTGGATTAAAAGAGCTAAATCCATTAAATCAGGTCTTGAGTGATCTAATTTTGTCAGCCTGGAAAACCCCTACTATTACTGGCCAAGAGTGTCCAGAAATGATTCATATGGCTAGTTAACCCAAAGGCTTTTTAAGGGCAAATTAACAAATTTCAAAGCAATAAACAAAAAGAAAACAAGAATCCTCAGGAATAATGTCACTTCCAAGCTACCAGTGGCCCAGCAAATCTACAAAGTTCTTAAAGGCAGTGTTTCCCAAACTTGCCTTACCGTAAGAATCACCCAGTGCATTTGTTAATAGATTTCTGGGCCCTCCTCCAGACAATAGCCCAAGAATCTCTAGAGGTGGAGCTCTGTATTTTTAACAAGCATCAGAAATTATTCTTAAGGTCCAGCACCTTTGGGAAACTAAACGGTCTGAGAGGCAGTATCACAGAGTTAAAAGCACATTAACTTCGAAATAAGACTGATGGGTTACAAATCTCACTTGTGGCCAGACGCAGTGGCTCACACCTGTAATCCTAGCACTTTGGGAGGCCAAAGCGGGTGGATCACCTGAGCTCAGGAGTTCGAGACCAGCCTGGCCAACATGGTGAAACCCCGTCTCTACTAAAAAATACAAAAATTGCTTGCAGTGAGCCGAGATCCCGCCACTGCACTCCAGCCTGGGCGACAGAGCGAGACTCCGTCTCAAAAAAAAATAAATAAATAAATAAATAAAAAATACAAAAATTAGCCGGGCGTGGTGGTGGGCACCTATAATCCCAGCTACTTGGGAGGCTGAGGCAGGAGAATCGCTTGAACCAGGGGGCGGAGGTTGCAGTGAGCTGAGATCACACCACTTCACTCCAGCCTGGGCGACAGATCAAGACTCCGTCTCAAAAAAAAAAAAAAAAAAAAAAAAAAATCCAAACTTGGCCACTTACTGGCTGTGTGACACTAGCCAGGTTATCTAACATCTCCGCAACTCACTTCATCTGTAAAACGGGATCATCACCTATTTGGACATGTTCGCAAAATTCGGTATGTTCAGAAAGCCCTAGAACAGTGCCCAGCATATGAAGCCAAGCAACAAATCACAGCTATTGCTACCTGCAAAACAGCGGCCAGAAACTGCTCAGAAAGTCTACAATGAAAATGTTCTACTTAATGGAAATTACAAAGGCACGGAACCACATTTCCAAGATAATCTAGGTAAAAGGCTTTTCTGGGCACTATGACCGCAAAGAACAAAGACTCAGTTTAGCGTCCAGTATTTTCATTGCAACAGTCCCCGATCCCACCCGGAACTACAGAGTTCAGGTGTCTGCAGGGTTGCAGCTTTGGACAACAAAGTAAGAGTCTTTCTTTCCCCAGTTCCTCGGTCACCACCACCTCCAGCTCTAAGGCCAAAAGTCACAGAACTGAGAGTCTGGTGGCAGCATCTTGGTGCATTAGTAGGAAATGGGACTCCTGGAGCCAATAAAGAGGGTGGAAAAGGCCTTAGGCAGCAAGAGAACTGAGGTACCGCTGGAGCGAAGGGAAATGAGTGGGAAGTTTCTGGAGCTGAAGACTGACATTCCCAGGGTAAGTGAGCCCAGACAAGGTGTAGCTGGGAAAGCACTGCCTCAGCTCAGCGACTAAAACCCCAGGTTGTAGAGTCCACTCTGCCAGTAACTCACAAAACACCTCCAGTTAACTCCTTCTCCCATCCGTAAAGTGGGAAATCGCCTCATCGGCTGAGGAGGAAATGAAGAGGAACCAGGCATATAATGGGTATGTATACATCAGTGCCCTTTGCGCCCAGAGGGTCCCGGGGTAAGAAATGTTCAGTGATGCTGGGAGGTCCAAGTCTGAGTCCTGAACAAAGCCAAAGCTGAAACTCCCATCTCTCAATGCCCTGGAGAAAGGGCACAAGCCAGTAAGTCACAGAGCAAAGTCCCTCCAACCTCCCCTCTGCCACTCGTCTCCCGCGTGCCCTCTGGCAAGTCGGACCCTACTCTTAGGCCTCAGCTTCCCCATCTATACAATGGGCTAATTGGCTCTAATGTCATCAGAATTGTGACCGCAAGATGCTCACATATGGGACGAGGGCCTGCAGAGACGCAGAAAGGAGGGTGGCGGTGAGTGGTGGGGCGGAACTGGAGGTGCGACCCGCCGGGGAGCCGGGGCGGCGCCTCGCGCTCTCCCTCCCTCCCTCCCACCGCGAGGGGCAGGGGCGCCGGCCCCCGGCGAGAGTCACGCGCCCCTCGTGCCCAATCACCGGCCTCTGCCAGGATGAGGCGGGCAGGCGGGGGCGCTCCGGGAGCCACGGCCGGCGCCGCCCCCACCGTCGTCCTCTGCCCCGCCCGCCTGCGGCAGAGCCGGGACCCTCCCCAGTCTCCGCTCACCTGCCAGGGCCGCCGTCGCCGCCGCCACCGCGGGTTAAACCGCAGCCGCGCCCACACTTCCGGGGTCCGCCAGGCCCGCCCCCTACCGGATGTGACCCCCTTGCAACGTCCGGCGCCCCAGTGGCGCGCGTGCTCGCCCCGCGACCCCGTTGGCCGCCCCGCCTCGCGCGCCTCTGAGTTACCACGACATCGTGCCACACACACACGCTCGCGGCCGCCCGGGCCACAACCACGGGAGCGCCCACGAGACCCCTCCAGCGCTCGCCGCACGCCTCGGCCCCGCCCCCGGTAAGAGGCCCCGCCCACTGGGCGGAGACCAGGCCGCTCTGGGCTAGTGCGCCGGCGCGGACGTCCGCCGCCTTCCGAGTGGCCAGCGAGGACTCGCTCTGTACACAGCTCGATCTTGGGAGGCTTCTCAGAGGGACCCAAAAGGAGGGGGAAGCAGATGGAAGCCCAGAACCTAGGAGGAGCCCCAGATGGGCTGAGCTCAGACTGAGGAGCCCCAAGGCCACCACACACTCATTTCCATTTACTAGTTAATCTCTTTCCCCCACCCATTCATTCTACAGAATTACCAGTATTCCCCATCTCCTCCCTTCCCCCCTGGAAACAGGAGAGTCCAGCATAATAAGGAAGCCCCCTCTGCTCTAACCCTTAAAAAAAGGAATCTGAAGTGACCTGATGTTAACTAATCAGGTGTTTTTTTTTTTTTTTCTATTCTGTTCCCTTTCCCACCTATGAAACCCACTGCTCTGCTATTTCCCAGGGGAATTTGAGACCAAATAAGTCTATTTACAATGGTAACTGATGTCAATGTCTAAAGTTTCCAACCTCTCAAAATCAAGAGGTTGACCAAAAGGGGAGAAGTGTCCAGTTTAGCCTAAAGTTGTCTCCTGGCGTATCTTAAGTTTGTCCTAAAGGTTTCTCCGTACATAGTGAACTGGATCCTACTCATACCAATCACAGAGTTTCAGCCAATCACAGGCAGCCACCTGTTCAAACCTTGTTCCAATAAGGCAAATGTCAATCTGTCATTGGTAGGGAACCAAACTGGATCCCTTTGCCCTCAGAAAGCCAAACACCGAAGTATCAGGTTTTTGTAGAGGGAAAGATTTGTTGCAAGTCAACTGGGAAGGAGACATGCTCAAATCTGTCTCCCCAAGCCAGGGGCTGTGACAGGTGTTATAGGCAGAGGGTAATGAGCAGTGATCTGATTGAATCTTGCAATAAGCAATGATCTGACTGGATCTTGCCATGGGATGATGCCATGGCTCAATCTGATTAGATCATGGCTTATACCATGTATCTACTTCTTAATTCTGTTCCGGTTCTTTGGTCTGAGCATTTAGGTTGCGCCTGTGGTTGCATGCTTGGTTCTTCTGGGCACGCTCAGGTTACATAACTTGCAACCTGGGATCATGGCAACTGAAAAAACAACTCACCACTTTATTACACAAAGTTGAACCAGATGGGGCTGGTTCTGCGCTTACATAACTGGTCCAACTGTTTCTGTACCTCGCTTCTGTTTTCTGGACATCTATTTCCTTTTTCTTTTCTTATTTTTAAATTTTAATGATTATTTTTTAATAGAAATGGAGATTCGCTATGTTGCCCAGGCTGGTCTGGAACTCCTGGACTCAAGCAATCCTCCAGCCTCGGCTTCCCAAAGTGTTGGAATTACAGGCATGAGCCACCACGCCCAACCTGCTTTCCGTTTTCTATCCCTAAATGTTATCCAACCACCTGGCAGCCTCAGAGTCACTCTGAACCTATTCTGGTTCTGGGGGCTGACTGATTCACAAATCATTATTTGCTCAATTAAACTCTGTCAAACTGAATTTGTCAAAACTCCTTCTTATAACAGAAGGGGTCCATGAAGAAGGTCAGCTGCTGACCCTTCTGAGACACTGGTGACTCCTTTGAGCGGGGGCATGTTGGTTTTGCAAACATTTCACTTGGTACAGAATGTCAGAGTGACTCCCATTGACAGCACCTGTTTGAAAGCTAGGTTGAAATTGTTTCTGAGGGTTAGGGAGGGCCAGGGCAGATGACCTTAATTTTTTGTCATAAGCCTTTTTGTGCTATGTGATTTTTTTTTTTTTTTGAGACGGAGTTTCTCTCTTGTTGCCCAGGCTGGAGTGCAATGGTGTGATCTCTGCTCACTGCAACCTCCGCCTCCTGGGTTCAGGTGATTGTCCTGCCTGAGCGTCCCAAGTAGCTGGGATTACAGGCGCCTACCACCACACCCGGCTAGTCTTTGTATTTTTAGTAGAGACAGGGTTTCACCATGTTGCCAGGCTGATCTCGAACTCCTGACCTCAGGTGATCCACCCACCTCGGCCTCCCAAAGTGCTGAGATTACAGGCGTGAGCCACCACGCCCAGCTGCTATGTGATTTTTAACTCTGCATGTGTTTCATTTCTGAAGGAAAATAATTAGGAAACACTATTGATGGATTAGCTTGAGTTTATATCCAGCAATCTCTTCACTGATTAGTACCATGTTGGAAGGTGGGACATGGACATGATGGCTGGAGCAAGTGTAGTCATCTTGAACCATGAGGCGACCATAGGAATAGAGGCCACACTAGTGGCACAACAAAATAGAAGGAACCTGAGCCCTGATTCCGTAAAGGACCATGACACCACTGGACGGCTGCCTCTGGGCTCTGTGTGAGAGGGAAATAAACCACCTCGTGTCACTGTTGTTTTGGATTTTCTGTCACTTGTGCCCTTTAAGTCTTAGACTCTACTTCTGGAAAGCCCCTATATCCTAAGACTGGGTAACTTCCCCCCTTGTATGTTATTCAAACACCCCACCCTTCAGCCCTTTCTTAGCATTCTCTACACTTTTCTGTAGTTGACCTTTCACTCCCCCTAGATAGTAACTTCTCTAAGGACAGGCAGAGACTCTATTTTATACATCATTTTATGCAGATGCTGGAAACTGCTAACGCTAAAAAAAAAAAAAAAAAAGAAGAAGAAGAACTTGTGAATGTGACAGACACGATGATTCTACCAAGGGTGTTGAGGGGAAATGACACACTGCTGCCTACGCTCTCTCTCCGTGTCCTAAGTCGTTGCCACATTATCTTCTGGGGCCACAGGGTGCTGGCCCTCCTGAATAACCAAAGATAGAGAATTAGGACGAAGGAGGGAGGAAGAGAAAATTGCAGGAAATTCAAGTCATGGGAGGGAAGTGGCATTGGGAAAAAGGGTGCTCTTTCTATTTGGTTCCTGCTATTTTCGACTTTGGGCCTTTTGCAACTTCCCTTGGCTCTAGCCCCTCCTCCAGTCCTGGTCTCTTATCACACATACACCTATGTTCCCACGTTCTATACCTCAATTACACCCAATTTCATTCATAAGTGGAGTGGCCCTGATTAATGCAAAATTTTTAAGAAGTTATAAACACAAACAACCCCAGTTACAGAAGGGGGTACCTTACTCTGTTTCTCACATTCACTTCATTCCTTTGTTCATTCCACATGCATTCACTGAATACCCACACTGCTAAGACCTGCGGATACACAGATGAACAGATACCCTCTCCAGCCTCAAGGATGTCACATTTTTGGTTGAGATTGGAGAGAAAACAAAGTATCTCTAGCCCAAGATAACTCAATCCTTCAAATGACCCTGATCAGGAACAAAAAATATGACACTACGTTGAAGTATATACATTGCATTGCCTCTCTACCCCCTTCTAAAAAGTGAGGGTTTCATTTTGCTTCTTTGCTTGCTTGTTTGCTCAGCTGCTCAGCCCTGGACCTTGTCATACTGGTTGAATGGACGGACAGGTAACGTAAACAAGTAAGGAAGACAAGACAAGGAAGTTAAGAGTTCGAGGTAATGAGACATTTGAGAAGCTGAGGTATTGCGAGAGATTTGGGAACTGGGTTGGAAGAGCAGTTTTGTTGTTGTTTTGGGGGTTTTTTGTTTGTTTTTGAGACAGAGTCTCGCTCTGTCACCCAGGCTGGAATACAGTGGCACGATCTCGGCTCACTGCTACCTCCGCCTCCCGGGTTCAAGCAGTTCTCCTGCCTCAGCCTCCCCAGTGCTGGGACTATAGGCGCGTACCACCACGCCTGGCTAATTTTTAATATTTTTAGTACAGATGGGATTTCACCGTGTTAGCCAGGATGGTCTCAATCTCCTGACCTCAAGATCTGCCCACCTCAGCCTCCCAAAATGCTAGGATTACAGGTGTGAGCCACTGTGCCCGGCCGGAAGAGCAGTTTTTAAAGGAAGTTTTGCTATGTGGCATGTAGAATCTCTAGTTTGGTCTTCAGATGATTGCCAGTGAAGAGTTACTTTATCTTTTTATCTCTAGAGTTGGGAGTCAGATCTCTCTGGCTGGTTTCTCACTTTTTTTTTTTTTTTTTTTATTGACCATTCTTGGGTGTTTCTCGCAGAGGGGGATTTGGCAGGGTCATAGGACAATAGTGGAGGGAAGGTCAGCAGATAAACAAGTGAACAAAGGTCTCTGGTTTTCCTAGGCAGAGGACCCTGCGGCCTTCCGCAGTGTTTGTGTCCCTGGGTACTTGAGATTAGGGAGTGGCAATGACTCTTAACGAGCATGCTGCCTTCAAGCATCTGTTTAACAAAGCACATCTTGCACCGCCCTTAATCCATTTAACCCTGAGTGGACACAGCACGTGTTTCAGAGAGCACAGGGTTGGGGGTAAGGTCATAGATGAACAGGATCCCAAGGCAGAAGAATTTTTCTTAGTACAGAACAAAATGAAAAGTCTCCCATGTCTACTTCTTTCTACACAGACACAGCAACCATCCGATTTCTCAATCTTTTCCCCACCTTTCCCCCTTTTCTATTCCACAAAACCGCCATTGTCATCATGGCCCGTTCTCAATGAGCTGTTGGGTACACCTCCCAGACGGGGTGGTGGCCGGGCAGAGGGGCTCCTCACTTCCCAGTAGGGGCGGCCGGGCAGAGGCACCCCTCACCTCCCGGACGGGGCGGCTGGCCGGGCGGGGGGCTGACCCCCCCACCTCCCTCCCAGACGGGGCGGCTGGCCTGGCGGGGGCTGACCCCCACTTCCCTCCCAGACAGGGTGGCTGCCGGGCGGAGGGGCTCCTCACTTCTCAGACTGGGCGGCTGCCGGGCGGAGGGTCTCCTCACTTCTCAGACGGGGCGGCCAGGCAGAGACGCTCCTCACCTCCCAGACGGGGTCGCGGCCGGGCAGAGGCGGTCCTCACATCCCAGACGGGGCGGTGGAGCAGAGGCGCTCCCCACATCTCAGACGATGGGTGGCCGGGCAGAGACGCTCCTCACTTCCTAGATGGGATGGCGGCCGGGAAGAGGCTCTCCTCACTTCCTAGATGGGATGGCGGCCGGTCAGAGACGCTCCTCACTTTCCAGACTGGGCAGCCAGGCAGAGGGGCTCCTCACATCCCAGACGATGGGCGGCCAGGCAGAGATGCTCCTCACTTCCCAGACGGGGTGGCGGCCGGGCAGAGGCTGCAATCTCGGCACTTTGGGAGGCCAAGGCAGGCGGCTGGGAGGTGGAGGTTGTAGCGAGCCGAGATCACGCCACTGCACTCCAGCCTGGGCACCATTGAGCACTGAGTGAACGAGACTCCGTCTGCAATCCCGGCACCTCGGGAGGCCGAGGCTGGCGGATCACTCGCGTTTAGGAGCTGGAGACCAGCCCGGCCAACACAGTGAAACCCCGTCTCCACCAAAAAAATACGAAAACCAGTCAGGCGTGGCGGCGCGCGCCTGCAATCGCAGGCACTCGGCAGGCTGAGGCAGGAGAATCAGGCAGGGAGGTTGCAGTGAGCCGAGATGGCAGCAGTACAGTCCAGCTTCGGCTCGGCATCAGAGGGAGACCATGGAAAGAGAGGGAGAGGGAGACCGTGGGGAGAGGGAGAGGGAGAGGGCGAGGAGGGAGAGGGAGAGGGCGAGGGAGAGGGAGAGGGAGAGGGCGAGGGCGAGGGCGAGGGAGAGCCTGGTTTCTCACTTCTGCTTCCTCCTTGTGGCTCCCACGCTGTGCCGAGCCATTCAGCCTGCACAATCCAGACAATGGATTTGCCTCTGAAGTAGGGGCTGGCAGCTGCCTACAAAATTATCCGTTCTCTGTTTTTCCTTAAAAACAGTACATTTCATTCAGGATAGCAATGTGTCCAGTCAGCTAAAAGACTGCATTTCCCAACCTCCTTTGCTGTTAGTTGTGACTAGGTGACTGTGATATAAGCAGGAGTGTTGAGGGGGATTTCCTGGAAGGCTGCTTTAAAGGAGCTGATTCAGCTGGGGTGTGAGTCTTTTTGCCTTCCCCCGCCTTCTAAGTACTTACTAGATTTCAGAAGTGCTGGCTGGAACTCCTGCAGCCATATTGGACTATGAGGTGACTTTGGAAATGGAAAGCGTTCAAACTGAACAGCCTATCTGCAGATTTATTTAAGGGAGAAAAAATAAGTTTTCTCTTTTTAAAGTTGTGGTTATTTCAGGTTTTCTATAATGTGCACCTAAACTTAAACCTGATACTACTACACACAGTTACTGTGTGTCTTAGTCTGCTCAGGCTGCCAAAAAAAAAAGCACAGACTATTACAGGCTCACGCCTGTAATTCCAGTACTTTGGGAGGCCGAGGCGAGTGGATTACCTGAGGTCAGGAGTTTGAGACCAGCCTGGCCGACATGATGAAACCCCCATCTGTACTAAAAATACAAAAAAGTACCCGGGCATGGTGGTGGGGGCCTATAATCCCA
Source organism: Homo sapiens (assembly GCF_000001405.40). Taxonomy (NCBI): domain Eukaryota; kingdom Metazoa; phylum Chordata; class Mammalia; order Primates; family Hominidae; genus Homo; species Homo sapiens. The sequence goes on from NC_000011.10 coordinate 61,168,120, forward strand.
GCTGCTCCAGAGGCTGAGGCACGAGAATTGCTTGAACTCAGGAGGCGGAGGTTGCAGTGAGCCGAGATCGAGCCACTGCACTCCTGCCTGGGTGACAGAGCAAGACCGTGTCTCAAAAAAAAAAAAAAAAATGCACATATACATAATCATGCATAAATGCAAATTGTGATTATAAACATGGTTAAGCATAGTTTGGGGATGTTTTCTTTTCTTTTTTTTCTTTGGTTGTTTGGTTGGTTCCCCTGCTTATTGACAGCCTAGTGCATGTCCTCCTGTATAGTCTCATCCAACTCTGCGTATGTTGGCCAAAAGAGGCTTAGGGCAGGGGTGGGGAGAACCAAAGGTGAGTGAGGCATGAGCACATGGATGAAGGGTGTGGCCATTGTTGCTGTTCATAACCACAGCAGCAGAACCACACTTCCCCTCCCTCTTCCAAACCACTATCCCCCTCCCACCCTCATCCCCCCGCCACCCATCCCCATTGGTCAAATTTACTTTGACCAATGGAATGTGAGCAGAGGTGGTGACATGTGTCACTTCCAGGTAGAAGCCTTTAGGAACCAGAGTCCCATTTCTCACCCATCTCCTTCCCCTGCATCAGGACAGAGCATCCGTCAGCCTGAGTCCCTGCATGGCTGCGAGGAGTAGAGCTCCCTGCCAACCCAGGTCGGCTGTGAGTGAGAAATCAACCTTAGTTGTATTGATCCTCTGAGATTTGGAGGGTGGAAACCAGCTTATCTTCACTGAAGCAGGAGGGTATAACAGGAACTGCTCATCATCTACTTCCTCCAGTAATCAAACTCCAACTTTCACCCTAGTCTGTGGCCACCTAGCTAAAGACTACATTTCCCAGCCTCTCTTTCACCTAGAAGTGCCCCTGTTAACTTCATTACGGCCAGTGACATATGAGCAGAAGTAATCTTTGCAACTTCTGGATTATGCCTTTTAAGGAAAGGGGCATATCCCACTTCCCTTTCTCTATTTCCTGCTGGCTGGAATGCAGATGTAATGACAGGAGCTGAAGCAGCTATAATGGACCAAGAGATGAATATCATGTGTTGAGGATGGCAAGGCAACAAGAAGGAATTTGGGTTTCAATCACTGGAGAGCCACCTGGACTATTATCTATTATATGAAAGATAAATGAAATTTTTGTTTGTTTGTTTGTTTGTTTGTTGTTGAGATGGAGTCTCACTCTGTCGCCAGGCTGGAATGCAGTGGCTCAATCTCAGCTCACTGCAACCTCTACCTCCCAGGTTCAAGTGATTCTCCTGCCTCAGCCTCCTGAGTAGCTGGGACTACAGGCGCGCACCACCAGGCCCAGCTAATTTTTTTGTATTTTTCTTAGTAGAGACGGGGTTTCACCATGTTGGCCAGGAGGGTCTCGATCTCTTGACCTTGTGATCTGCCCGCCTCGGCCTCACAAAGTGCTGGGATTACAGATGTGAGTCACCGCACCCAGCCATTAAATTGTATTTTACTTAAACCTCTGTTATTTGGGCTTTGGTTACAGCAGTTGAACCTGCAGCCTAATTCCTGGATGTTAGCCTGGTTTTGACAATTAGAGTTATGGCAGGTAGAGACCATGGACTTATGAACAAGTCAAGTGAGATCCCTGCCCTCAGGAACATGTGGTCCAGCCGGGGGTTCAGAAAATCAGGCCGGGGCAAAGCCATATGGCAGGGAAAGCTTCCTGGTGCTCTAGGAACTCATAGCTGGGGTCTCAGTGGCTGCCTGAAGGAAACTGTCTCAGGTCAAGCTCCCCAGAAGTAACCAGTGAGATGAGGTTTCATGTACAAGTGATTTATTTCAAAGGTGGTTCAGGAAACCAGTGAGGGAGGGAGCAGGGAAGCAGGACTGGGAAGGGGATGAAGCCAAGCCAAAGTGTGATTTTATGCAAGTCCTGCCGAGGGAAGCTCCAGCCTGATCCCACAGGGGAGCCCTGGAATGTAAGTCATGCCTGAAAATTGCCCCAACCTAAGGCAAGCAAGCTGGGCTTTCACATTCCCACCTGTACCCCTCAGTCATTGGCTAAGGGCCACCCTACACCTGTGGGCCAATGTATTCTATTCTCCAAAGACAAGTCATAGGTGCCATGAGAAGCAAAAGCACCTCAAACCCCGTGAAAGTGCAAGCTCAGGTGATGTTGGGATGTTCCACACCTCTTCTACTCCTATCAACATCATATCAGGAATCCTAAAAAGGCTTTGAGGGAGAGAGCCTTTCTGGTTCCCAGTGGCCAAAACCCCCTCAATGGAACAGAAAAGACATAAAGAGATTCCCTTTTTTTAAGTTTTGTTTTTTGTTTTTAGAGATGGAATTTTGCTATGTTGCCCAGGCTGGTCTCAAACTCCTGGCATCAAGTGATCCTCCTGCCTCAGCCTCCCCAGTAGCTAGGATTACAGGTGTGTCCCACCGCACCTGTGATCTGTGGAGAAGCCAGCAGCTGGAGGAAGAATGCACTCACCCCAGTGGCACCCATGGCATTTAAATCCTGCCCCCCAACACAAGCTCTTTAAGAGCAAGATGCAGGGAGTGGCGTGATTGTTATAAAGCTTTCGGCCACGACCAGCCAGGCTCCGTCCCATTAGGTTGAGCCCCCAGGAACTCTGAGCTTTGGCGGCCACTGCAGCTCCCTACACTTGGATCCGTATTGGTCTCTGGGCAAGGACCTGCCCAGGAACGTTGCGAAGGTTCTCAAGTCTTTGGAAAGGACATGGTATCAGCTGATAAGGCCACAGGGAGTCAAACAAATCCCCCCAACCCCTAAGGCTAGCTGGACATCAGAATGAAAGGGCAGTCTCTCTTCTGGGAAGCATCCCAGAAGAGCCCTCGGACCAGCTGGAGGTCAGACAGCCTCTGCTTGATCCCCGTGCAGGCCTGGAGGCTCCCAAAGCAGCCTGTTCATTCCTTCCTCCTACTCCATAGAATCCTGTGAGATTTCCAGACCAGGACAAAGTCAGAAAAACTAGAGGGAAGCAGGGTGCAGTGGCTCATGCCATAATCCCAGCACTTTGGGAGGCCAAGGTGGGCGGATCACTTGAGGTCAGGAGTTCAAGACCAGCCTGGCCAACATGGCGAAACCCCGTCTCTACTAAAAATACAAAAGTTAGCTAGGCATGCCAGCAGGCACTTGTAGTCCCAGCTACTCAGGAGGCTGAGGCAGGGGAATTGCTTGAACCCGAGAGGCGGCGGTTGCAGTGAGCCAAGATTGTGCCACTGCACTCCAGCCTAGGCAACAGAGCAAGACTCCATCTCAAAAAAAAAAAAAAAAAAAAGGAAAAGAAAAGAAATAAAAGGAAAATTAGGGGGAATGGGGGCTGAGTTTAGACACCATGGTGATCACCCTCTTAGCCACAGCCTCGTCTGCCGCAGGGTGACATGGCAATGCCTTCGGTCACTGGGCAGGTCACAGAGATGCCACTCCAAGGGCCCAAGCCAGGGCAAGGACAATTCCTAGGGTATCCTGCCAGGTCCTCCCAAAGCCACATGCTCAGAAATGAGACCTACCTAGGATCATAAGTTCTGCCTCTTTCTGTGGCCCAGAATTGGGAGCATAACCAGCCTCAGCTGTGTAAGGAAGCCATCACCCCTCTTTCCCCCAGAGAGGGCTTCCTCCTTCTTTCATTTCTGGGGGGATTTTCTGTTTTCTTTTTTTAGATATGGAGTCACACTCTGTCTTCCAGGCTGGAGTGCAGTGGTGCGATCACAGCTCACTGCAGCCTCCAATTCCTGGGCCCAAGTAATCCTCCCACCTCAGCCTCCCAAGTAGCTGGCACTACAGGTGTGTGCCACCACACCCAGCTTTTTCCTCTTCATTTCTAACATGGCACTTACCCCTCTATTTACCTCCCCATTCTCATTTAACTTCATCTTCTAAACACCGGCTTGGGTGGGGGTTTTCTTCAGTACAGTCCTAGAATACCACAAAGCCATTAATTGTCACCTGTCACCCTCAAAGCACTGCCCTAGCCTGCAGTATTAAATATTCATTCATTCTTTCCTTCAGCCATGAGAACAGGAAGGAAATTAACATTTCAAAACATTACACGCCTCTTCACCCCTGCAAGGTGCTTGTACATAGTTCAAATAACAAGCTTAAGTTGATAACAGAAGTTGTTATCAAATAAAAGTTAAATCCGCCTCCCTATAATTCCCAGTCTTTGTCCCTATGCTACTCTGAACATTTGCTATCGAATAAGTCTAGTCCCTTGTTTTTGCAAAAAACTTTTAGATATTTGTGGTTGGCCCTCAAGCTCCACCGAAGTCTTGATTTTCCAGTCTAAGCAACCCCTCAAAATGTCTGTCTGGTCTCCATCTTCCCCACCTCCTCCCACCAACCCTTTCTCCCCAGTCTCTCTCTTTCCAATGAAAGGGAGGGTTGGAGACCGGAGGGCCTGACTTTCACTCACTGTCCAGTGCTTCCCCAACCCGTTTCTCTGGCTTCCCTCTCTGTTTGATGTTTCGTGCTTCCTTCCTCTTCTCTTGGCTCTGGCGCCCTTCTCATGTTTAAACCTCACTTTCCTCTCTTCTGCTCCCTTCTTTGTAGGCTCATACCTCATCCACCCACCCAAAGCTCCTCATTGCCTACAGGAAACATTCCAAGTGCCTAACCATGGCACTCAAAGCCTACCATGATGTAGTCCTTGCTCTCCTTCCCCATGTTAAGCCGTAAATCATTAGCAGTGTTCTCCAGAGTTTCCTAGTCCTCATTCTAAAACCATGTTGAATTATACTTCCATAATCCCTTGAAATTTGGCGTCACTTGGGCCAATGAAGTGCAAATAGTGGTGACCCATTTCACTCCTGCAGACACTTCTGATGTGGCCGGTGCATGAGTTGGCATGTGCCTCTCCCCCTGCTGTGGCCACCAGTGACACCATAGATGGTGAAGTCTCCATCGGTCTGCATCTCTGAGTGAAAACGTCTCAAACCAGAGCCCTAGATGACCTGTAATGGACATATAGGGAAAGCAAAAGAGAAACCTTCTTATTGTGAAATTGGGTGTTGCTTGTTACTGCAGCATATACTGCCCATGCTGACTAATATCATGCATCAACTGGGCCCATGACCCTTACCATCTAACCTTACCAGGTGACTTACAATCCTTTAGGTCTATTATCATGCCAGTGCTGCCCTCTTTGGTGTTCCCTCCTCCCCATGCCCATTTGGCAAAGTTCTCTCATCCACTGAGACTCGGCTCAGTTGCCACCTCCACTAGGGAGACTTCCTAACTTTCCACCTAAGGCAGCATTGGGCATCCTCTTTGCAGGATGCCCAGGGCATGCCTCTATTGCAGTGCTGCCACATTACCTTTCTAAATGTTTTGTTTCCTGGACTTCAGGGCCACTGCTAGCCCATTTGGAGCCTTCGTTAGATTCAGAAAAAGCTGGCCTCCTCCAGGTGGCTGCAGCTGCCCAGGTGCATGGCTCAGCAGTGAATCATGACCTGACTTCAGGTCTTCTTCCCCCATGGCCTGACACCTGTGTTCTGGGCACAAATTGTACAATGTCCTCCATGGCCCTGTCTGCAAGGCTATTCATAAACAGCGAGCAATTTATGAACTTGGCTTCGAGCACCCTCAAGTGTTCACTGAAAGAATGAATATTTCCTAATAGATGAGACCTGTCCTCAATTATCCCTTCCTCCTCCCACCCGTCCTCTCCTCCTTTTGTTCTGCCTCATTTCCTGACCTCCCAAGCCCAGTACTAATGAGCTGCAGAGTGGCCAAGAGCCTAGAATTTGTAGTCAGACAGACCTAGTTCAAATCTTGACTCTACCACTTACTTGCCATAAATCCTTGAGGAAGTTACTTAGCTCCTCTAAGCCTCAGTTTCCTCATCTATAAATTGGAGACATTATCAGCTTCACAGGGCGCCCACAAAGAGCACATGGGAAAAGGCGTTCAATAGGTGTCTCCAGGGCTCCTCCAAGTCAGGCTCTACAGCTGGGAGACCAGAGTGGCCATGGAAGGCATCACTGAGGAGGGAACATTGAGATGATGGCTGAATAGCCATCCACGCAGAAAGCTGGGAGAAGAACCTTCTGGACAGGGAGAACAGGAATTGCAAAGGCCCAAGGTAACCAAGTTCAATAAAAGGCTACTTTTCCATCTCCAGTCTTCCGTCCACACCTGAACACACCATCGTCAACCAGGCCATCGAGGCCACAAGTTACACACCATGACCTCATCACACACTTGATTTGTTGACTCGGAGCAAGTTACCAGCAATGAATTATCAACCCCTTTCCCAGAATGGCAAGCCCTGGGGCTATGTGCAAACTGAGGCGGGAAAATAAGAGGTGTCAATAGAGCTGAGTTTGCTCTGGGCCCAGGGCCATGTAGATAAGCTGGTTATCATCACCAGCTCCAGCTCCAAGAGGCACAGTGGGTGCCACTGCCACCACCAGGAACCCTGGGGTTTGCTTGTCCTCCTGCTGGAACGCCCAGCACACCCACAGGGCCAAGAGGAAAGTAAACGCTCTTGACTAATCTCCCCCAGTGCTATCACAGGGGCCCCCCGAAGGTGGCTGCTCCTTTGGCAGAGTCTGGTTCTTCCATTCCTTCTTGGAAGATGGCCATGGGGCATCAGCACCTGACCATGATGTCTGGTGGCTAGAATTCAACTTGAAATCAGTTGAGACCCAAGTAATGCCCAGGCTTTCCCGGTGGGTTTTCCTTGCTCCATTCTTTGTCTCCATACAGTGAAGCCCCCAGAAAGCATCAGTTGTTCATCCCTCATCAGGGCCTTCAAAGTTCCAAGGTCTTTCTTGAGCCTCAGAGAGGCAACAAGTCCTTGAATGCACCCTTGTCTGACCCTCCCAACTCAGCCAAGAATCCCCTAAAGATGAAATAGAACATTGGGTTTCAATTGTCGAAGTCTGACCAGAAGATGTTCCTTACTCTAAATACAGGCCAGTGTCACACCAACTTACAAGGGTCAGTGTGTTATGAACAAGGAGGGGAAGCTGTGGGGCTGCCAAGCTGGGCACAAGTCAAGCACTAACCGGCACCACTGCCTCCTGCTTCCTGGTGCCACTCCAGCCGGGGCTGCCCCCACTGTGTCTGGCAGCTTCCAATATTGCTTTCCTGCTGCCATAAGATGGCAGGTCTGGCAACAGAACTGGAGCCGGACTTAAGGAGAAAGAGGAAGGAACTTCAGCTCTGGCACCTGCAGACCCCCGAAAGTGACCTACGGAAGCTGGCAGCAGGGACTGCAATTGAGCATTCTCTCACCTTTCCCTTCTCAGAGCTCCCCAAGCCTATGCCCAGGTGGGAAGAGGATTACCTGAGAGCCAGAAGCCCCGGGTCCCAGCACTTCACTAACCTACCTTGCATCCCTTCTGTAAATTATACACCCCAGCTCTCAGTTTCCCCATCTCCGGGATAACAGACTGGACTTGTCCAAGAATAGCAATCATTCCCAATCCAGTGCCGACGCTGGTTGCTAGAACACGTGGCTGAAGGGATTGTATGTTGCTCGGGATTCTGGGGCCACATCCAGTGGTAGGGGGTGCTGTGGTTCGCTGGCAATATCTGCCTTGGACTCAGAATGGAGCATGGTAGACCAGGTGCCACGTCACTGACATGCAGGAGCTAAAGGACCTTTGCACTCCTGCCCAATGGAACATTCCAGCACTTGGATTCTGTGGGATGAGATCTGACAGCCATAAGGCAGAAGTTACCAACTGGGAAGCTCATGGATTCTTCAACAGAAACTCGAGTCAGGCTGATGAATTACCTTTACTAAAGGAATGAATAACAATAAAAAAAATTCTAGGTCCAAGACGTGCCAAGAAAGGTTAGATATATTGGACAATATTTTAAAAGGAGAGATGTTTTGGGTGACCTGCTATTTTGCTGTCCAGCTTGAGATGATGCCAATGGCCACAGAGTAATAAAAGGGCCACTGAATATGGCCTCGTTCCCATGGCTCACCAGCAGTAAGCATCTCTACCACCTCCATGTCTGGAGCAGGAATTCCAGCAGGAAGGACGCAGCCTCCAGAACCATTTGACCAGAAGATCCAAGTGCGACTGGACTGCTGGTAGGTACCACAGAAATCCTAGCTCTCTCCTCCCCACAGCTGGCTGTTCTCTGTTTAAACTTGACTCACTGCATATGTCCCGCTGCCACAGGAGGCCCTTTTCCAATATCTTGTTCCGCTCTGCAGACCCTCTGTTCACGCCCCTGGGCTTCTCTCCCATCCCAGTCTGTCTTGCATCCTGTGCAAGCTGCCCTCCTCTCTGTTATTTAGTTATGAATCCCTCCTCCCTTCCCTTCAAAACACCTCCACTGCTTCAGTCTTTGGCTCCCTCCCTATCCGGGCCCCTGCCCCTTCCCTACAGATGATACTAAAGCAGACAAAGCCAGGGAGGGAGACCCCCATTTTGTTGTTTCTAAAAATGTTCTCATCCTTTCCACTTCCAGGCCCTGATACGGCTCCTCAAAGTCTCAAGCTGATGATCAGACAACCTCGAGGGGTAGTGGTGGGAGACAGCAGGACGAGGGCCGGAGCCGTGGGCAGGGGAGGCTCAGGAGCAACTCAGCCAGTGTGGGGCCCACCCAGGTCGGCCTTGCTTGGGACCCTTGGGATACCACTAAAGACAGAAACTTCAAAATGGAAATGTTTTCAACTTATTACAAAAAAGGTTCAAACATAAAAGTAAAAATGAATAGTGTCATGGACCTCATATTCCATCACTCAGCATCAAGAATTACACTGTTTCTGCAAATCCTTGTTTTATATACACACTCCCCCCTTTTTTTTTTCTTTGTCTCACTTTGTTGCCCAGGCTGGAGTGGACTGGCGTGATCCCGGCTCACTGCAGCCTCCGCCTCCCAGGTTCAAGCGATTCTCATGCCTCAGCCTCCTGAGTAGCTGGGATTACAGGCATGCATCAACACACCCAGATAATTTTTGTATTTTTCGTAGAGACAGAGTTTCACCATGTTGGCCAGGCTGGTCTCAAACTCCTGGCCTCAAGCAATCTACCTGCCTCAGCCTCCCAAAGTGCTGGGATTATAGGCATGAGCTACCGCACCTGGCGACACTCTTACTTTTTAAAAATTTTATTCTTTATATATTTATATTTGCTGTAATATTTTAAGGCATACAGCTTACCATTTCACTGTAAATACTTTATTGTACATTTCTAGGAGATAAGGGTCATATTATATATATATATATATATACACAGCTGTAATTAATATATATATTCAAATATATATATTTATAGCGGCAATGCTCTCTTATTCCAAACAAAACTACCAACTTTTCTTTTAATTACCAATTTTAATATCACCTAATAACCAGTCCATGTTCAAATTTATTTGATTCTCTCAAAAATGCCTTTTAACAGTTGATATATTCAGATCCAGGATCAAGATCTTGAGGTTATCCGCATGTGTTGCATTTGGTGGCTGTTTCTTAAGACTTTTAATGGGCTGGGCGCGGTGGCTTACACCTGTAATCCAAGCACTTTGGGAGGCTGAGGCGGGCAGACCACAAGGTCAGGAGTTTGAGACCAGCCTGGCCAACATGGTAAAACCCATCTCTACTGAAAATACAAAAATTAGCCAGGCGTGGTGGCAGGCACCAGTAATCCCAGCTACTTGGGAGGCTGAGGCAGGAGCATCGCTTGAACCCAGGAGGCGGAGGTTGCAGTGAGCCAAGATTGCACCACTGCACTCCAGCCTGGGCAACAAGAGCGAAACTCCATCTCAAAAAAAAAAAAAGACTTTTAGTAGATAGCAGTCCCCCTTTATATGCCATTAATTTATTTATAAAGTAAGTGTATGGGCCTGTTAGAATGGCCAAAATCCAGAACACTGAGAACACCAAATCCTGGTGAGAATGTGGAGCAACAGAAACTCTCATTCGTTGCTGGTAGGAATGCAAAATGGCACAGACACTTTAAAAGACAGCTTGGCAGTTTGTTATAAAATTAAACATACTCTTGCCATATTACCCATCAGTCACACTGCTTGGATTTACTCAGAGGAGTTGAAAATTTATACCCACACGAAAACCTGCATATGACTATTTATAGCAGCTTTATAATTGTCAAAGCTTGGAAGAAACTAAGATGCCCTTCAGTGAGTGAATAAGAAGATAAACTGTACTCCATCCAGACAATGGATTATTATTAAGCACTAAAAAGAAATGAGCAATCGGCTGGGCACGGTGGCTCACACCTGTAATCCCAGCACTTTGGGAGACCGAGTCAGGTGGATCCATCAAGCTCAGGAGTTCAAGACCAGCCTGGGCAACATGGCGAAACCCCATCTCTACAAAAAATATATATAGAGAAAAATTAGCTAGGCATACTGGTGTGTACCTGTAGTCCCAGCTACTTGGGAGACTGAAGTGGGAGGATGGCTTGAGCCTCGGAGGCAGAGGTTGCAGTGAGCCAAGATGGTACCATTGCACTCCAGCCTGGGCAACAGAATGAGACCCTGTCTCAAAAAATAAAAACGAAAATAAAAATTAAAAAAAGAAAGAAATGAGCTACCAAGCCATGAAAAGGAGGAAACTTAAGTGCATATCACTAAGTGAAAAAAGCCAGTCTTAAAAATGTATATGTGAATACATAATAGTTGTACACATTTATGGGGTACACGGGATATTTTGATTTCAAGTATGCAGTGCGTAATGATCAAATCTGGGTAATTAGTCTATCTAGCTTGGCTGCTGCGAATAGTGCTGCGATAAAAACAGGAGTGCAGATATCTCGTCAATAGACTAATTTCCTTTCTTTCTTTTTCTTTTTTTTTTTTTTTTAGACGGAGTTTTGCTCTTGTTGCCTAGGCTGGAGTGCAATGGCACGATCTCGGCTCATGGCAACCTCCACCTCCCGGGTTCAAGCAATTCTCCTGCCTCGGCCTCCTGAGCAGCTGGGACTACAGGCATGTGCCACCATGCCCGGCTAATTTTTTTTGTATTATTAGTAGAGACGGGGTTTCTCCATGTTGGTCAGGCTGATCTCGAACTCCCAACCTCAGGTGATCCACCCACCTCAGACTCCAAAGTGCTGGGATTACAGGCGTGAGCCACCGTGCCCGGCCGACTAATTTCCTTTCTTTCGGATATATATACCCAGCAGTGGGATTGCTGGATCATATGATAGTTCTATCTTTAGTTTTTTGAAAAATCTGCATTCTGTTTTCCACAGAGGCTGTACTCATTTAAATTTCCACCAACAGTGAATGAGCATTCCTCTTTCTTGGTCTCCTCACCAGCATCTGTTATCTTCTGTCTTTTTGATGACAGCTATTTAACTGGGGTGAGATGATAACTCACTGTGATTTTAATTGGCATTTCCCTGATCATTACGAATGTTGAGTCTTTTTTTCTCCACCCGTTGTCCATTTGTATCCTCCTTTGAGAAGTGTCTATTCAGATCTTTTGCCCATTTTTAATCAAATTATTTGTTTCTTTGCTATTAAGTTGTTTGAGTTCTTTATATATTCCTGGTTGTTATTCCCTTGTTGGATGAATAGTTTGTAAATATTTTCTCCCATTCTGTGGGTTGTCTCTTCACCTTGTTGATTGTTTTCTTTGCTGTGCACAACCTTTTGGCTTGATTTACATCCCATTTGTTAATTTTTGCTTTGTTTGCCTGTGTTTTTAAGGTCTTATCCAAGAAATCTTTGCCCAGACCAATGTCCTGAAGCATTTCCCCAATGTTTTCTTCTAGTAGTTTCATAGTTTCAGGACTTACATTTAAGTATTTAATCCATTTTGATTTGAACTTTTTGCATGATCTAGTTTCATCATTGTTCTGCATAGCATACCCAGTTTTCCCAGTACCTGCAGTGCAATGGTGCAAGCTCGGCTCACTGCTACCTCCGCCTCCTGGGTTGAAGCGAGCCTCCTGCCTCAGCCTCCTGAGTAGCTGGGATTACAGGTGTCTGCCACCACACCTGGCTAACTTTTGTATTTTTAGTAGAGACAGGGTTTCACCATGTTGGCCAGACTGGTCTCAAACTCCTGATCTCAGGTAATCCCAGCACTCGGCCTCTCAAAGTGCTGGGATTGCAGGAGTAAGCTACCGTGCCAGGCCATTTTTTTTTTTAAGACAGAGTCTTGCTCTCTCACCCAGGCTGGAGTGCAATGGCATGACTGATCTCAGCTCACGGCAACCTCCACCTCCCGAGTTCAAGCAATTCTTGTGCCTCAGTCTCCCAAGTAGTAGAGATGGGGTTTTGCCATGTCGGCCAGATTGGTCTTGAACTCCTGGCCTCATGTGATCCACCGCCTCGGCCTCCCAAAGTGCTGGGACTATAGGCGTGAGCCACTGTGCCCAGCACCCCCAGTAGCATTTACTGAAGAGACTGTCCTTTCCCCATTGTATGTTCTTGGTGCCTTTGTTGAAAATGAGTTGGCTAAGAAGCCCATCTTAAAAGGCCATATACTGTATGATTTCAACTATATGACATTCTGGAAAAGACAAAACTATGGAGACAGTAAAACAATCAGTGGTAACCAGGGGCTGGTGGGAGGGAAGGATGAATAGGCAGAGCACAGAGTAGTGAAGCTGTTCTTTATTTTGTGTGCATGTGTGTGTATGAGATGGAGTTTTACTCTTGTTGCCCAGGCTGGAGTGCAATGGCGCAGTCTTGGCTCACTGCAACCTCTGCCTCTCCAGTTCAAGCGATTCTCATGCCTCAGCCTCCCGAGTAGCTGAGATTACAGGCATCCACCACCATGCATGGCTAATTTTTGTATTTTTAGGAGAGATGCGGTTTCACCATGTTGGTCAGGCTGGTCTTGAACTCCTGACCTCAGGTGATCCACCTGCCTCGGCCTCCCAAAGTGCTGGGATTACAGGCATGAGCCACCATGCCCGGCCTTCTGTATAATATCATAATGGTGGGTACCTATCACACATTTGTCCAAACCCATAGAATGTTCAATGCCAAGAGTGAATCTTAACGTAAACCATGGACTTGGGGTAATAATGAAGCATCATCGTAGGTTAATCAATTGTAACAAATGTACCACTCTGGGGCAAGATATTAATAATGGAGAGGCTGTGCATGTGAGGTGGGGTGGCATGGATATATGGGAAATCTCTGTACCTTCTGCTCAATTTTGCAGTGAAGCTAAAACTGCTCTAAAAAGTAAAGTCTGTTTTTTTAAGTAGGGGGAGCATGGAGAGGTCATTTGTCCTACAGGATGTCCCACGTATGGGATTTGAATGATTGTTTTTTTGTTCCTTTACCTACATTATTTCCTATGCCTGGTCATGAGATCTAGACTTGAATTCAAAATTTTAATTAAAATACTTCTTAGGTAGTTCCATATATTCCCTATTGTATCACATAAAGAAGCACATAATTTCTGACTGTCTCACTCTTACAGATGCTAGATTAATCCGCGGGTCCTGGTGTTATCAACCTAATCCATCCAATCCTGAACTTACCCTTCAACCTTCCACCTTACGGTTTTGGCATCTGTTGATGATTTTTGCCCTAGATCCATTGTTTCATTAGAAGTTGCAAAACAATGAGTTCCAAATTCTACCATTCCTTCTGAATTTAATCATTGGAATTTATTATTTATTTATTTATTTATTTATTTATTTATTTTGAGACAGGGCCTCGCTCTGTCACACAGGCTGAAGAGCAGTGGCACCATCATAGCTCACTGCATCCTCAACCTCCCAGGTTCAAGCCATCCTCTTGTCTTGACTTCCCAAAGTGTTGGGATTACAGGTGTAAGTCATCATGCCTGGCCAGGATTATTGGGTTTTTAATAAAAGAGGAGACTCTGTTAACCTTGTAACCTTTGCAGAGAGGCAGAGAGGAACCAGTTAGAGCAAGAGTTGCCATCGCTATAGGTCCCCCTTGCTTTTTTTTTTTTTTTTTTTTTTTTTTTTTTTGAGAAAAAGTCTTGCTCTGTCACCCAGGCTGGAATGCAATGGCACAATCTTGGCTCACTGTAACCTCTGCCTCCCGGCCTCAAGCGATTCTCCAGCCTCAGCCTCCTGAGTAGCTGGGATCACTGGCATGCGCCACCATGCCCAGCTAATTTTTATATTTTTAGTAGAGACAGGGTTTTGCCATATTGGCCATGCTGGTCTCGAACTCCTGGCCTCAAGTGATTCACCCACTTCAGCCTTCCAAAGTGCTGGGATTACAGGTGTGAGCCGCCACACGCAGCCAGGAATTTTTTAATAAAACAACTTTTTTTCCTTATTCCTTAAACTGATGTTTGAAAAAAAACTTTTTAGTCAACTATTTGTGATTACCCAAAATATAGTTCATATAGAAAAAATTAACATAAGTATTGATTATAGTTTCCCTACGTCTACTAATAAGCTGATGTCCTGTGATATCCCATGTTGACAAATTTGGGCAGTAGGGGTAAAACTGACACAGAACCCCAGCCAGGCGCTGTGGCTTATCCCTGTAATCTCAGCACTTTGGGAGGCCAAGGCAGGAGGATAACTTGAGCCCAGTTCAAGACCAGGCTGAACAACATGGCAAAAGCCTGTCTCTACAAAAGAAAATGCAAAAATTAGCTGGGCATGGTGGCGCATGCCTGTAGTCCCAGTTACGAGGAAGGTTGAGGTGGGAGGACTGCTTGAGCCAGGGAGGCAGAGGTTGCAGTGAGCAGAGATTGATTGTGCCACTTCACTCCAGCCTGAGTGACAGAGGTAGACCCTGTGTCAGAAAAAAAAAAAAAAAAGATACAGAGCCCCCAAGTCACTTGCAACCCAACCCTGGGGATCAGATCAGCCTTGGCATTGCTCTACCCAAGATGGGCACAGACTGGATCTGGATCTTGTATGGGAACATGAGGGCCCTGGAAGTCCCAGAAGGAGCCACACCATTCCATTTTCTTTCCTTCGCCTGGAATAATGCCAGTTTAAGAAGGTAGCTCTTCTCATCTCAGGCAAGCAGAAGCTCCTAGTGGTTCTTTTTTTGTCTCTTTTGATTAGCAATACACTTTAATTATTTCTTTTTATTTGGCAGACAAAATGTTTCCAGCCTGGATCCTATCAGGGGAATTACAGCGGGTGCTCATCAAGTGGGAGTTCTCAGTAAGTCAGTTGGTTTATCTGACCCTGGTAGTCTTTCTTTACAAGTGGAAGGAAAATCAATGCATTCCATGTGTTATTCATTCAACAAACATGAATTGAACACCCTCCCTTTCTACCCCTTTTCTACTCTCCCTTTCTAGCCCTCTACACCCTCCCTTTCTAGCCCCCTTTCTACTCCCAACTCTAGGCCAGAAATAAAAACCTACACATCCCACAGTTGCTTAAGTTTTGGCCCACACTATGTTTCTTGAAAAACAAATTAATTAGCTGCTAACAGCTAAAGATCAGGGATTTCACATAAATATCCAGACTTTTGACTTTTTATTTTATGTGTATATATATAAAATGTGTGTTTATATATATGTATATGTATAAACACACATCAGTTTTCATCCACAGTTCCTGGCTCATAACCCGCATAGCCCTTGTTACTGTCTTTTGTTATGAGGTTGGAGTGTGTTAGGCTTCTAACCAGGCCCCAGAAAACAGAATCTTTCTCCCTGACCTCCTTCGGCCTTCTTTTCACCTGCTCCTTTTTCTCTCTAAGGCAGGCCTTAGCACCTAAAAATATATTCTAATCTTCCCCTGCCTCTGTTCATAAAGAAATTCTCTGACTGGCCGACTGCAGGTCATAAAACTCCACTTCAGAGGAGTCCTGCCCCATACCCTGGAGGAAGGAATGCTGCACAGAGAGACCAAGAAGAATCTCAACAGACGGGCATTTCTGGGCTTCTCCACTCAGTCTATCAACACTAGATCATTCCCTTTTTGTTCAATCACACTTTTTTTTTTTTGAGATAGAGTCTTGCCCAGGCTGGAGTGCAATGGCGTGATCTCAGCTCACTGCAACCTCCACCTCCCAGATTCAAGTGATTCCCCTGCCTCAGCCTCCCGAGTAACTGGGATTTCAGGTGTGCACTACCACGCCTGGCTAATTTTTGTATTATTGAGAGGTGACAGCGTGCTGGTCAGGGTTTGCACCCTTAAATGTCTGTCTTTGTCTTCAGGGAGCCAGGGGAAGATTTCCACGCCACAGGCTGGAGCTGGTGTCTATTAATGATTCAAACTTTTTTTTTAAAGACTCATCAAGTGCAGCGGTGAGAGGGAGGGAGTTAAACTCTTTTGGAGGCAGGGCTCATGCCTGTAATCCCAGCACTGTTGGAGGTCAAGGCAGGCGAATCACTTGAGGCCAGGAGTTCGAGACCAGCCTGACCAACACATTGAAACCCAGTCCCTACTAAATATACAAAAAATCAGCTGGGCATGGTAGTGCACACCTGTAATCCAGCTACTTGGGAGGCTGAGGCATGAGAGTCACTTGAACCCAGAAGGCGGAGGTTGCAGTAAGCCGAGATCCCACCATGGCCCTCTAGACCGGGAGACAGAGTGAGACCCTGTCTCAAAAAATAATAATAATAAAATAAATAAATAAATAAATAAAACTCTTTTTGAGGTTCTATATTTGTAACCTGTGCCCACAGCATGAGGATGAATTCTGATCTTCAAGGCAAAACCCTGGCCAGGCATGGTGGTGCATGCCTGTATTTGGGGAGGCGGAGGTGGGAGGGATCCTAGCATTTGGGGAGGCGGAGGTGGGAGGGATCGCTTGAGCCCAGGAGATTGAGGCTGCAGTGAGCTGTGATCATGCCACTGCACTCCAGCTTGGGCAACACAGCAAGACCCTGTCTCTAAGAAAAATAAAATAAAATAAATGTAAATAACAAAGCAGAATTCTGCCCCCTCCACTTTTATCCTTTACCAACTGCAGACCAAAGAGATTCATAAACTTTGTTGAGAGAGAATGTGGAGAAAAAGATGGTTCTTATCAAAATTAAAAATGTCTCTCTTTAAAACGTTTTTGGATTGTAGGATCTCTGTGTTGTATGGAAGCTCGAAAAGATAACTGAGTATATCATTCCCAATTCCGGTTTTGCATCAGAGTCCTTAAGCTTGGGAGGCTTTTTATTATTCATGAACATTGCCTGGGATTCATTTCTAATCTTCTGAAAAGAATCTCAGCCTATTCTTCTCATTATTTTTATGCTGTTTCTTAAGAAGTGAGAAGAAATTACAGCGAGTGACTATAACGTCTATCAGTAGATTGTGTTGAGTAAACGTCCTTAGTTCTAGGTGGTGTCATTAGCCTACAGTTTATAATTTGGGGAAAGTGAAAAAAGCATTAAAGCATATTAAGAAATAAAACACTTTTTTTTTAAAAGACAGCTTTTGGACACTTCTTGTGAGTGTAAATTGATACAGCCTTTTTGGAGTTGATTTGTTCTTAAAATGTGTATGGCCAGGCCGGGCGCGGTGGCTCACGCCTGTAATCCCAGCACTTTGGGAGGCCAAAGCGGGTGGATCACCTGAGGTGGGGAGTTCAAGACCAGCCTGACCAACGTCAAGAAACCCCATCTCTACTAAAAATACAAAATTAGCCAGGCCTGGGTGGTGCATGCCTGTAATCTCAGCTACTCGGGAGGCTGAGGCAGGAGAATCGCTTGAACCCAGGAGGCGGAGGTTGTGGTGAGCCGAGGTCGCACCGCTGCACTCCAGCCTGGGCAACAAGAACAAAACTCCGTCTCAAAAAAATAAAAAAAATAAAAAGTGTGGTCTTTGTCCCAGCAATTTTGCTTTCAGGATTTAGGCTAACTCAATGGTCAGAAATGCCCAGAAACATATATGAGCAGGGATGTAATCTTCAGAGTCTCTTACACAAGGGAAAATCCGGAGCCTCCCAGTGTCTGTTAAGCAGAGTGCCCCAGCATAGGTAGACAATCATGCAGCCATCTTTTTGGTTTTTTATCTTTTTTGTTTCTTCTTTTCTTTAAAAAAAAATTTTTTTTTTTTTTAGAGTAACAGGGTCTCAATATGTTGCCAAGGCTGGTCTCAAACTCCTGAGCTCAAGTTATCCTCCTGCCTTGGCCTCCGAAAGTGCTGGGATTACAGGCGTGAGCCACTACACCCGGCCTTTTTTTTATTCTTTTATTTATGTTTTTATTTTTTTGAGACAGGGTCTCACTCCGTTGCCCAGGCTGAAACGCAGTGGCATGATTACAGCTCACTGCAGCATCAATCTCCTGGGTTCAAGCAGTTCTATCTCACCCTCCGGAGTAGCTGGGCCTACAGGCACGTGCCACCACGTCTGGCTAATTTTTTTGTGATTTTTTTTGTAGAAACGATGTCTCATCATGTTGCCCAGGCTGGTCTTGAACTCATAGGCTCAAGCAATCGTTCTGCCTCAGCCTCCCAAAGTGCTGGGATTACGAGTGTGAGTCACCACACCTGACCTTTCCTAAAAAATATTTTTAATTTGTTTTTTTCTGCAGCCATCTTAAGTCACATGACCCCAGTCTTGCTGAGCGCACATCAATGTTAGACTTTCTGCATGTGAACAGTGTGACATTGCCCATGTAAGCAAATGTCCTTGGAGACACACACTAAAGATTTAGGAGCAAAGGATCATGATGTCTGCAAGTAGCCAGGCATGCGGGGCCCAGAGCCTTTCTGCCCGAGTTCAAACCCCAGCACTGATATGTACGAGTCACGTGACCTTGGAAAAGTTTGTTTCTGGGCCTCAGCGTCCTAATCTGTAAACTTGGGATAAGAATAGTCCCTTCTAGTCATGGGTAAGGGCAAGAGTAGGTATGCTAATGCATGTGGGTTTCTTCCTGGGGTACTGGAAATGTTCTGAGATTAAATCACGGTGATGCTTTTACAACTCCGTAAACATGAAAAAGACCACTGAACTGTACACTTCAGATGGGCAAATTTATGATATGCGAGACACACCTCAATAAAGCTGTTAAACTTTATAAACAACAACAAAAAATCACAGGGAAGAACAGTTTCTGCCTTCTAGGACTACAGTGAGGACTCAATGAATTTAACATATAAAACATTTAGAACATGCCTGTCACCTCGTAGCATGAGCTATTTCTATTTTATTTTATTTATTTATTTATTTTGAAGCGGAGTCTCGCTCTGTCGCCCAGGCTGGAGTGCAGTGGCTCGATCTTGGCTCACTGCAAGCTCCGCCTCCCGGGTTCACGCCATTCTCCTGCCTCAGCCTCCCGAGTAGCTGGGACTACAGGCGGCCACCACCACGCCCGGCTAATTTTTTATATTTTTTAGTAGAGACAGGGTTTCACCGTGTTAGCCAGGATGGTCTCCATCTCCTGACCTCGTGATTCGCCCGCCTCAGCCTCCCGAAGTGCTGGGATTACAGGCGTGAGCCACTGCGCCCAGCCGAGCTATTTCTATTTTAAACACCAGACAAAGACCAAAAGGTTAACAGTTAGCCAAAGGATTTAACACTCATTCTATCCAAAAGGCAACTGTATGGACAATTTTTTTCTCTCCTTATACTTTTCTGAGTTTCTTCCGTGATTGCTTTTAAGATGGTGGGAAAGCTAAGCATTATTCTATAAAAGAGAGGGAAAGACCCCCAATAGAGAGGAGGCTATATCTTTGCTGGGGTTGCCTGGGTTCCTGCTGGAGTGAATTATTCCCCAGAGAAAAAAGGCCATCAGGAAGCCTACTGTCAGTGGAGGACTGACGCCTAGTGGCCAAGGCGGATATTACATGCATACATGTGGTGGTCTTAGACCCGCCCATTGGTTCCATCTACTTAAACAGTTACTTAGCGACATGAAACCACTGTAATATGAACTCTCCTACCTTTAGACCTGCGAATCCCATTTTGAGAAATACATCTCACATAAGTAAATATATGTTTATTATTATTAGTTATAAAATATATATTAGCTACAAAGATTTTCCCAGGGACTCTATTACCAGTGAAAGATGGAAGGCACCCCAGATTCTAAGAGCAGGGAAATTATCAATAGGAAAGAATCTGCTCCTGGCTCTTTTTCTTTTGTTTATTTATTTTTTTTGAGACAGGGCCTTGCTGTGTCGCCTAGGCCGGAGTGCAGTCCGCGATCTCGGCTCACTGCAACCTCTGGCTCCCGTGTTCAGGAGATTCTTCTGCCTCAGCCTCCTAAGTAGTTGGGACTACAGGCACGCACCACCATGCCTGGCTAATTTTTGTTTTTTTGTTTTGTTTTGTTTTTTTGAGACGGAGTCTTGCACTGTCGCCTGGGCTGGAGTGCAGTGGCGTGATCTCCATCTCAGCTCATTGCAACCTCTGCCTCCCAGGTTTAAGCGACTCTCCTGCCTCAGCCTCCCAAGTAGCTGGGATTACAGGCACCCACCACCATGCCCAGCTAATTTTTTGTATTTTTAATAGAGATGGGGTTTCACTATGTTGGCCAGGTTGGTCTCAAACTCCTGACCTCGTGATAAGCCTGCCTTGGCCTCCCAAAGTGCTGGGATTACAGGTGTGAGCCACCATTCCCGGCCTGCTCCTTGCTCTTAAAGTGATGAGCGTGGACTACATCTGCCCATCTGTCTAAAGAAAAGCACAGACCATTTTTACAAATACACAATTTTGATATATTGCAAAAATGTTTGTGCAGAACAGAATGCAATGAAAAATTAGCTGCCTGAGTTTTTATTACAAAGGTTATATGAACTATAGAATACAGTTTTACAATAAATATATTTCCTAAAGAAAGTCTACAATTAATATTATCTTCTAAATAAATATTATGACTTTTAAATGTTTCCAATGGTTAGACACATATATTTGGCTATTTAAAAATATTTCCCAGGTAGACAATGTTTTACTTTAAGGCCTGTTCATTTACTTTTTAAAGTTTTTAAATTTGTTTCTTGTTGAGACAGGGTCTCACTTGTTGCCCAGGCTGCAGTGCAGTTGCACGGTTCACTGCAGCCACAACCTCCTGGACTCAAGCCACCCTTCCACCTCAGCCTCCCAAGAACCTGGAACTACAGGCACACACCACCATGCCCCATTAATTTTTAAATTTTTTGTAGAGATGGGGGTCTCGCTATGTGTCCCAAGTTGGTCTAGAACTCCTGGGCTTAAGCAATCCTCCCACCTTGGCCTCTCAAAGTGCTGGGATTACAGGAGTGAGCCACTGCACCCAGCAAGATCTAATAATAAGAACGTAGCCGGGCACAGTGGCTCACGCCTGTAATCCCAGCACTTTGGGATGCCAAGGCAGGTGGATTGCCTGAGGTTAGGAGTTCGAGACCAGCCTGGCCAACATGGCAAAACCCCGTCTCTACTAATAATACAAAAATTAGCTGGGTATGGTGGCGGAAGCCTGTAATCCCAGCTACTCCAGAGGCTGAGGCAGGAGAATTGCTTGAACCCGGGAGGTGGGGGTTGCAGTGAGCTGAGATCGCACCATTGTACTCCAGCCTAGGCGACAAGAGCGAAACTCTGTCTCAAAAAAAAAAAGTATGTAGATACGTAATGGATAAACAATGGAAAGGATAAAATGCAAACCAAAAAAATAAAGTTGACTTGCCTATAAAAAGAAAGAAAAGAAAAGCACAGCTCAAATCATGAGTAACAAGCACTCTCCCTCCCTCACCTCCTTCCAGTCTCCACTCACACGCCCCCTCCAGGGTGGGGCCCTCTGTGGTCCCTCTGTCTAAAATGTCAACCGTCCTGACACTCCCCATCTTCTTCCTTACTGTAGTTTCTTTCTGGCTTCACAGAATCACACGCTATAATTTGCTTATTTATCTTGTTGGTTATCTGTCTCCTTCCCTGGTGTGTAAACTCATGAGGGCAAAGATTTGGGTCTGTCCTGTTTCTTGATGAATCCTCTGTGCCTAAAATAATAGCTGCTTAATAAATACTTTTGGAATGAACATCATGTGAACTCAATGTTAAGAAAACCCAACGTCATAGGTGCACGCTGAGTGCAACTCTGCAAAAGCAGGAAGCGTGGACATTGCCGCCTGGATGAGTTTGCTCAGGCTGCCACAACAAATGCTACAGACACGGTGGCTTAAACAACAGAAATCGCTGGGCACGGTGGCTCATGCCTGTAATCCCAGCATTGGGAGGCTGAGGCAGGAGGACTGCTTGCATCCAGGAGTTCGAGACCAGCCTGGGCAACATAGTGAGACCCCATCTCTACAGAAAATCAAAAATTAGCCAAGCATGGTGGTGCATACCTGTAGTCCCAGCTACTCAGGTGGCTGAGGTGAGAGGGTTGTTTGAGCCTGGGAGGCTGAGGCTATGGTGAGCCATGATTGCACCACTGCACTCAGCCTGGGCAACAGAATAAGACTCTGTCTCAAACAAAACAAAACACAACACCAAAAAAAAAAAAAAAACAGA
Organism: Homo sapiens; assembly: GCF_000001405.40. NCBI lineage: Eukaryota > Metazoa > Chordata > Mammalia > Primates > Hominidae > Homo > Homo sapiens. Next base: position 61,190,393 of record NC_000011.10, read on the forward strand.
AATCTGTGTTCTCACAATTCTGGGGTCTAGAAGCCCAAGCTCAAGGTGTTGGTAGGGTTGTTCCTTCCGAGGCTTCCTTCCTTGCTAGTAAATGGCGGTCTTCTTCCAGTGTCTTCACACGGTCTTTGTGTGTGTTTGTGTCTTAATCTCCTCCTCTTATAAGGACACCACTTACGTTGGATTAGGGCCCACCCTGATGACCTCATTTAATGGTTTTGTTTGTTTGTTTGTTTTTGAGATGGAGTCTTGCTCTGCTACCCAGGCTGGAGTGCAGTGGCTCAATCTCGGCTCACTGCAACCTCCACCTCCCAGGTTCAAGTGATTCTCCTGCCTCAGCCTCCCCAGTAGCTGGGATTACAGATGCCCGCCACCACACCTGGCTAATTTTTGTATTATTAGTAGAGACAGGGTTTCACCATGTTGGCCGGGCTGGTCTCGAATGCCTGACCTCAGGTGATCCGCCTGCCTCGGCCTCCCAAAGTTCTGGGGATTACAGGTGTAAGCCACCGCACCCAGCCCTCATTTAACCTTAATCACCTCTTTAAAGGCCCTGTCTCCAAATACAGTCACATTCTGAGGTACTGGGGGGCAGGACTGTTATATGTAAAAATGTTTATTTAGAAACAGAATGCTTGTTCCCCAGTTCTGCAAAGAAATGGTACTTGAACATAAATGTAATTCTCTCAGCAAGGCCATTTTTACTTTCTGCAGAAAGGGTGCTCGTCGCAGATGCAACAATGGTGAGAACACACCTGAACAAAGGAGGGAAGCAATTTTTATCCTTTATGCAGTTGGTCCCTGCTACTGTGTCCTGTCTTCATTGGCTGGAGCCAGACCTCACAATCTAAACTAAAACTCGATTGGCTAACAGTTTAAAACTTTTCTAAATAGGTAAAAGTAATGGAAAAATAAAGGAAAAGAGGAAGTTGCTTATGCCAAATAGGGAAGGGGCATAGGCTGCGAGCTGGAACGTGACTGTGAGCGTGTCCAGCACAAATATATTGGTTAAGGTACAAGGACGTAGAATGTACTACAAGCCTATGAGCACGTTTAACAGCTACGTAGGATAGGGCCCAACAAAGTTATTTGCATAAAGTAAGGAGGCTTGAAGGAACTTAGTTTTTAAAAGAAACTGTTATTTTTAACACTTATGATTTAATCTTTAACAAGAAGGGAAACGTTGAAGAGGAACTTTTTACTTTCTACACGGACTTCAACGTATGAATTTTAGGGAGGACACAGTTCAACCCATAACACCAAGAAACACAAAGAATGCTGGAATGTGTTTAAAGAATACTGGGCAATTTAAGCATGAAAATAAATGGCAATAATGGATTAGAACTCACTG